>NC_000008.11:31072223-31375254 GCF_000001405.40 Homo sapiens
CTATCAACTGTTTTAAATTCTGCTGAGAGTTTGAGAAACTGAGGACTTAGAATTCATCATTAGATTTGGCAATGCGCCAATCATTTGTAATCTTTTAAACAATAGTTTTGCTGTACTGGGTAGCAAAAGAGTGATTTGAGGAGTGGTCATTTGGAGCATATGCTATTCAAACAGAGAAGAGTCCACGGGCTTTGGTAACATGAAGGTCCTATAACCATAGCAAGAGAATGAGGTGGGTGGAAGTCATATTAACGTGAATAGAGGAGTAGGTTAGATCTGAGGAATGTGGGAACAGAGACAGGGTCTCATTATGTTGCCCAGCCTGGCTCAGACTCGTGGCCTCAAGCGATCCTCCTGCCTCAGCCTCCTGAATACCTCGGGTTTCAGGCCTCTGCATCTGGCTTGAAAACAACATTTTCTCAGAAGCTTGTTTTAGTTGTTTTAGAAATAACGAAGGCATGTGTAAACAACTGTTCTAGAAGCTTAGTTTGGAAAGGGAACGTTTATTGATGCATATAACACTTATATGTTGGGTGCTTATGTGTCAGGCACTGTTAGAGTTGCTCGGGAAAATTTACAAACCAAGCAAACCATGCCCCTTCATTTCCTTTGGGTGAAGTGAGGGAGCCATGTGGTTATCTGAAGGAAGAGCTTAGCAGGATTAGAGGGAAGAAAGTGCAAAGCCTCCTAGGGTGATTGGCTGGCTCTTTTGGAGGAACAGTACCTATAACTGAATGAAATGAGTGAGGGTAAGAGTGGCAGGAAATGAGGCTAGAAAAGGAGCTTGGGCCATATCACGTAGGGCCTCGTAGGCTGTGAATCTGACTTCATTTCTTATTAATGAAAATAAATACGATGATGGGTGATGGGAAACCCATAGAGGATTTGGAGCAGAAGAATGATATAATTAAAATTTTATTTTAGAAATATTTTTCTGGTTGTCGTAAGAGGAAAAATATTTAGCCCCAGGGCATTTTGGCAGAGAGTTAGGAGGCTATTGTAACAGCCCAAGCAATAGACAATAATTGTTTGGATTAGGCGGGTAGCAATAGAGGTGATGAGAAGTCGTAGCTTCTGTAGGTATTTGGAAGATATATATTGTGAAGGATTTGCTGATGAATTCCCTGTAAGGGGTGAGATGTAAAGATTCATAGAACATTAAGATATTTTGGTCAGATCATCTGATCAATGGAAAGGTCAGTTATAGTGGACAGATTATGAGAAGAACAGGTTTGGGTGAGAAAACTTTAGATTTCAGTGTTGGATATCCTAAGTTTTAGATGATTATTGATATCCAAGAGATATCAATATTTGGGATCAATTTGGGAAATATGATCCCAAAGTTCAAGGTTGAGGTTGGAGATGTAATTCAGATCCGATGGTAGTTAAAGCAGTGAGACTGAATGAGATAAAATAGGGAGTGAATGAAATAAAGAGTAGGTGTGATATTGACCTCAAGGGCACACCAGCATTTAGAGGTTGGGAAGATGAGGAGAGAGCAGCAAAGAGGACTGGGAGGGCCACTAATGAAGGAGGGAAGTACAGGAGGTGTTTAGTTCTGAAGCCACCTGAAGAAAATGTTTGGAATAGGAAGAAGTTGTCAGTTGCTTTAAATCATTCGGGGAGGTTGAGTGAGATGAGAGTCTAGAACTAACAGTTAGGTTTGATGGTGTGGAGGCCATCAGTAACCTTTTCTTTCTTTTTTTTTTTTGAGACAGAGTCTTGCTCAGTCACCCAGGCTGGAGTGCAGTGGCGCGATCTCTGCTCACTGCAAGCTCCGCCTCCCAGGTTCACACTATTCTCCTGCCTCAGCCTCCGGAGTAGCTGGGACTACGGGTGCCCGCCACCATGCCCGGCTAATTTTTTTTTTTTTTTGTATTTTTAGTAGAGACGGGGTTTCACCATGTTAGCCAGGTTGGTCTCGATCTCCTGACCTCGTGATCCACCCGCCTCGGCCTCCCAAAGTGCTGGGATTACAGGTGTGAGCCACCGCGCCCGGCCCAAGAGTAACCTTTTCAAAAGCAGCTTTGCTCTACTGATTTGGGTAAAAGCTTAGTTGCAGTTGGTTTGGGAGGAAATGGGAGCAGAAAATTTGAGAGAGTGAGTGTAGACAACTCTTTCAAGGAATTTCGCTATAAATGGGAGTAGAGATCTGAAGACTGAATAATTAGCAAACTGAAAAGTGGGAAGACGTAATTCTCTTATTATTTCATTTTTCTTAGTGAAATAAGAGGTGAAGTTCTCTGAGTAATAGGAGGGTCAAACAGGTGTTAGAAGTTCACAAAGAAAGGAAGAGGTTTGAAATAGTCATTTTGAGAGTGGGAAATGTAGAAGAATTAACAGTCATTGCTGAGGGTGCGTTTGAAATCTGTCATGAGTTTAAAATAACTTGTGTCATCATCGATGTGTTTATTTTCAACTATATTCAACTGCTTGGGTGTAGGCATCAGGTAGGTAAAAAAAGTGGGTTTTATTATGAGTAGAGGTTTTGCCACGTAATTACCATGGAGGGAGGGAAGAGCAAAGGAGTTGAGAGTATAGATACAAAGGAATGATTACTGTAATGTGGGTAAGAGAGGAATGGAAGGCTCAGTGGGCAGTGGGAGTAGGGATGTTGATAGGTAAGGAAAAGGTGATAGGATCAATGCATTTGGTTCTGCAAGTGTCAAAGTATTGTTGGGGAAAGCATGCTGGAAGGAAAGATAGGGATGCTGGTGTTCTCAGGGTGGAAGGCTTACAGTTGTAGTCTGGAAGTGGTGATTTTATTGGCAATTATAAGGTCAACGGTATGACTATGGAATTGAGTGGCTAAGGTCTGTTGAAGAAAAGATTGTCGGAAATGCAGGGGTCAAGGAACTGGCCTGTGGATGTTGAACTCACTGGCAGTGATCAAGGAATAGTAGTGGAGTGAAAGTAGTTAATGAATCAGGCACTAAGATCTCCAAGGGATGAAAGGATGCAGTTTGGAGATGACAAGATAACTGTAGTAATCAGGAATAGCAGGTTTTGTAGCTCTGTCTCATAGGCCTCAGAGGAGATGGGCTTTTGAAGGACAAGAGAAATGATGATGAATAAATTCTAAGCAGGGGAAGTGTTTGGGAAAGCAGGGCAGGCTTTGTGCTGTTGATGGCAAATGATGTACCAGACAGGATGAAGTTGAGAATTTGGAAGTTGATCACTGATTAGAAAGGCTTACATTTTATTTTGGCCGGGGGTGGCAGCTCATGCCTGTAATCCCAGCACTTTGGGAGGCCAAGGTGGGCGGATCCCTTAGGCCAGAAGTTGGAGACCAGCCTGGCCACCATTGCGAAACACTGTCTCTACTAGAAATACAAAAAAAAAAAAAATTAGCTGGTCGTGGTGGCACATGCCTGTAGTCCCAGCTACTCCGGGGGCTAGGGAATGAGAATAGCTTGAAGCCGGGAGGTGGAGGTTGCAGTGAGCCGAGATTGCGCCACTGCATTCCAGCCTGGGTGACAGAGTGAGACTCTGTCTCAAAAAAAAAAAAAAGGAAGGGCTTACATTTTATTTTGGTGCTGACTGGGAATGAAGGCAATGAGGGATGACTGTTGGAGAAGGCTGTGCTTACTAAACAGTATTATTAAGTAGCAGCATACATGGTGTTATACTGACTTCTGATTTTGCAATAGTACAGACAGGTTCAGATTCTCATTTCCACCTTCTCCTTCTGCCTAGGTGAATAACTGCTGGGTTATAGTACAGATGACTGCAGATCATTTGGAATTTACTTTAAATGTAAACAGTAAAAATTTGAAAGAGAGGGAAAGTGATTGAGGCAATTTGGGGATTGAATAAGAAGGTCTTTTTGTTGGAATTCATTTAAGGAAAGAAAATGAAAATTTGATCCCTAATATTATTTAATGAAGTGGCTAAATGAATATCTCTGCTTTGTGGTTTGAAAATTAATATTGATTTTTTTTCCCCCTAGAGGAAGAAATCCTACTTAGCGACATGAACAAACAGTTGACTTCAATCTCTGAGGAAGTGATGGATCTGGCTAAGCATCTTCCTCATGCTTTCAGTAAATTGGAAAACCCACGGAGGTTAAATATTACCTTTTTTTTTTTTAACTTAAATCAATTCTGTTTATTTTTTTATCACATTTTCCTATATGTGAAGAATACTATTCATTAAGGCTGACTCATAGAAATTTGCTTGAATACACACACACAGACTGATGCATAAATTTGAGAAATATCTTTCCAGTTGTTGAATAGTGAATCCAAAGGTTTAAGCCTTTTCTGTCTGCTTTGTAGGATGTTTTATGAAACAAAGGAATAGAAATTGTATTCATATTATACATTTTGAAATTATATCTATATTATATTTTTTGTCAAAGCAAAATAAATTATACATTAAGGAAAATATTTAAGATTCAAAGTTGTCATTTTCTTTCTGTTAATGAGTATCTTTGATTTAATAACATTTATAGTTTGGTCACTTGAAATCTATAGTGACCAAAAGCAATGTCATATTTAGTAGCCTCATTTCTGTTACTATCTGATTATTACTTAAGAATTCTACTTAATTAATAGATTATTAGAACAAAAGGCATTCCAATTTTAGAGATTCTTTTATGGTTAAAGCACTAGGTAACTTAAAAAATTTGGATCAAATGTTATACAGATTAATAGACCTTGGAATACAGGGGCTATGTCTTTTTGGAATCAGACCTTGTCCTGGCCTTAATTGCAGGATGACTTCCTTATTAAATCTCTAAAAGCAGGAATGCTCTGGAACAATGAACAATTAGAATGTGGTAATGTAATTTTGGGCCAAAAAATACTTTGTAGAAATGTGATTCTCTTACTTGGAATAGAAAGAATTCTGACTCGAAAAAGTGCAGTTAATGTATGCTTTTCTGGGTAAGATTTGTGATAGATTTTGATTGAGATTTAAAACCATGATATATAAATTTAGCTTTTTTGTCAAAGTAATTTGCCACCCTAGAATTTGTGTTGGTAATTTTTAATGCAACTTGGACAATTTCTGAAAGATGTAACTTTCTTTTTTTTGAGACGAGTCTCGCTTTGTTGCCCAGGCTGGAGTGCAGTGACATGATCTCAGGTCACTGCAAGCTCCGCCTCCCGGGTTCACACCATTATCCTGCCTCAGCCTCCCGAGTAGCTGGGACTACCGGCGCCCGCCACCCCACCTGGCTAATTTTTTTTTTATTTTTAGTAGAGACGGGGTTTCACCGTGTTAGCCAGGATCGTCTCGATCTCCGGACCTCGTGATCTGCCCGCCTCAGCCTCCCAAAGTGCTGGGATTACAGGCGTTAGCCACCGCGCCCAGCCTGAAAGATGAACTTTAAAATGGGGAAGGATACTAGTAAAGCCATTTCTTACTCATGTATACATTTTTCCCTCCATGAAATTAGAGCAGCCACCTTTTACATGACTTTTACATGCATTTCAGATTTTTGTACTAGCAATTAAAATATCTACTGGATGTAAATCACATGTGCTTAATGCTTTGCTTCATAATATCTGTTGAAGTCAATTAAAATATAGAGACAGATCTTTAAATTGAACATGTTTTATTTGGGAAGCAAGAATTAAATTTGAGGCATATACACAGACTGGGTGTCCTTGGTATCTCTGAAGAACAAAGAGAAGTTTGGAGGTTATAGAAAAAGGAAAATGTGACATTGTTTTTCCAGAAAGTTCTTTGGCACTAGTAAATTTTGGGGAGTTGGAAGCTCTGATGGGTTAGTGACTGTGGTGGGTAAAACTAGTCTTAGAGTCACAACAGGTTGTTTCAGTATCTATTAGATAAAACAGGTTTTAGGTTACAATAGGCAGTTTCAGCAGCTAGGCTTGCAGAAAATTACATTCTTAGAGTAATGTTATGTGCCTTGAGTGCTTTTTTCCCCTTGGCCCTTGACTCTGATTTAGTTGGGTATGACAAGAATTATCAATTTATATAATTACTTTTTACATATTGAAGCTGAATAGGTTTTCTTAAAACTTGGAAATGGGAAATACTGGGTCTTGTGAAGTTTTAGTGTGAAAACGATAACTAGTCTCTTATTTCATGCTCTTTGTAACAAGTCTACAGTAATACCTAATGTATCTAGATGACACCTCAGAACCAGGAGGGAACAAAAAAGACCTCTGAGCAGTCAAAATAATGCTATAAGCATGTATTCCAGCTTACTTTCGGCATTTCTGTGGAGTGCAGGAGGCCACATTTTGTTCATAGATCCAGTTTGACAAGCTTGGGTACTGAGTTAAAGTGAAAATGGTGTAAATAAGTAATCATATTCACATGACAGTAGGTGGAAGTGACAGCTGACAATCTGAAAGAGTGGACAAAACTATAAAAATTAGAACTAAGAACTCTTAAAATAGAACGGTTTGAAGTTTGTTACAGAAGGGAGCAGCTTTATGCTTCAGTGGACTCTGAAGGTATTGGCAGTGTATAGTACTGCTTAGTCATTGATTTAAATTCGGTATATATCTCTTCTATTGCTGTCATGTACTTGACATTCTGCTGGGTGCTAAGGCTGTCTGCAGGCTACTAATATGCATAATAACAATCCTGAAAAAGAAGGAAAAGTATACTGTGCCTTACTGAAGAAGGCAGGACAGCCGTTGGTATTTGTTAGAGTAAATATTAGTTATCTTACATAAAGCATGTTATATTCCCTGATGTCAGGGCCTGATAAATGAGCCCTTACACTCTTGATAGTCAATCTGTGCCACTGTTGCTGTGTTTGTATGTTACACCATTTCCTGTCCATGTAACAGTTAAACTGTATCACATATCTGTTCCTACTAAACTATTTGCATATAATTTTAACATTTGAGTGGCTGTATATAAAGCTAAAAGTTCTTTATAAGATTTATAGCATCTTAGAATGTTTAAATTAGATAACATTAGTGTGCTTTTAGTTTTTGAATTTAATTTTGCTCTTGATTTTGTTTGTGTTAATGTAGACTTTGTCTACGTAAGCTTGAGCCCAACTTTGGAGTGGTGTTTTCAGTGATGGAAGTAACTGGAAATAACTCATGAAACCACTTAGTACTTTTGATAGTTTATTCCCATGAAGGATCAAATTTTTACTTGAGTCATTAATATAAAAATTTAAAAGACATGTCAGATTTTATTAAGCATGGATTTTAAATATATAAATATTAGAAGACCTAAACAAAATCGCTAATGAAAGAGTAAAACATGTCCCTGCCTATCATACTCCCTTCACTTTCACTGATTTCTGCTTTTATGAAGTACTTTAATAAGCTCTACAACAAATAAACAAGACATTGTGCCTCATTTTACACTCTAGCAGTGGTTTTCCATTCCAACTAACTAGATTGGGTTTATAATATAGTCATTTAAACTTACTTAGTTAAAATGTTATACATTAGCAACTGCAATTAAGGAGCTAAGAAATTCAGCTCGTATTTATTTATATGCATCTTATCCATAGTTTCTCACTTGTTATATTTGCCTACTGATGGCAAATTGATTTTTTCTGTTCCAAAAATGTAGTGTTTTGAGATTTTTGGAGATGCAAAACAGCATCATTTTCAAATTAGATCACAAACAATCTTACTTGTTGCAGTTGAGACTAGTAATTGATCAGTGAGGTGAAAAAATTAGGCAAAACGGTATCATCAAAATTTTCTTTCTTTTTTTTTTTGAAACAGAGTATTGCTCTTGTCGCCCAGGCTGGAGTGCAATGGCACGATCTCAGCTCAGCTCACTGGGGCCCCTACCTACGGGATTCAAGGGATTCTCCTGCCTCAGCCTCCTGAGTAGCTGAGATTACAGGCGCATGCCACCAAGCCCAGCTAATTTTTGTATTTTTAGTAGAGACAGGGTTTTGCCATGTTGGCCAGGCTGGTCTGGAACTTCAGACCTCAAGTGATTCACCTGCCTCAGCCTCCCAAAGTGCTGGGATTACAGGCATGAACCACCGTGCCCGCCCCAAATTTTCTTTTAACTTAAAGTGTTAATGTTTGTTTGTTCCCAATATTTTTATATATGTCAAGGCTTTTTCATTATATACAGGCCAGCTCTTTGGAGTTCTGCATAGTGTTTCTTGTTTAAACCACACCTATAATGTACCATCTACAATTTCCAATTCTTTAAGACAGAGTGAAAAATTAAGACACCTGAAGCAATCTGAGTGCGGAGTCCTAGGCATTATGATTTTCCTTGACACTTTTAGGGTTCTTTTATCACAGTTTATCAAACACCTTTTTTTTTTTAACAAAAAACAAATTTACAAAATCTTTCCATGTATTCAACTTAGAATTTAATGAAATAGGGTTTTTTTTTTTTTGGTGGTCATGTATCATCAACTTTCTTTACATTTAATTAAATTAATCAACAAAAAACATATAGTTGACATAAACAAATTTGGGACCAAGCACTACTGACTCTTAGTAAACATACAAGTCAACTGTTGGTGCAGAAGTGCCTTGATGCTAGAGAGTAGCCTGCAAGCTGTAATTATATATGGGCATTAGGGAATGAAGAACAGCCTTAATACTATTGATCTTTTAAGTGAAGGTCAGCTTAGAAAGCTTTTACTTGTTAAAAAGCTTCACAGTTTGTCCTTGTAGTTAATGCAATTGAAGTTGAATTAATCTTTCTTAATTTTTTTTTTAGGGTTTCTATCTTACTAAAGGATATTTCAGAAAATCTATATTCACTGAGGAGGATGATAATTGGGTCTACTAACATTGAGACTGAACTGAGGCCCAGCAATAATTTAAACTTATTATCCTTTGAAGATTCAACTACTGGGGGAGTACAACAGAAACAAATTAGAGAACATGAAGTTTTAATTCACGTTGAAGATGAAACATGGGACCCAACACTTGATCATTTAGCTAAACATGATGGAGAAGATGTACTTGGAAATAAAGTGGAACGAAAAGAAGATGGATTTGAAGATGGAGTAGAAGACAACAAATTGAAAGAGAATATGGAAAGAGCTTGTTTGATGTCGTTAGATATTACAGAACATGAACTCCAAATTTTGGAACAGCAGTCTCAGGAAGAATATCTTAGTGATATTGCTTATAAATCTACTGAGGTACTAAATAAAGAGGAAGCACATTTTTAGTTATTAGTAGGTTCTGGCAGACTTTATTCCCGTAAAGAGACAGATAGTAAATATTTTAGGCTTTGTGGGACATACAGTCTCTGTTGCAGTAACTCAGTTCTGTTATTGTAGTGTGAAAGCAGCCACAGACAAATGTAAACAAATGTGCCTGTCTTTCAATAAAACTTTATCTACAAATACAGATAGTGGGCCACATTTGGCTTGCGAGCTGTAGTTTGCTGTTCCTGACTTAGTATGATATGCAGCATTGTGTAGTGGAAAGATTTTATAGTATCAACAGACATTTGTAGGAGTTTGCTATTTTATAATTTCGTATGCTTTTTTCATAATAGATGTCTCTGCTTTTTGTGGATTCTCTTCATATCTACTAGTGTTTACTCTTCTGACTTTGATTTTTGGGGGTGTATTTTATTTCTTTATACAGAATTTTTTTCTTTTTTCTTTCTTTTTTTGAGACAAGGTTTTGCTGTGTCACCCCAGCTGGAGTGCAGTGGTGGGATCTTGGCCCCCTGCGGTCTTCAACTCCTGGGCTTAAGCGATCCTGTCACCTCAGCCTCCCTAGTAGCTGGGACCACAGGCCTGCACCACTACACTCAGCTAATTTTTGTATTTTTTGTAGAGATGGGGTTTCGCTCTGTTGCCCAGACTGGTCTCCAACTCCTGGACTCAAGTGATCCACCTGCCTTGGCCTCCCAAAGTGTTGGAATTATAGGTGTGAGTCACTGTGCCTGGCCCAGAATTTCTTTACTTGCTCATGTGAGAGAGTTTCTAATAAACTCCTGATGCTTTTGCTTGACACTATAGTTTTACTGTCATCTCAGAGTCAGATTTTTTCCTTAATTTCTTCATTAAATTGATTTCTTAATTTCTCATTTGTTTTGCATTAGTTTACAAAATTACTTAAGATGCCTATATTCTCTGAAATTTTATATTTTATTTCACGATAAATAAGTTTAAAAAATTAGATTTGACCATTTAATTAGAGTTATTTCCCCATCATTTTTCTAATGGCAACAATAATTTTAGCATTTGAGCAATTCTCTGTATTTTGGTAACTATTAGTAATCACTTTTATCAGTATAAACATGCATTTCATTTTAAAATGGTTTTCAAAATATTCTCATACCAACCATTCATAAAAGATGTTCCCCTTCTGGGAAATATCAGTTTTTGCTAACATCTGCATTTCCCTTTGATTTTCTAGGAATTTCTTATTAGGTATACACTTTAAGTGATATGTTTCATATAATATTATAGGATTATCAGGATTTCATGATTTTTTTTTTTTGAGATGGAATCTATCTCTGTCGCCCAAGCTGGAGTGCCGTGGCGCAGTCTTGGCTCACTACAACCTCTGCCTCCCCGGTTCAAGTGATTCTCCTACCTCAGCCTCCCGAGTCACTGGGATTACAGGTGCCCGCCACCACACCCGGCTAATTTTTGTATTTTTAGTAGAGAAAGTGCTGGGATTACAGGTGTGAGCCACTGCACCTGGCCTTGGATTTCGTGATTTGACTGACATCTTTTACACCAATTATTGCCATTTTTTTATTGGGTACTAATTATTAGTATTGCTTTCTTTATTCGTTAAATAAGAAGTAAAAGAACTTTTAAAAAATAAAATAACTTTTTTTCCTAGTACAAAGCTTATTTTCAATTTTTTTTATTGCTTAAATTTTGCAGGTTAATTAAGGCTGTACTTCTTTTTCCTACTTCCTGTTTAAATATTTGGCATTTTTTGAGGGTTTTCTTTCTATGGATTTTTGTGGGGGATCCCATCTCGTTGGACACTTGGTTCCTGGAGATTGCCAAATTATTGAAAAGTTTCCTCATACCCAAACATTGGCAATAGACTGAATAAATAACATCTCTGACATTATTTTTCAATTATATAGAGAATGCTTTTTGTAAAATACTGATTTATTTAAAGATATTACAATCATAGTAGTTTTTTGCAATCTTTTTTAAATCAGTGGATGTCAAGGAACAACTATTGTTCTTTGTACGGCATTTTTCAACATTGTGAAGAGTTCTTATACTCAAAAAGTTTGGGAGACACAGTGTGACATTGTTTAACCTGAGTTGAACTTGTCATTTTGTATTCTTGTTTAGAGCAGGGATTTTATTTTGTCTCTTTATCTAACTTTGTATTCCTAACTATTTCTTTCTTTCTCTTTGGTTCTTTGTTTCTTTGTTCATTCTTCTCTCTCTCCCTTTTTTATCTATCATATAAATATGTAAATATATATTATATATCCATTAGGGAAGAGGAAGTTGTCTAAAGATATCTAGTATATAGGAGCTTTGTTCTGCAGAAAAGAGGATATGAAGTCAATTATATTGGAAATTAATGCTTAATACTTTTTTTAAAGCATTTATCTCCCAATGATAATGAAAACGATACGTCCTATGTAATTGAGAGTGATGAAGATTTAGAAATGGAGATGCTTAAGGTATGTTTACAATTATAAAAATATTACTTCAAGTTCTTTCCAAAGGACATTTAATTAAGTAAAATATTAACTAATTCTAAACTAGGTTCTACCACAATGAAATTGCTACTAATTATGTAACATTAGATTTCACATTTTCCAATTCATGTTTCTTTCATGTAGTCTATAAATAATGGGTTAGAGGTAATTTACTAATTTTAAATGTGCTTTCCTTGTTCCTTCTTATTTTTTATTTTGAAGACAGGGTCTCACTCTATCACCCAGGCTGGAGTGCAGTTGCTCCATCTCGGCTCACTGCAACCTTCACCTCCTGGGCTCAAGTGATCCTCCTGCATAAGCCTCCCGAGTAGCTGGGATTATGGGCGTGCACCACCATGCCCGGCTAATTTTTATAGTTTTAGTAGAGACAGGGTCTCACCATGTTGTCCTTGCTGGTCTCGAACTCTTTACCTCAAGTAATCCACCCGCCTTGGCCTCCCAAAGTGCTGGGATTACAGGTGTGAGCCACCACACCTGGCCTTGGATTTCATGATTTGACTGACATCTTTTACACAAATTATTGCCATTTTTTTATTGGGTACCAATTATTAGTATTGTTTTCTTTATTCGTTAAATAAGAAGTAAAATAACTTTTTTTTAAAAAAAGAACTTTTTTCCTAGTAAAAAGCTTATTTTCAATTTTTTTATTGCTTAAATTTTGCAGGTTAATTAAGGCTGTGCTTCCTTTTCCTACTTTCTGTTTAAATGTTTGGCATTTTTTGAGGGTTTTCTTTCTATGGATTTTTGTGGGGGATCCCATCTTGTTGGACACTTGGTTCCTGGAGATTGCCAAATTATTGAAAAGTTTCCTCATACCCAAACATTGGCAGTAGACTGAATAAATAACATCTCTGACACTATTTTTCAATTATATAGAGAATGCTATTTGTAAAATACTGATTTATTTAAAGATATTACAGTCAGTAGTTTTTTGCAATCTTTTTAAAATCAGTGGATGTCAAAAACAGCTATTGTTCTTTGTACAGCATTTTTCAACATTGTGAAGAGTTCTTATACTCAAAAAGTTTGGGAGACACAGTTTGATATTGTTTAACCTGAGTTGAACTTGTCATTTTGTATTCTTGTTTAGAGCAGGGATTTTATTTTGTCTCTTTATCTAACTTTGTATTCCTATTTCTTTCTTTCTCTTTGGTTCTTTGTTTCTTTGTTCATTCTTCTCTCTCTCCCTTTTTTATCTATCATATAAATATGTAAATATATATTATATATCCATTAGGGAAGAGGAAGCTGTCTAAAGATATCTAGTATATAGGAGCTTTGTTCTGCAGAAAAGAGGATATGAAGTCAATTATATTGGAAATTAATGCTTAATACTTTTTTTTAAAGCATTTATCTCCCAATGATAATGAAAACGATACGTCCTATGTAATTGAGAGTGATGAAGATTTAGAAATGGAGATGCTTAAGGTATGTTTACAATTATAAAAACATTACTTCAAGTTCTTTCCAAAGGACATTTAATTAAGTAAAATATTAACTAATTCTAAACCAGGTTCCACCACAATGAAATTGCTACTAATTATGTAACATTAGATTTCACATTTTCCAATTCATGTTTCTTTTATGTAGTCTATGAATAATGGGTTAGAGGTAATATACTAATTTTAATTGTGCTTTCTTTGTTCCTTCTTTTTTTTTTTTTTATTTTGAGACAGGGTCTCACTCTGTCACCCAGGCTGGGGTGTAGTGGTGCCATCTTGGCTCACTGCAACCTTCACCTCCAGGGCTGAAGTGATTCTCCTGCATGAGCCTCCTGAGTAGCTGGGATTACAGGCGTGTGCCACCATACCCGGCTTATTTTTGTATTTTTTGTAGAGATGGGGTTTCACCATGTTGCCCAGGATGGTCTTAAACTCCTGGGCTCAAGTGATCTACTGGCCTCAGCCTCCCAGCGTGCTGGGGATTGCAGGTGTGAGCCGCCGCATCCAGCCCTGTGTTCCTTCTTGTGTTACTTTCTTGTAATTTTTTCCTGGAATATGGGTAGTGATTTGGCTCTCCAGTATTGAAATTGAGTTTCCTTTCTTCCAATTCATGTGTATCCATTTTTATTTGGAAGTTTTGTTTTTATACATTCAATAATCATCTTTACTTTCTTTGGTATTATTTACTATGGATATTTTATATTATATAATTTTCAAATGGATTAAATGGTTCAGTTTTACTCTTATTATTGAGATTGAAAATACTAGTTTATAATTTATATATTTTCTATTCCTTTACCTCTAATTTCTTTGTCAGGTGTTACTAACCAAAGATGTATAATAAGAAAAGCCAATGTAGCTAAATTAAGTAAAAAATGAAGAAAAACACAGAAGTTCCCCATTATGCATTTTTTTATTCCTAATCTTTAGGTTGATGAGATTTTTTTATTTTTATGAAATGAGATTAATTTATTGACTTTTTTAGTTTTGAGGCCAAGTAATGAGTAGTGAGTAAGAATGTATATTCTAGGGCCAGGCATGGTGGCTCACTCATGTAATCTCAGCACTTTGGGAGGCCGAGGCAGGAGGATCACTTCATTCCAGGAGTTTGAGACCAACCTGGGCAACATGGCAAAACCCTCTCTCTCCAGAAAAATACAAGAATTGGCTGGGTGTGGTGGCATGTGCCTTTAGTCCCAGCTACTTGGGAGGCTGAGGTGGGAGGATCACCTGGGGAGCCTGGGGAGGTTGAGGCTGCAGTTAGCCATGACCATGCCACTGCACTCTAGCCTGGGTGACAGAGTGAGACCCTGTCTCAATTAAAAAATTAAAAAAAAAAAAGTAGATTGTGAATTCAGATGTAGGTTTGTATCCCAGCTTTTCCAGTTAGTATCTGTGTGACTTTGGGGAAGTTTCTTAGCATCTTTGATACTCGGTTAACAGTTGTAATTATTATTTAAGGTATTGCTTGAGAAGAGCTTAGTATAGAGCCTGACATTTAGTAAGTGTTTAATACATATTAGCTAACAGTAAAACTAGAACATAAATACTGAATTGTATTTTGTTATTAATTATCCATTTCTCTGAGAAGTACTGTTCCAATAGTACATTTATAGGAAACTTGTGGACGTCTACAAACGTATACATTAAATCTCTTAGAAGGCAACCTGGATGCCCATATTAGAGAACTCTATTTTAAACATGCATTCTAAGTATGTTTGTGGACTTGAATAAAATAAAACAAACAGAAACACTTCTTTCTTCTGCCTTCAGGCTTGAAATGAACATACTTTTTTTTAAAAAAAAACCTTCAAAATGAAAATATTAAATAAAAGATTTAATAAAAAGAGAAAGTAAAAACTGTAGTTTAATAAAGTCTTCCTGTCTCTTCATAGTTAAAAAATGTTATAGATGAAACAATTTTGAAATATTCTTGAAATAGATAATCTTTATTTAGGGGAGAATGTCAGATACTGTCAAGCCAAAATAAAAACAAATAACTTTATTTCATGTTTGTAAAATTCCTTTTCTAAAATGATTTGAATCTTTTGTTGTTTTGACAATTCCAAAACACATTTATTGTTTGCTCATAGTTTCAGCCTTATTCAGAAAGAATGCGACTGACACATGATATAGAGAAACTTGTTCCAAAAATAACATTAAAATCCACGTTTACTACTTGAGAATCGAAAATATTGAGGTGCAATAAAGAATAAAATGTTTTAAATTATCCAAATTTAAAATTTATGATAGCTTTCCCCAGGGGCAGTTTATTATATGCTATTAATGAGCCTTGTTTATGCTGGAAATGTTCCATCTTTGGCCTTGCGCCTTAGAAACCATTCATGAGCACATATTTAAACCGGAGCACACATGTTCTTTTGTAGTATGGCTTGCACATCTGCCAGCTTTCGACAAAATTGTAGGCCCTGTTAATAATAGTCCTTTTGTGTTTGGTGAAAAAGATACGACACTGTCAGTGGTTTTGCTTTTAAGATTTCTTTTAAACTTTCAGTCTTTAGAAAACCTCAATAGTGGCACGGTAGAACCAACTCATTCTAAATGCTTAAAAATGGAAAGAAATCTGGGTCTTCCTACTAAAGAAGAAGAAGAAGATGATGAAAATGAAGCTAATGAAGGGGAAGAAGATGATGATAAGGGTAAGCACTGAAGTATGTTTGAAATGACTCACCTGTGATACCTACCACTGACTTTAACTTAGGATCCAGTTTTGGATGGTTTGGAGGTCAGGGACTTTGTGGCATATAGTTAATTATTGGATCCTTATAAGCTTTTGTCTCCTTAGTGCTTTTGTCTCCATAAAGCACAATCTTACTACTTAGAAAAATAGAGTAATAGCATTATGATGATAAAAATATCTTTCCCTTTGTTTTTTTGTATTTCTCCAAATCATTATAGCTCTCATTTAGAATTATTAAAGCTGAGAACTCTAACAATGAACTTTTATTGTTTAGTGGTTAATTATCTTGATTCTTTGTTTTGCCCTTTCTTGGCCACTCAGGAATCTTTCAAGCTCACTGTGGACAGGGAAAGTGACTTGGGTAGAGCTAACATAACTTCATTGTGCTGTGCAGTTAGAATTTTGACCAAAGATGTGGGTAACTAACTTTTCCTAACTAAATGACATTTAGGTAACTAAACTAAACGAGATTTTCGTAACTAAATTTTGGTGTAACTACATTTAGCTTTAGGTAACTAAAACGAAGATTTTATTTTATCTGTGGATTTTTTTAGTGCGGGACTAATGTAATTTCTGATTACCATTAATTGAAGGTTGGTTATATTATAACATTTGGATTGGTATATTGCTTGCCATGGTTTGTTCTAAATGTTAGCCTTTAGAAGTATTCCTGATTCTAAAACATCAGTTTTTTTTAATAGTCCTGGCAAAGTGTGAATCACAACAAAATTCTAATACTTAAAAGTAATCCAAGTGTCACAGATGGTACCCAGAAGACCAGTTTGTATTGGAATTAAAAAATAGAAAACATTAACCCATGGTAGCTGTCACTGTATTCTTTCAAAGAAGCCAATGAAATAAACTGTTTTCTCCCTCTATGTGGTGTTTTTCTACTTGAACATAAATGCACATTTTATTTTATTTCCAGACTTTTTGTGGCCAGCACCCAATGAAGAGCAAGTTACTTGCCTCAAGATGTACTTTGGCCATTCCAGTTTTAAACCGTGAGTATAATCTCATTTAATCAAATCACATATTTAGTATTCTCTTTAAAACAAGGGAAAAGGCAAATAACCTGTCTGCTTAACAGCAACAGCACAACTTCACTATAGTTATACATGCCACACTGTATTTTCTGTGTGACTACAAAATTATTTCAAAGTGATATTTATATAAAATTCATTTCTGCAAATTGTTTTTATAAGTGAGGAAAAATGGTTTTCCTTTAACTGAGCAGTTCTGAGTAGAAACTAGTTTAAAGATACTTATAAATAAATGTTAATTTAATACTGACTTGTTTTTCATTAAACGAGTGTCTATGTGCCTGTTTTGTGTATATTACCCAGAACATGCAGATGTACTAGAAGTTCTTAATACAACAATTTGAGGAATAGTGATAATCTTATCTATTTTAATGTACTCAAAATTTGTTTACATCTAACAGGCACATTTTTGTGAGGATTAAATGAGATGAATAAGAATGAGATGAACAAGTAAATGTGAATAAAACTAATAAGCCTGTGAAAATCTAGACTGGATTTTTCCTATTCTGAGAATTTAAAATATAATCCACTGAAGTATTTCTTTCCTTTTTTCTTTTGATCTTAAACATTTTTTATTTATGTCTTACATACAGAAAAGTGCACATGTTGTAGAGATCAATGAATTGTCATAAACTGGGCACCCTGTGGCCAGCACTTAGTTAAGAATAGGTCAGTAACAGCATGCCAGAAGACCACCTCTCCAATTGATTTTTCCCATGATATTTTATTAAGAAAATTTTCTAAGATGTAGTAAAGTTGAAAGAACTTTTTTCTGTGCATGTCTGTATTCCCACCACCTAAATTCAACTATCATTACTATACTTGCTTTATCACATATCCATCCATTCATATGTCTCTATCCATCCATTCATTCATTCCAGTTTTAAAATGCATCTCAGGGTCAATCGAGGACACCATTACACTTCCACCTAAGTATTTCAGCATGTAAATTATTAACGAGTTAAATATTTACTTAACAGTTTTTTCTTTGGTGTAAAATTTGCACGTAAGGAAATATAAAACTTTAAGTGTACATTTGCAAATTTTAAATATACATGTGCATACCCATGTAACCCAAATTCTTATCAAGAGATATTATTATCATCACCACACAGAGTTCCCTTATTTCCCTTTTCAGTCAGTCCTTGTCCCTGAGCATTTCTCTTATTATTTTAAAGTATTGATTCTTTTGGATATCTAGTATGAAGCTTAGAATCTGTTTTTTACTTTAGATGTATGTAGTGAAATTTAATATATATACCAAATGGTAGTTGTTAGTTAGCTTGAATGGGACATTGGTCAAATGGCATTGTTTGTTTTAAAGTTCCAGGTTTGTGCATTTATGTATGAAGTTTGAAAATAAATTCTATGAGAGGAAATGAAAAATTGAATGGATTTTAATTTGTACCTTGGGTTTCTTATTAATAAAACAAAATAGCTTTTTGCTTTTCACCTTCAAGAGTTCAGTGGAAAGTGATTCATTCAGTATTAGAAGAAAGAAGAGATAATGTTGCTGTCATGGCAACTGGTAAGTTGTACTTAAGCAAAACCTAATCCTTTAAAAAAATAAAACATAAAGAGTTTGAAATGCTTAATCTTTCATTAAACTCTCAAAATACAAATGCAACTACAAATGATGTAAACTATAGAAGAGAGTGAACAAAGAACAGATGCTCAGATTTATGTATCAATTAGCTTTTAGGAAGATAGCATACTAGTATTGACCATTCATCTGTATAAGTACATTGTAAAAAGAAATGAAAGCATCAAAGGTTTATTTTTATTTCTATATTTTTTTCATTTTATTTTTATATTTTTTTCATTTCAAGGATATGGAAAGAGTTTGTGCTTCCAGTATCCACCTGTTTATGTAGGCAAGATTGGCCTTGTTATCTCTCCCCTTATTTCTCTGATGGAAGACCAAGTGCTACAGCTTAAGTAAGTCATGTTATCATTGCCACAATATCACCCTCTTTTTTTCTTCTGTGGGTGAAACATCTGATCCATCATGCATGTTAAAATCTAGTTCACAATAACACATTTCTGCAGGTATTGCTTTATCTTTATTGGTAATAAATGACCCTTTAGTGGAAGAGCTTACCTTCTTTCTTGTGTTCTCTGTAATTCAAAGCTACCAGGTGGCCCTGATAAAATTTTTTTAAAAAACATTATTACTTTATGCTGGTTTACATTGAATATCTCAAAATTCTTTTCTCTTTTTGTTACCCTTGCTTTTTAGCTTGATAAGAAGTGTATACATGGAAGTATATTTTTTATCTATGAAACACTTTTCAGCTTCTTCAACCTGAGCTTGCAATCTGTTTTAAATTGATACATAATATCTTTACATATTCATGGGGTACTGTAGTATTTTGATACACTCATATCAAATACACTTGATCAAATCAGGGCATTTGTTCATCAACTTGAACATTTATCATTTCTTTGTGCTGGGAACATTTCTAATCTTTTCTTTGAGTTATTTTGAAATACACAGTGTTGTTGTTAACTATAGTTACCCTACTGTTGGTTAATGAGTACAAACATACAGTTAGAAGGAATAGGTTCTAGCAACCTATTCCTTTACCCCCTGTCATCCCCTGCTGCCCTGAGCTTGCAGTCTCTTTCAAAGACCCACCTTAAAAACTTGCATTCTGATAAGGCCCTTGAAGGAATTTGCTTATCAAGTTAGTAAGTGACAAAAAAGAAAATTGCAAAGAACAGGAATATAAATTATTATATTTCTTTATTCTTTCTCACTTAAGAGTGAAATTGATATGTGTAATGTGTACATGGTGCCAGAATATTTGTTTTTCTTCTTATAGAATGTCCAACATCCCAGCTTGCTTCCTTGGATCAGCACAGTCAGAAAATGTTCTAACAGATATTAAATTGTGAGTAATTTTTTTCCCTCAACTTTTATTTTGGATTTATGGGGGTGCATATGCAAGTTTGTTACGTGGGTGAATTACATGTTGCTGAGGAAGTTGTGAGTAATTTATGTCATTTCTAATCATGTGGTCAGATGTCTGTGGTATATGAGAGAATTTTGTATACAAACAAATTTTACTAAATGCATGAAAAAAAAAGTCCATGATTTTAAAATGCACTTTCTTTTGTACCTTTGCAGGACTGTTACTTTTTAAATCCTTCAAACTTGAAGAAATCTGTTATTCTCGGTTCTTGGGCTATAAGATTAGCATTGTACTCATAGAATTATAAAAATTTTGGTTTTGGAAGAGAAGTTGGAGAATATAAAGATTTGTCTCATTTTATAGATGAGAAAACTGAGGCTCAGAGACAAGTAATTTGCCCAAAATCACACAATGACTGGCTGAGCAGGGACTGGATTCTAGGTCTCTTGCCCAACCAATTCTATCATGATGTAATTCCTAAGGAGAATGTCATCTCAGATACACATACACACACCCATTTTGTGTGTGTGTGTGTGTGTGTATATGTACACACACACACAAACATATGTACACTTATATATACATACACACACATATATTAATATATATGCATATATATGCATGTTCTAATTCAGAACATTTTCATCACTCCCAAAAGAACACCCCTGCCCATTAAGCAGTTGCTTTCTTTACGTATATATTAGTATATACATACACACGAGATACACATATATTTACTGAGTTTTGATAAATGCATACAAAGATGTAAACCAAACCTCTAACAAGATACAGAATATCACTGACACTCTAGAAAGTTTCTTCATGTCCCTCCCCAGTCTGTCCTTCCATCCTCCATCCTAGGCAAGCCACTGCTCCGATTTTCTCTACCATAGTTTGGTAGAATGCCATATAAATGCAGTCACACAATATTAACTCTTTTGTGTAAGACTTCTTTCATTTGCTGTAATGTTTCTGAGATTCTTTCATGCTGTTGCATGTATCAGTAGTTTTTTGTTTTGTTTTGTTTTGTTTTTGTTTTTTCAGAGTCAGGGTCTCCTTCTGTCACCCAGGCTAGAGTACAGTGGCGCAATCATAGCTTACTGCAGCCTCTAACTACTGGGCTCAAGCTATCCTCCTGCCTCTCAAGTAGGCTAGGCTGCAGGTATGTTCCACCATGCCTGGCTAATTATTAAATTTTTTGTAGAGACAGGATCTTGCTTGGTTGCCCAGGCTGGTCTTGAACTCCTGGCGTCAGGATTGTTTCCAGTTTTGGATTATTACAAATAAAGCTGAGACACATATAAGTCTTTGTATGGACATATGGTTTCATTTTATTGATACATGTCAAGGAGTGGGATGACTGGATCGTGTGGTGGATATATGTTTAACTTTCTTTTTTCTGAGATAAAATTAGAAGGCGATCCTCCTGCCTTGGCTTTCCAAAGTGCCGGGATTACAGGCGTGAACCACCGCACCTGATGCAGTTGTTGTTGTTGTTGTTGTTTTAATATCTGATTATTATTTTATTGTATTTCATTGAATATAGCACAGTTTGTTTTTACATTTTCTTATTGATAGACACCTAGGCTATTTTTCTGGTTTTGGACTGTTACTAATAAAGCTGCTATACACATCCTTATAAAAATCTTTTTTGTGAACATGTTTTCTTTTTTTCTAAGCATTTTAAATCACCTTTATTGAGGTGTAATTGACTTACAATAAATTTTATATGCTGAGAATGTATAATTTGATAAGTTTTGACACAGGTATGCACTCATGAAACCATCATCACAATCCAGATAATGAACATATTCATCACCCACAAAGTTTACCTTTTTGTTTTAACCCCAGTCACCGGGTAACTGCTGAGCTCCTTCCTGTTACTGTAGACTAGTTTGCATTTTCTAAACTTATATACATGGAGTCATTCATATTTTATGTGCTCTTTTTTGTCTGATTTAAATAATGCAGTATAATTATTTTGAGATTCATTCATGTTATTACAGTGATTAATAGTTCATTCCTCTTATTGTTAAGTGGATTACATTTTATGGATATCCAACAAGTTGTTTATCCATTCACCTGATAGACATTTGGATCGTTTCCAGTTTTGGGTTATTACAAATAAAACTGCTATGAACATTCGTATGTAAGTCTTTGTATGGACATATGTTTTCATTTTATTATATATGACGGAGCGGAATGACTGGAACATGTGATGCATATATGTTTAACTTTCTTTTTTCTAATTGAGATAAAATTCACAGAACATAACTTTTACCATTTTAATCATTACTAAAGTCCAGTGGGTTTTGGTATAGTAATAATATATAACCATCATAATTAATTCCAGAACATTTTCCTAACTCCCAAAAGAAATTCCATACCCATTAAGGAGTCATTCCCTATTTTCCCTTTTCTTTTCTTTCTTTTTTTTTTTTTTTGAGTCAGGGTCTCCCTCTGTCTCCCGGGCTGGAGTGCACTTGCATGATCTTGGTTCACTGCATCCTTGATTTCCTGGGCTCAATTGATCCTCCCACCTCAGTCTCCTGAGTAGCTGGGACTGTAGGCATATGTTACCATACCTGGCTAATTTGTTTTATTTTGAGTGGAGATGAGATTTTGCTATGTTGCCCAGGTTGCTCTCAAACTCCTGGGCTCAAGTAATTGTCCCACCTCAGCCTTCCAAAATGCTGGGATTACAGGCGTGAGCCACTCTGCCCGGCCTATTATCTCTGTTCTGCCCACTTCCAACCACTAATCTACTTTCTGTCTCTATGATTTGCCTATTCTGGATGTTTCTATAAATTAACTTATACATTATATGGCCTTTTGTGTCTGGCATCTTCCACTTAGCATAGTGATATCAGTACTTCATTCGGTCTTTTTTTATGACTGAATAATATTCCATAGTATGGGCATACACATTTTAAAAATTCATTCATCAGTGATGGACATTTGGGTTGTTTCCTTTTTGGCTGTTATGAATAATGATGCTGTGAACATTTGTGTACCAATTTTTTTATGAACATACATTTTCAACGCTTTTGCATATATGCCTAAGAGTGGAATTGCTGGGCTATATGCTAATTTTTTAAGAAACTATGAAGCTTTTGAGAGTGATTGTATCATGGGATATTCCCACCAGCAGTGTATGAGAGGTCCAGTTCCTCCCCATCCTTGCTATCACTTAGTCTGGCTGATCTTTAACTTAAGCCATTCTAATAGTATCTCATTGTATTTTTAGTTTGCTTTTCCCTAATGACTAATTATATTGAGCATTTTTCATACACTTATTGGCCATCTGTATATCTTCTTTGAGGGAGTATCTGTTCAAATCTTTTGCCTATTTTTTCTTAGTGAGTTTTGATAGTCATTTCTATATTCTGAATATAAATTATTTATTTGATATATGCTTTGCAAACATTTTCTCCTAGTTTATGGCTTTTCATACTTTCCACACAGTTCTTTTGAAGAGCAGCAGTTTTTCATTTTGATAAAGTCCAGTTTGTCGATTCGTTCTTTTAGGGATTTTGCTTTTAGTGTTTTGACCCAAGGTCACAAAGATTTGCTTTTATGTTTTCTCCTAAAAGTTTTATAGTTTTAAGTTTTACATTTAGATTTACGATTCATTTTTAGTAAATGTTGTCTATTGTATGAGGTATTGATTACAGTTTATGTATTTTTCACATATTGTTCCAGCTCCATTTTTTAAAAAGACTATGCTTTTACACTGAATTGACTTTGTACCTTTGTCAAAAATAAATTGACTACATATATGTGGGTCTATTGCTGCACTCTCTATTCTGTGTTCTGTGGATCTATTTGTCTGTCTTGATTGGTGTCTTGATTACTGTAGCTTTATAATAAACCTGGAAATCAGGTAGCGCAAGGCCTCTTGCTTTGCTCTTTTCTTTCAAAGTTGTTCTGGCTATTCTATGTCCTTTGTATTTCTGTGAGCATGTCAGCATCACCTTTTCAACCCATATGCCTGCTGGGATTTTGAATGAGTTTACCTTGAATCTAGATATCGAAACAATTAGCTGTCTTGATAGTTATTGTCACCGTTTTATACCGAAGAAACTAGGCATACTAAAGTAACTTGGCTAACATCACTTACCTTGTAAGAAGTAGAACTGGGCTGTTTGACATCAGAGCTTATTCTTTATACCATTTCCTATGTTAATTAGAATACAATATTAATTTCATAAAGGTAAAGGCATATCTGTTTTGTTCCTATTTGATTCCTTGTGAAAGCACAATGCCTAGCGCACAATAGACACTTAAACTTATCTGTTGAATGGACAGGTGAATGCTTTTAAAGTCTTTCCATATAGAAAATTAAGTTTCATTACATTTGACTTGATCTAGGTTTTCATTTCATAGAATGGAGAGCAGACTCTGTAAATATTTTGCCCCAGACCTAGCTTTATTACAAACATTGTCTTAATTAGGATTCTGTCTACCCAGAATAGAAATTAACTCAAGCTAGCATGAGTGTATATTGAAATTTATATTAAGGATAAAGGAATGTCTCATAGATCCCACTCAAAAGAAATTAGCCAGCCCTTAGGAAGAGACTGGAATTGGGTTTGGAAAATACAATAGGTCTTTCTTTTTATCTGTAGTCTTTAGTGAGTCTTCCTCATTTTTCTCTCTGAAGAGATAAGCATTCTCTGCATATATATAGCATTCTTTTAGATTTTCGTGACATAAAGTATTATTTAAACTTTCATAAGGTATCTTGATTTTAAGTTGTAATTCCTTGAGATGATTGTTTTCTTTATTGTTAATATGTTTCCCTTCCTGTTTTTTTTTTTTTCTTTTTTCTTTTGTTTGTTTTTACAGAGGTAAATACCGGATTGTATACGTAACTCCAGAATACTGTTCAGGTAACATGGGCCTGCTCCAGCAACTTGAGGCTGATATTGGTAAGTGATAAAGAAAGATCTCTGTAAATACTTACTGAGTTAATATTTAAAGTTAAACCTATGGATGGACACTGGATTTCACTTCTGTTAAAGTTTATTTCAAACATTACTTCCTCCAGGAAATCTCTGACTCTCTAACTTGCTGTTTCACCTATCTTATCCCATGATACTCTATAATTCCTTTTGCTATAGAAATTAGGCTCTGTTATCATAATTACCTGTTTATATATCTGTTTTCTTCTGCTAGGCTATAAACTTTTCAAGGGAAAAATATCACTTTTTAAAATTTATGTTTCCCCAGTGCAGTGCTTGGCATATAGGCACTTAAACATATTGTTGAATGAATGTTGAATCCTAGGTTCTGTGAAATTTTAATTTACTTGTTTTTCATGTTCTGTATCTAAATTAAGTCAGTGTAGTGGTTTTGTACCCTCTTTGTTCATAAGAATCACTTTTCAAACTTTAAAAAAAATGTAGGTAACCAACACCCAACTCTGAAAATTCTGATTTAACAGGCCTGGGTTGGCACCTGGCATTGGTGGTTTCTCACAGGTGATTCTGATATATAGCCCGGGTTGGAAACCACAGTACCTTTGATTAGTTGCCACTAGTGAGTATGATTTATTACAAAAACCAAAAACTTAGATAAGTCACAGTTTATTTCCTAGAACGTGTAAATATAGAATTAGTCAAAAGCTGATAGCACTTTTTTTGTACTTAAAAATATTTTAAGCCTCAGTATAGTGAGACCTCATCTCTACAAATAATTTTTTAAAAAATTGGCCGAGCCTGGTGGTGCATGCCCATAGTCCAAGCTACTTGGGAGGCTGAGGTAGGAGGATTGTTTGAGCCTGGGAGATGAAGGCTGCGGTGAGCCAAGATCATGCTACTGCACTCCATCCTGGGCAACAGAGCGAGACCATGCCTCAAAAAAAATTTTTTTTTCTTCTTGGTGGTTAGGCTTAACTATCCAAGAATTGCAATCATGGCTTCTATTGCAAATGCCCCTATTTCCCACCTTCAGTTGGCCTAACCAAATTTAATTTTTCAATATCATATGATCTTTTTGTATAATTATGTATTCAAATAATTCCAGATAGGTTAGGTTTTCGAATTGCAACGTCTCATTTAATGGTTACTTTCATATAACTGTAGGAAAGCATTTGATAATTTTTCCAACAATGTAATGAAAACAAACTTGTATCTTTTTTATTATGTGTTAAAACCAACAAAAGAATGAGGGCAGCAATTAACATTTCATTAAATATATTAGCAATGAGTACATTTATGAGCTCTTAAACTCCCTTATTGACATACTGTATTTTTTGCCTTTAATGGACAATGAATTTGATATGTTTCCTAATAGGTTGTATGAAGTTATTGTGAATATTTCACTTTGGATTAAGAATAACTACCCTATATATAAATTTCATGGTTGTATTGCAAAAGCTGGGGTCTATGTCCATAGTGGTTTGGGTACGTTTTTACTATTTGCTTTGTTTCTGTGATAGTGTTAAATGAATAATAAGCTTAAGTATTTAAGCAAATACTTAATACTTCTGACAAGTAGTTAGAACTCTCTATTTTTGTTTTTTTGTAATGGATGAGTTATGGACACTGCAATTATTAGAGCAGCGTACTTTGCTTATGATGGATGAAAATGTTCTCTGGTTGACTCAGTGTTGAATAAAAAGGGATACATGAAATAAAAATTATTTTTGAAATATTTTCCTTTGCCTTTTGTTGCGGGAAATTGTACAATGCTTGCAAAAATGAATATACGCAGGATATTATTTGTACAGCAGTCTGACATTTAGCTAATCAGATTCCTCATTTTTAGGTAAATGTTAAATTACTTAAGTAGTCTGGATTTTTAACAGAAACAGCAAACATAGTTTTATAGGGAGGCTCCTTACCAACCAGACTTTTAACTTAAGTGAATGTTGGCAAAAGCTTGTCTAAACTGATTTCCAGGGATAAGGTTTAGCTCCATTAAAAGCTAGTTTGTCAAACCTGTAACTAAAGCTTTTTAAAAAATGAAAGTTTTAAAAGAGACCATCATTCTGTTTTAACCTATTTAATTTAAAATCTGGGCTGAAGTAGGAGTATTGCTTGAACCCAGGAGTTCGAGACCAGCCTGGGCAACACAGTGAGACCCCATCTCTGAAAAAAAAAAATGAGCTGAGCATGGTACCTGTTACAGTGCTAGTTATGAAAGAAAGAAAGAGAGAGAGAGAGAAGGAAGGAAGGGAGAAAGGAAGGAAGGGGCTGGGAGTGGTGGCTCACACCTGTAATCCCAGCACTTTGGGAGGCCGAGGCGGGTGGATCATGAGGTCAGGAGATCGAGACCATCCTGGCGAACATGGTGAAACCCTGTCTCTACTAAAAATACAAAAAGAAAAAATTAGCCGGGCATGGTGGTGGGTGCCTGTAGTCCCAGCTACTGGGGAGGGTAAGGCAGGAGAATGGCATGAACCCGGGAGGCAGAGCTTGCAGTGAGCCGAGATTGCGCCACTGCACTTTAGCCTAAGAAAAGGAAGGAAGGAAGGAAGGAAGGAAGGAAGGAAAAATCAGTCACTCACTCAGGTTTAGTTTCAAAAGCCAAAACAGTGATAATATTGAATTTTTTCCAGCCACTCAGTAGTACCCAGAGAATTTTGATACAAATAACTGACTTTGACCCCATGTTTAGTAGGTTTTTTTTTTGTTTGTTTGTTTGTTTTTTTTTTTTGTCTTTCTTCTCCACACTCTCTTAGGACTGTTGTAGCTTGTAATGTTAGTGAATTGTAATTGTTTATTTGCATGTCTGTCTCCTCTTTTAGAATTGTGAACTCCTCAGGTCATGGATTGTATTTTATTAGTCTTTTTATTCCTAGAAAAGTGTTTGGATAATAATAGATATTTATTAACCATAATAGGAGTAGTAGCATTTTTGTGTGTGTGTGCCAGGCCCTATTTTAGCATTTTATGTGAATGATATAATTTAATTTTTAGAGCATCTAGAAAATGTTAGGTACCATTATTATCCACATTTTACTTGTGAGAGGACTGAGACTTGGAAAGCTTAAGTAACTTGCTTAAGGTAATACACATGGCAGATGGTGGAGCCAGGTTCTGCATCTGGGCAGTCTGACTTTAGAGCTTTTTAATCATCCTCCTCCTAGTGTCCGAACATTATTAATGCTCAGAGAAGTATCAAAGAATGATGATACTCATTGAGGGAAAAAATTATTCTTAAGTATCAATTTGTTAATTGAGGACAAAAGCACTACTGTTACTACTGTGAAAAATCTGAAAACATTGTCACGGATGATTTTACAATAACATCCTTTTCTGACATGCATTACAACACACTATTGATTCCGTTTCAATGTTTGTGTCTGGTATGGGGGCGGAGTAGAGAGGCTACTACAGGAAGAAAGAACAAATAACATTTCTTCTTACTACTTTGTGCATCATGTGATTTAGCTCCTCCCATACCATTTTACATTAGAAAATGTGGCTGTCCTCCTGTGCTCTAGTACTGGCATTTCAGAGGACTCTTTGCAATATGATATGTGATCAATCATGGATGGCGATGCAGTTAATTTCAGTAGAAATTTGCTGACTCTTTTTATCTCTTTTAATAGCTAATGCATGAGATAAAATTGAAGGTATTACCAAGGAGAAATGCAGGTGGATAGTTTTGGAGGCAAAGTCACAGTAAGCAATTCATCTCTCCAAGGAATAGTGATGAAAGCTGAGATCCAATAAATGTCTTGTTTGGATTAATACATAAATATTTCCTTTTAAAATTCTTAAGGCTTTTATTCATATATCTCCCCTCTCCCTATTTCCAATAATGATTTTTGGTGTTAATATGATGATATTTATGCTTCTGTTTTTATAGGAACCAAATACTTTGATTTGGTTATTTATTCTCCTTTGGAGATGTAGATGAGTTTATTTTTTCCTTTCGAGCTTTATCTTTTCCTTTATGTGTTTTTCTTTTTTTACAGGTATCACGCTCATTGCTGTGGATGAGGCTCACTGTATTTCTGAGTGGGGGCATGATTTTAGGGATTCATTCAGGAAGTTGGGCTCCCTAAAGACAGCACTGCCAATGGTAAGCTTTGCCAAGTCTGATGTCCCGAAATTACATTCTTAATAAGGAGAGCATTCAGGATTGGGGAGTGGTAAAGAAGCTGAAGACTTCACTATAAAAGAGCAAATGGATAATGTAAAAAGAGAACTATTTTTTTAAAAATGCTAAAGTTGGTATATAATCTATTGAGGAATATAATAGAACAAGGCTTGACAAACCTTTTCTGAAAGGACCAGATAATAAATATTTCAAGCTTTATAGGCCACATGTAGTCTGTATCACATATTCCTCTCTCTGTTTTTTCTTTTAGTAACCCTTTAAAAATATAAAGAGTTACATTTTTCACTGGTGGGCCATAACAAAACAGGCTGTGGGCCATATTTGTCCGAATGTCTTCTCAGTGATCTTTCATCCGTATGTCCTTTTACTCTAGGATGCTGTGAAATCCTGGTTACCCCTTCTTGTATCACATTGAAAACCTAAAGTTTGAACTATTCTATAGAAATTTTATTAAAGCTTTTGGTATTAGAATTTCCCTTTCTTCCCTAATTATAAAAAATAGCAAATTTTGGCCGGGCATGGTGGCTCACGCCTGTAGTCCCAGCACTTTGGGAGGCCGAGGTGGGTGGATCACCTGAGGTCAGGAGTTCGAGACCAGCCTGGTCAACATGGTGAAACCCTGTCTCTACTAAAAATACAACAATTAGCTGGGCGTGGTGGCAGGTGCCTGTAATCCCAGCTACTTGGGAGGCTGAGGCAGGGGAATTGCTTGAACTCGGGAGGTGGAGGTTGCAGTGAGCCGAGATTGTGCCATTCCACTCCAGCCTGGGCAACAAGAGCGAAACTCTGTCTCAAAAAAAAAAAAAAAAAAAAAAAAAGTGAATTTTTACATGAATATTCTACATGATTGGCATATTTACATGAATGGTTTAAAAACCCACAATAATAGCACTGTTTTATTTTTTATTTTGAAAATTGTAGATTCACAAGAAGTTGTAAAAAAAAAAATACCTATATAGAGGTCCTATGTACCTTTCATCCAGTTTCCTGAACAGTAACATCTTGTGTGACTATAGTACAATATCAAAACTAGGAATATGACATTTGTACAGTATCTAGAGTTTATTCCTATTTCTCTAGTTTTGTAAGTACTCTTTTGTATGGCATGTGTATTGTTCTATACAGTTTAATCTCATGTACATTTGTGTAACTACCACTGCAGTCAGGATGCCAAATGTTCCCTTACCACAAAGCTCCCTGGAGCTGTTCTTCCCACCCCTGGCCCTAGCCACTGGCAACCACAAATCTGGTCTCTATCTCTAAAATATTATTTCAAGAATGTTATATACATGGAATCATGCAATTTGTCACCTTTTGGAATTAGTTTTTTTCACTCAACATAACTACCTTGAGATCTATCCAAGTTGTTTGTGGTCATGTGTTGCCTAACAACAGGGATATGTTCTGAGAAATGTGTTCTTAGGACATTTTGTGGTTGTCTGAACATGGACTTACACAAACCTACATGATAAAGCTTACTGCACACCTAGGCTATATGATAGAGCCTATTGCTCCTAGGCTGTAAACCTGTACAGATGTTACTGTAATGAATATTGCAGGCAATTGTAATACAATGGTAAGTATTTGTGTATCTAAACTTATCTAATGTAGAAAAGACACAGTAAAAATACAGTATAAAAGATAAAAGATGGTATACCTGTATAGGGTGCTTCCTGTGAATGGAGCTTGTAGGACTGGAAGTTGCTCTGAGTGAGTGAGGGAGTGGCGAGTGAATGTAAAGGCCTAGGACATTACTGTACACTACTGTAGACTTTATACATATTGTACACTTAGGCGACACTAAATTTTTAAAATTTTCTTTAAAAATTTTCTTTCTTCAATAATAAATTAATCTCAGTTTACTGTAACTTTAATTCATAAACCTAAAACATTTTTTGACTTTGGACTCTTGTAATAATTCTTAGATTAAAACATGAACACATTGTACAGCTGTACAAAAATTTTTTCTTCCTTGATTAATGCATTCCATAAGGCTTTATTTTAAAATTTTATTATTTTTATTTTTAAAACTTTTTTGTTAAAAACTAAAATACACACATATCAGACTAGACCTACACAGGGTCAGGATCATCAATGTTGCTGTCTTCCACCTCCACGTCTTATCCCACTGGAAGTTCTTTAGGGGCAGTAACACTCATGGAGCTGTCATCTGTGATAACAATGCCTTCTCCTAGATACCTCCTGAAGGACCTGCCTGAGGCTGTTTTTCAGTTAACTTTAAAAAATGAATACGTAGGAGGAGTATACTCTAAAATAATGGAAAAGGGTATAGGTAAATACGTAAACCAGTAACATACTTGTTTATTATTCATCAAGTTATATACTGTATATAATTGTATGTGCTATACTTTTTAATGCCTGGTAGTGCAGTAGGTTTATTGACAGCAGCATCACCACAAACGTGAGCAGTGCCTTGTGCTAAGACATTATGCTGGCTATGACATCACTTGGTGATAGGAATTTTTCAGCTCCATTATAATCTTATGGGACCACTGTTCCACATGTGCTCTGTCATTGACAGAAATGCCGTTAAGTACCACATGACTATTTTTCGGTGGTCTGTTCCTTTTTATTATTACAGAGTATTCCACAGTATGGTTGTACCACAGTTTAACTGATCACCTGTTGAAGAACTTTTGGGTTGTTTTCCAGTTTTTGACTATTATGAATAAAGATGCTATGAACATTTGTTCATATCTCAAAGGTTCTTTATTTTTTTTTATTTATTTTTCTTTTTTTGAGACAGTCTGGTTCTGTCACCCTGGCTGGAATGCAGTGGCGCGATCTCGGCTCGCTGCAAGCTCCGCCTCCTGGGTTCACGCCATTCTCCTGCCTCAGCCTCCCGAGTAGCTGAGACTACAGGCGCCCGCCACTGTGCCCGGCTAATTTTTTGTATTTTTAGTAGAGGCAGCGTTTCACCGTGTTAGCCAGGATGGTCTCGATCTCCTGACCTCGTGATCCACCTGCCTCGGCCTCCCAAAGTGCTGGGATTACAGGCGTGAGCCACTGCGCCCGGCCTTCAGAGATTCTTTAATGGGTGAATGGTTAAACAACCTGAAAATATAAAAGTTTTCATTTCTCTGGGATAAATGTCCAGGAGTGTATTTTTAGTTTTTAAGGAATTGTCACAAACCTGTTTTCCAAAGTGGCTGTAGCATTCTACATTCCTGTCAGCAGTGTGTGAATGATCTAGTTATCCTTGCCACCGTTTGTTGTTGCAACTGTTTTTTATTTTAGCCATTTCGATAGGTGTCGAGTGGTATCTCACTTTTAATTTGCATTTCTCTCATGGCTAATGATGGTGAACGTCTTTTCATATACTAATTTGCCTCTGGTGAAATTTCTTACATAATTGGAGTGCTTGTTTTTTTCTGTTGAGTTTTAAGAGTTTAAAAAATACATTGTAGATATGAGTCCTTGGTCAGATACGTGGTTTCAAATATTTCTTTCACTTTGTAGCTTGCCTTTTCATTCTTTTTACCGTGTCTTTCACAGAGTAAATATTTAACATTTTAGTGAAATCCAGTTTATCATTTTTTCTTTTATGGATTGTGCTCTTCACCTAGCCCTAGATCCTGAAGATTTTCTCCTGTGGTTCTTTCCTAAAATTGTTACAGTTTTATGTTTTAAGTCTGTGATCCATTTTGAGTTAAATTTTGTATAAGGTGTGAGGTTTAAGTCAAGGTTCATTGTTTTCCCAATAGATTAAATTGCAGCAGATCCTTTGTTGAATAGGCTGTCCTTCCCCTGTTAAATTGCGTTTGCCCCTTTGTTGAAAGTCATGTGGGTGTATTTGTGTGGGTCTATTTCTGGGTTCTCTAGCCTGTTATATTAATTTTGAACGAATAAAGTTGGCTTATGTTTAAGTTTTCTTGGTAGTAGCGAGGCAATGGTGCCTTCTGAGCCCAGGATTTCACAATTTTGTGAGTAAACTGTGTTAGAAATTGTTTGTTATTCTTTTGGTAGGTTGTCTAGTTCAATTTCATTGCTCATTAATCTTGCTTATAGATAGCAAATTGAGAGGCATCTCAAAAATAGTATCTTTTGTTAGCTTATCTCACAGAGTTTGGTTGGAGCAGATATTAAAACAACAAACCAAAAATAAATTAAATATACTAGTTAGCAAGTTTATATTGAGGGAAAATCAAACCATGTGAATTGAGCTCCAATGATGTGGCTGGCCTTGGGTCAGATTTTAGTATCATGGTTCAACAAGGTAGCTATTAAAATCTTCATACTTTTTCTTGAAATAATTCTTTAGTAGTCACATAGGACAGCACACACTCATGGATTTCTTCTTTCCTTACTGTCTCTTTATTCTCAGCCTCCTGTTCCTTCTCATCTCCCTGACCTTTTAATGTTGGCCTTCCAGAAACTTTAGTCTTTGGACCTACCTTTGCACTCATTTTCTTGGTCATTTCACCCAACATACAGTTTTATGTTATTTTATTTTTTTTATTTTTGAGATGGAGTTTCACTCTTGTTGCCCAGGCTGGAGTGCAATGGCGTGAACTCACCTTACTGCAACCTCTGCCTCCCGGGTTCAAGTGATTCTTCTGCTCAGCCTCCCCAGTAGTTAGGATTATAGGTACGTGCCACCATGCCTAGCTAATTTTGTATTTTTAGTAGAGATGGGGTTTCACCATATTGGCCAGGCTGGTCTCGAACTCCTGACCTCAGGTGATCCACCTGCCTTGGCTTGCCAAAGTGCTGAGATTACAGATGTGAGCCACCACGTCCAGCCTACAGTTTTAAATATCAAGTCTATACTGAGGACTCCCAAATTTTTATCTCCATCATAGACTGATATCAGCAGTATATGAGTGATTCAGTTGTTTTTGCCTCTTTGCCAGCATTTGGTGTTGTCACTATTAGTTCATTTTAGCCATTTAATAGAATATATGTACATATATATGTGTGTATACACAGGCACACATCTATATAACTACTCAACATGCCTCTGGTGAGATGACCAACAGGTATCTCAAACTTAACCTCTTCCTAATTGACTTCTGCATAGCACTCCAGATCTGCTCTTTCCTCACTCTCCTCCATCTTGTTTAACAGCAGCTCCATTGGCCAAAATTTTGGAATTTTCCTCAATCTTTTCTCTTTTTCTTACACTCCACTGTTTATTTAAACAGTAAGGAAATCTCGTGAGGTCTTCAGAATATATGCAGAATTAAATCACTTCTCTCTTGATCCCTGCCATTCCCCAGGTACGGGCCACCATCTCCTTAGGGCCTCCTGCTTTCACTCTTCCCATCCCTCATTCTGTTTCAACACAGCGTCCAGAGTGATACTTTAAAAATGAAGTCTGATAGATCATGTCTTCGGCTCAGAACCATCTAGTAGCATGCCATTTCATTCTAAATAAAGGCAAAAGTCCTTATGATGAGTTACCGATCCTCATGTAATCTGGCCTTCCATTTTCCCTCTGATCTCATTCTCTACTGGTCTCCTCATTCACCGGATGCAGCCACACCACCCTCCTTGTTTTTCTTCGGACATTCCAGGCATGCTTCAGTGCCTGGGCTTTGCGCCTGCTGCTTCCTCTCCCTGAATACGTTTCCCCCACATTGTCTATAGGATGTTCTCCCATACTTCTCTCAGATCTCTTGGATTTAGGCCTCCTGGGCCACCATATTTGAAATATCAGATTAGTTCCCCCTCCCCCATCATTCAGCATTCCTCGTAAATCTTTGCTGTTTTAAAAATAGCACTATCACTGTCTAACTTACTGTGTTATATTTTGTTAATTTTCTGTGAGTTCTTCTTCACTAGAATATTCTTTGTAGGGAGGAGTTTTTGATTGTTTGGTTTATAAAATCTGGAACAATACCTGGCTTATAGGAGGTGCTCAATTTATAATGGGGTGAATGAATGAATGAATGATGATGAGAAAGCTGAGAATCAGTAAAGTGACTTTCCAAAACAGGTAGTGGGCAGTATAGAGTTGGGCCATAAATAGCTGCACCATACAACATCCTGCTAGTTTCTAAAGCAAATGATTTGAAAGAGGCATAAAACATAATTTCTGCCCTCAGGTAGCTCATAGTTCAGTAAAGGAGTTTAGATTCATACCTATAACAGTAGAAGTAATAGCACCAAATGAAATATGGTATTATGAAGTGGTACAAATAATATAAAAAGATGAACAGTGTTAGTAGTACATGTTTAGAAGGGATTTCTGTGGTGAAAGTCACTAGGCACAGTGCACCTGGAGGACCGATTTCCATTAATTTAGAATGGTTTAAAGTAAGCTTTTGGAAACTAGGAAGATTACTTTCTGTAATCCTTTCCTAGGCCTTTGATTCTAGAAGGATTGTGTTAAAGGAGTTTTAAATATTTTATACAGTTCTTAAACATTGTTAAGCTTGAATTAAATCTTTTATTATGTCTGGCCATGGACGTCATTGGATCATTTTCATTTCTTGGGAGGATTAATAAAGCACATTCCTTCTGTTGGGCCTCCAGTGCGGGGAGGGTGTTGGCCGAGCAGTGGCTGAGAAAACGTTTTTCCCCTGGTGTTTTCAAGAACCCTCTTTATTAGCTAAGTGGTGAGACATGCCACCTGGTGGTTATAGTAGTATCATTTTTCTCACTGTTCTTGGTGCTTTTCTTCTCGTTCTGATTCCAGTTATACTAGGACAACTGCTATAAACCTGGAATGTTTCACACTATATTATTTCAGTAATTTCAAAAACAGCAGAAATCACTAAGCTGTTTGGCACAAAGATTCCTATTTGGAAGGAATCAGACAAAGTGAGTGTTGAGAAAGAACAGCCAGGCAGAAAGCTTTGCATCAGTCTTAAAGTTCTTTACATTTCAAGTAAGAGGAATTGTGAAATCCATAAGACATGTGGGGTTTTTCTATTACTTTCTCCCCAGTATCTATTACAAAGATCAGCACATAGTAGGTACTCAGTAACTATTTAGAATGAGTGCATGAATGAATGAAGTATGTGTGATGTTATGGAGTACAAAGTTAGAATTAGCAACATGACCTGAATTTAGAAGCAGGTGGGATACTTATACTTTTCTCAGTCTGTGGGCACCACACCATTGAAGTATATGTCTAAGATTAATTTATATTTGGTTGTTTGATTTAGCAAAACTTGCTGCCTGTTAAAAAAGAAATTAAGACCTGTCAACTTAAAGAATACATTTTGTGAGTTAAGAACTAAATGACAGTATAATTTATTACCCAAAGCAGTTTGCTTCTGAAAATTAAAGAGTTCAAGCTATTAATAATTATGCTGTGACTGCAGGCATAAACTGGGAATGTCCTGGCAAATGAGGATGTATTGTCACCTTTCTCAGCCTGCCTGTGTGTTGTTTTTAAGCTTCACTCTAGTTTATATATTTTAAATGTCATAAAATACCACATACTTATAAGAGAAAAGGTTCTATTCATTGCTGAAGTGGAAGCTTATCATTAATTTTTATTTATTTATTTTTTTTTCCAGTTTTGGAATTCTTATTACTTTGAACCCAAGAACCACTGATAACTAGCACAATCCAGTGAAACAGAGGAAGCAGCAGCTTAATCAAAGGAAAAATACATTTAAGATTATAAGTCTGGTTATAAGCTTAAAAAGTGACCCAGAAAGGGATATCATTGCTAAAAAAAAAAATCCCCTTGTGACCTGGGTACATTTTGCAAAGCCACAGGTTTGCAGTGTTACACAAGGGCCAAAGGAGGCCATGAGTTGTCTTTGGTTGTGGGGCCGGAGGGTAACTGTTCATGAAAATAGTGAGTGTCTGAAGATTAAGAAAATCATGCTGCAGCAGAGGAGAAGGGAGAGGAAGGCAGGAAGGGAAAGGAGATGCCTGAGGGTCAAAAGCTGAGCCCAAGCCTAAGCCCAAGCTCAAGTTCAAGCCCCAGCATGGCACAATTTTGTGAATTAACTCAGGCTGAGTTGCCTCCAGTCTTTGGAATGTCATCTTATACTGGTACTGCTGAGGCAGAGGGCAGTAATTGGTTCTTTGGGATAGGAGAAGGGGCAGTTGCTGAAATACAAAATTAATAGTCAGCATCCCAAGTTCCTCAATTGCAGCCAAAATACATGTGTTCAGGCCTTTCGGCAGTACCGCCCCCAGAACTACCAGCTGTAGTGTGGTCTATTCCCAGACAGCAACATGCAAGAATAAGTTTACAATACACTCAGCCCTTGTGGCTTAAGATCAGGGGCTCAGAGGCTGTGACAACTCATGATGCTGAAAATGTATCCAATGAAAACGAAGTACTAGCTTGTTTAGTAGTAACGAAGTACTATTAATTTTTAATATAGTCTGATACTTTATTTTCTAATTGTAGAAGCAACATTCTTAGCTATATCTTTCTAGAATGTTGAGGCAAAAGAGTAAATTTATAGTGATTTTCACTGTTACCAGATTGCTGGAATAGGGAATTTCTGGTAGCAAGATGGGAATTTTTAAGTTGGAAGGGTCTAACACATCATATAGCCGTCTCCATCTCATTTTTTTTGCTGAAAAAACTGAGCCCTTGCAAATGTCAGTTGCAAATCTGGGAGTAGTACTCATGTCTCTGAAGTTGTTATATAGAATTCTTTTTATTTATTTTAATAACAATATTTATGATAGTTGAAACTTTTTGAGTGCTTACTATATTTTATTTCATGCATTATGTTCAGCACTTTACATGTTTTATCTCACTTGATATTCACAACTTTATGAGATTGGCACTGTTATTGTAGCCATTTTATAGATGAGGAAACTGAAGCTTAGAGAGTTAAATAAAGAGCTCAAAATCTCACATCTAGTAAGTGGCAAAAACAGGATTTCAGCTCAAGCAATCTGATTCCAAAACAGACTTTTTTCACTGTGCTGCCATTCTTTTGCCTGGTTTTTCTGTTAACTTCTTAAATATATGTCATGTTTCATGCTTACTTCCTCATTTTCATAAATATATTACCTGCTCACTTATACATTATATTGCTTAGAAACAAACCCAACCCTGTTTTCTTATGGACTGTATCCTGAAAATCACTGTTTTTAATATGTGGTTAAACAAGTGTTTTATTAGTGCATTTATATAAATTATTTAACCAAAACACTTAACCGGTGAAAGTGCTTTACTGTGTGAGAATGTGCATGTTCTAAGAACCTCTAATTTTTAAACCTCCCTTATTCTCAGCCTTATATTTGTTAAAACCTGTGTGTTAACACAGATGCACCCATGTTAGGGGTTAATTAGAGAAACCAACCTCTTTATAGATTAGCTTGTTCATCTTTAAGTTGCTAGGCAGGCACTGTAAATTCAGAGAACAATCTGATTGTAAGCCACAAATCAATGAAATTAATTTTGGGGTTGCCTTTTAAAATAGTGTCACAAAATTTAAGGATAAAGAATGCAAAAATGATGCCAATTATCTCATCACATTAGTTTTGATTTAATTTTTTTAATTTGAAAAAACCTACTCTTAAACTTAATTGATTTTTTTAAATATAAGTTTGGAGATAATTTTTAATTCAGTAAAGTTATAGTGATTGAAAAAGTAGTTTATAATTTTTAATAAATTGATCTTGTTTTAATTTTGAGTCATATTCTAGAAGTGCTTCTTTGCAAATTGGTAAATTGCACATACATTTCCACTTATATACAAGATAATTGCTATGGTTGGTTTGTATAATAGATGCAGTGCATCTGAAGAGCTATTTTATGAGAATATTGTTTCTTGTATCTGTCACGAGCCAAAAAGAATATTTTTAAGAAAGTTATATTCTTGGTGATAGAACAGCTGATAATTTAGAAACAACTGTAAGACAGTCCACTTTTTCTGATTATGAAATAATACCATAGTTAAGTGTAATTTCCTATAATAGAATAAAAACACGAGTTCTAGTTTTAGGGGAGGCATGTTGTTACCGTACCTTAGAATTTCTGGAAGATGACATATTCATGCTTTTCCTGATAACTGCTGAGTCTCCTGCTCTGTCTGCCAATCCAGTCAAGAAGCCTTTGCTAGCAATCAATTAATAATACGTTTCATTTATACATATTTCCTATATATAGTATGTTATTGATTATCTCAGTACCACTGAAGAGAGGTTATCTGGGTCATTGGAGCTTTGCTTCTAGATTTGTGAAGCCATAAACCTATATATTTAAAATAGGAGGCCAAAAAAAAACGACCATTGCTTTATATAGTTAGATTTTCAGTGAATTGAGAGTTTATCATTTGTAATTATACATTAATCAAATATAAGGCATAATATACCCCCCTGCTTATATCAGCACCATTTCAAATGTAATGTTAAAAAATAATAAATGGAGAAGTAGATAGCTAACAAGTAGGCTTAATTTAATAAGACAAAGTAAATGGCATTTGGAAACCTCATGGATTTAATGTTTTATTTAAATGATTTCTGATTTTTAAAAAGTAAATATTGTTTCCAGAAGGCTGAGAAACAAGTTAGTAGGGAGATTTTTTCTTTGCAAAAAAATTTTACAGTTGTGTCTTTAACATTGTACCACAAACTGTTGTCCTACCAGTCTCTTTGTAAGAAAGCTATAGACATGTTGGGAATGAATGAGCTCTTTCCTTTTTAAAATATCAGTTTTACATCATTCAGGTTCCAATCGTTGCACTTACTGCTACTGCAAGTTCTTCAATCCGGGAAGACATTGTACGTTGCTTAAATCTGAGAAATCCTCAGATCACCTGTACTGGTTTTGATCGACCAAACCTGTATTTAGAAGTTAGGCGAAAAACAGGGAATATCCTTCAGGATCTGCAGCCATTTCTTGTCAAAACAAGGTAAGGATTTAATGGTTGATGAATTTTGGTAATGATTTCCTTTTTTTTTTTTTAACAACTTATGTATTTTATGTTATTTACGATTTCCTTCTAATGCATATTTAACATATTTCAAATTCCACCTAGTTTTGGTTCAAGTCAAGCATGATGTTATATAATCAATTCAGTGATTGAGACTAGTGTATTTTTAAAAGCAGAAACCAATTCTCCTAATATTTTAATACCCCATTCTGTTGCTTAAACAGGGCATATACTATTTATTTTTATTTTTTAAAATTTTACTTATTTATTTATAGAGACAGGGTCTCTCTGTCGTCCAGGCTGGAGTGCAGTGGTGTGATCACAACTCACTGCAGCCTCAAACTCCTGGGTTCAAGCAGTCCTCCTGCCTCAGTCTCCCAAGTAGCTGGAACTACAGTCTTGCACCACCATGCCTGGCTAGGACATATACTTTTAATGATTGATAAGTAAACAAGCAAACATAAAATGACTCTTTCATCTGAATTCTGTCTAGTTTACTAATTACATGACTTCAGTCTTAAGGAGCTTAGAAAAGGTCACCTTACAAACACAGTGGAGCCTGTATTGTGTTCCAAGGACTATTGTAGGCGCTTTCTATATAAAATGATCTAATTTAATCCCTATAACTGCTCAGTAAGTTACGTATTATTTTCATTTTATTGTTGAGGAAACTGGCATTAGTACTTTTTTCTGTTTATTTTGTTTAAAGGCATTTTAAATATATATGTTAAGAAGTTTTCAAAAGCCTATATTTTACTTTTTATAAGCCTTTATTTTACTATTTGAGACAGTGTCTTGCTCTGTCACCCAGGCTGGAGTGCAGTGGCGCAATCCCGGCTCACTACAACTTCCACCTCCTGGGTTCAAGCTATTCTCCTGCCTCAGTCTCCCAAGTAGCTGAAATTACAGGTGTGCGCCACCATGCCAGGCTAATTTTTGTATTTTTTAGTGGAGACGGGGTTTCACCATGGTGGCCAGGCTGATCTCGAACTCCTGACCTCAAGTGATCCACCTGTGTTGGCCTTCCAAAGTGCTGGAATTACAGGTGTTGGCCACTGCGCCTGGCCAGTTTATAATTTTAAACATTAAAATAAATGCTTCTTGTCCAATCATGGTGTCTCACACCCAGAATCCCAGCACTTTGGGAGGCAGACGTTGGAGAATCACTTGAGGCCAGGAGTTCGAGACCAGCCTGGGCAACATGGTGAATCCCTGTCTCTACAAAAAATACAAAAATTAGCTGGGCATGGTGGTGCATGCCTGTAGTCCCAGCTATTTGGGAGGCTGAGGTGGGAGGATCATTTGAGCCCAGGATGTTGGGGCTGCAGTGAGCTGAGATCACACCACTGTACTCCAGGCTGGATGACAGAGCAAGGCCCCGTTTCAAAAAAAAAAAAAAAGCTTCTACCAATACAAACACAAAACAAGCATAGACAAATAGAGTTTAAAGAACATCATTGGTGTTTTCCTCTAAAGGGAATATTGATGCTAGGCCAAGAAAATCCTGGAGTTATTCTTGAGGACCTTAAGGAATAATTGAAATGTAGGATTTGCTCCTGGCTTTCTTGTCCTATATTCAGAATAAAACAAGAATGGATCGAATATATTCTGAGTGTTCTGGCCATTCTAGTGCTCTCTGAAGTGAGTACTCACTGTGTTTCACTTCCCTTTCATCCTAAAGAGGAAAAGTTCTTTTGAAGAAGGCTGTTTGTCCTAGGTTAGAGTCTCCACAGTCAGATCATTATCTCCTCCTAATCTTTGATCCTGTTCAGTCTCTATGGTACTTTCCCTTATAATAACACTCTCTATGGCACTTTCCCTTATAATAACACTCTCCTTTTTAAAGCAGTTTGCCTTTTTTGTGTGTAATATTGTTCTCCTGGTTTTCTGACGTCCTGGTCCTCTTATAATCCTATGCAAATGTTTCTTTCTGTTTTTCATGTTGACTCTGCTAATTGAGGTCTTTGTTACTTTTTAGCCGAGACTATTATAATTTCCCCAACAGATACCCCTCTCCCCAGTGCCCCTTGTTGCTTTCTATGCAGTTTACAAATTATTGTCTGCAAACACATCCTTAAGTCTGGAATACCTTTCTGGAACTCCTTACTAGGAAATAAAGACCAGACTCAGTGTAACATTCAACAGTATTGAAGATCTAGGTATTTAATATGAATTTTTTTTTTTAAGGAGATCAAGAAAGATTTTTGTACCCATTTTTAATCCTCCAAGAAGACTTAGGATAGCAGGAAACCATTGAGAGTCAGAATGCTTTCTACAGATCTTAGGTGAACAGAAACTTTCCTCTTCATGAGCAGTGAGGTAGAGGGTAATTAAGGCTTCAGAGCATTGCCCGTTATTTCCATCTTCTTCCCTTCCTTTAATTCTGCTAAATTCCTTTAATTTGTTTATCAGTATTCAAGTATTTTTATCCATTGAGCTAAGGTGTTTCTTAAACTAACCCTATTTTGTTAAAGTCTTAATTATAATATATTCATAGTACATTTAAGTGAGATAGATGAGTCTCTCATATAATTTAGTGGTTAGATTAGATTAGAATTTTCTCCCCTCAGAAAATTAAGAGGAAATAAAAGTCTGTAGCAAATCACTTGGCAAAATAATGGCTCCTTTTGTAATAGGAATTTTTACTCTTTTGATTTATCTGTTACATAAGTTCAAATTTTTACATATTTTCCACCTTTTTTAAAAAAGAGTGATATGTAGTCAATATCAATTTGAGCAACACTGTTGCATATAAATTGAAAAGGACTCCAATTTTCTAATTCCGTACCTCAGTTGTGATCACTGTTGGTATTTTGGCATTTATGTAGACTTCCTTTCTCTGACCCTACTACTGTGCAGATATATAGTTGCAGTTTTTTGTTGTTGTTAAGTTGATACAGAAATAGTTGCATACTATATCCATTATTTATGCAAATTTTTTTTCATTTAAAGTATCTGCTATCTTTCCATATATTGCATTTTCTTAAATTAGAGCCTTAATATATAGGATATTACAATATCTAGGTTTTGTTGAGTAGTTTTTTCTTCTTTGAAAACATGTTTTTAAAATAAGGTTTTTTTTTTTTTTTTTTTGACATGGAGTCTTGCTCTGTCGCCCAGGCTGTAATGCAGTGGCGGGATCTTGGCTCGTTGCAGCCTCTGCCTCCTGGGTTCCAGCGATTCTCCTGCCTCAGCCTCCTGGGTAGCTGGGATTACAGGTGCATGCCACCATGCCCTGCTAATTTTTGTATTTTTAGTAGAGACGGGGTTTCACCTTGTTGGCCAGGCTGGTCTCGAACTTCTGAGCTCAGGTAATCCGCCCGCCTTGGCATCCCAAAGTGCTGGGATTACAGGCGTGAGCCACTGTGCTGGCCTTAAAATAAGATTTTTATACACTAAAAGAAAACTTACATTTTTCACTCCATTAAGTAGTTCACTGTGAATTTTTGATATTGAAGCCCATTTGGTTGCTGTCAAAAATAGATTTGAACAGATTATTCAGTATGACTCTTGTAGTGAAATTATTGCCTTGTTTCCTCTGCTTAAGTTTTCAGTGGCTTTTGCCACAGTCCTTAAAGGTTTTATAATTTTTTTAATGTTTAATTTTTAAATGTTTGCTTAATATTTCTTAGTATGAGTGTAGATAATGATGAACATTTAGATGACTTTTTACTATTATAATGTTGCAGTGAATATTTGTTTACATTTATCTTTTGGCCAATAAGCAAATATTTTTGTAAATTAGAATCCTAAAATTGAAATTGGATCAAAAGTTATATGCACTTGAAATTGATTAACTTTTCCTAAATCTAAAATAGTATAGTCTTTTTTATATTGTCAGCATAAATGAATGCACTTATGTAAATGAATATTTTTAGGCGTTAAGTAAAATATTCTGTGGAAATTGAACATTTAAGTTGTTTATACTTCTATGGAAATCGTTTACGCTTTTAATAAAGAAGCACAAGTTTCTACAAAATACATTCTAACAGATGTTTTCTATAACATTCAGTCTCAAGATTACTAGTAAATACTTCTTTGAACTGTAAAAGCAATCTTTCAATATTATAAGAAAGCTCTTGCTTTAGTAAACATTTAGAAACTCAGCTTTATTATCATAAGCAAGAATAAGAACAGTGTAACAAGTTTTATGCACACTCCTTTGTAAACCCTCACCAGACTAATTGTTAATCTGGTGCCTTGCATTCCCCAAAGTATTTGTATCTGTCGTTTATAAGTTTTTATCAAGGTTTCAGCTAAAACAAATAAATTTGTTTCTGGTTTTAGCTTTAATTTGAACTGAAACAGTCAAAACTGAGTTTTGGGGACTTCACACAATTCATTTGGATATTTGATTCTCCATAATGTTTTAAATTTTCATGCACTTAAATATATCATTATTTTTGATAGGCTTTCTTCCTTTAGTCTTTTCTTTAGAAGGTAGAAAGGAAGAATTAAATAAGATAAAACCAAACGGGTCTGAAGCATGTATAAAGTATATATGTTTGCTCTTTTGTTCTTCTTTTTCTTTAGTTCCCACTGGGAATTTGAAGGTCCAACAATCATCTACTGTCCTTCTAGAAAAATGACACAACAAGTTACAGGTGAACTTAGGAAACTGAATCTATCCTGTGGAACATACCATGCGGGCATGAGTTTTAGCACAAGGAAAGACATTCATCATAGGTTTGTAAGAGATGAAATTCAGGTATGAGGATCAATCATCATTGCTCTCCGTTGCTCATAGTGGAAGTGGATATTTCTCAAATGTTTATTTACCAGATCTTTATTGAATACTTTCTTTGTGTTGAACATAAAGCAGTCCCTCTGATAAATGTGGGAGAACAAACTTGCAGATTAGTATAAATAGCAATCTGTACCTAGTGCTTAGGTGCACAGAGGAGGGAGGAATAGCTCTGTCAAGGTAGTTGTGTAATGGGGGTGGTCCATCCAGGAAAATTCAATTAGAGTCCAAACATGTAAGTAGAAGTTTTTCAAGTATGCCAGGCCAGTAGGTGATGAGGGGAAAGGAATTGGTTATAGAATTCCAGGAAGAAGGACTAGCAGGTGCAAAGACACTTTGATATGAGAACACATACTGGGTTCAGGAAATGTGACTGGTATGGAATGGTTGGAGGGAAAGACAATGTGGGGTAGGAATGGCACAAAGTATGGACAAAGAGGCAGGGTGGAACCGTTAGAGACTTGAGAGAACAGTTGAATGGGTCGGTTGGCCAGGTTATAGATGGCTTTAAAACTTGCAAAGAAGCAGTCTGGGCTTGGTATCATATACCTGTTAGTTTTCACTGACTACTTTAGCCTTAGAATTTTTAGTTTAGATACAATTTTCTGTAATAGGTAAAACGGATTAAAGTAGAATAACTCTGGCTGAAGTTAATGTGAGGGAAAAGGAGGTACAAGAGTCTCGTCTCTAGACCTTGAAGACACTCCCTGTTGGGGTCTTATAATCCTTGGAGTGCCGCAGAATCATTTGAAAACCATCTTGATGTACTACTCTGTGTTTTTAAATAAGATAATAGGATTATAGAAACATTAGACTGGCAGCAATAAGTTGGATTGATTTGAAGAAGAGAAACTGAAGAAGGGAAAGGGTATCGATGCAGCTATTGTGAAATTCTACAGTTGAGATTCCTGACCTGATTGGACTGGCTCAGTGGGTGTCATAGAGGATTTATTTGGGAGGATTTAAGTTCAAGGCACATGAGTAGGTTTAAGTCAACAACTTGACACTGTCAACATGAAATCCACACTGTAACTATAAGTCCGAGGAAGAGCCCTCTCCTGAAGTTAGGAATTTAACTTCAGCTCTTGCATTTTCTGTCCCACCGGTCATCCATTTCTTCTCTATCCATCTCCTTTTCTGATATCTAGTTGTTATCAGTGTTGTTGAAAAGCTTAAGTATGATTCATATTCACTGTCTATAAAGTTCACTACACATAGTCATGCTGTAATGCATACCCGCCTGAAAGCATCTGGTCTCTCTTTTCCTTCTTTCCAAAGATAAGAATACCATTCACAGCTGTTTAGAATAGAAATTTTATCCAAATTCTTCAGTGTTTATATTTTTGTTCTGTTATTTCAGTGTCTTGAATATTGTCAAATGACATTTATTAGCTACTACTGGTACTACTGAATCTTAATAATCAATCTTCAAGCCATTAACTGACCAATGGTTTCTTCTATCTTAATGTATTAGTAATTATTCATTTAGAGTAAAACATCTCCCAGAACATGAAAGAATACAAACTTTATTCATGTTACGTTGTGACAGGAGACTTTGTTGGATGCGCCTGATTTTCCTGCCAATTCACAGCTTCATTAAAACAGTAATGCTTTGAAATATGGCTTAGGAAACTTCACAATGATCATTAATTACACCTAATTTCTGGAAGAGTATATGCATGTATGTGTTGCGGTATTCTCCCTTGCTGTGGCAGGATGTCACAAATTTTTATCCACATTACGAAAATTTAAAAATTGATATGGTTTTTTCTCCCTACGTTGATATCAGATATTTTGTTTTATCTGACAGCTGGCCCAATGTACTCCTACTTTGCCATTATAAAGAATTCAAAAGCTTCATATTTGCATTGAAAGTTCTCAAACACTTTGTAAAGATGATGAAAGTATGTTTCATCATCTATGTAGAATAGTCAGGTGTTCTTGCAATTGATTACTTGCTACCGAGAATTGAATACCTACTGAGTGCATAATGTATAGAATTCTAGATATTCACTTTTGTGTGTTTTTACAGTTGTTATATACCTTAGTGTGGCTCTAAAAGTGGAGGTGACAGCTGTAGCTCTTAATGTCTTACACTGAGTGATGTTTAGAATCTTAAATTTTCTTTTATAATTTTAGAAAAAAGTATACTTTTCTTTCTTATTTTTATAACCAGATCCAAACACATTTGCATGTAGATAGGCATTTTTAGTCTTGAACATTCATTTTTACTTTTAATCCTCACTTTTATTAGTTTCGTATCTTTTTGTATTTCATTTCCCCTTTCAAGATGCCTTGAGTCCTTTCTTTTTAGGAATGATGTTGTGAATAAATTATTTGATAAAATGTCTTTACACCTGAGAGTTTATAAGGATAGTTTGAAAATCATGTCTGTAAAATAGGTTGATCTCACCTAAAAATAATACCATATAATTAAAATTAGAATTATTATTGTGTTGCTTATTGACTCTTACATATATCAAAAAATTGCTGAGTCTTATTCAGCCAGAGCTTTTACTTAGTATGATATTCATTCCTATATTTACTTTTTTCTCACCTTTCTCATACTTTCTTTTACTTACTCAGCATTTTCCTCCTTTCCTCCCTCCTTTCTTTTCTTCTTTCCTTCTTTTCTCTTCCTTTCGTATTCCTGGTCCATCTTAGCATGTAATCTTTCTTTATGAAATGGCATGCAGATAGGTCTACTGTTCTTACAGTAAAAAACTTCAAGGCCTCATGTCTTTCCCACTTCTGTTTCCCATTCACAACCTTTTTAGCTGATTCTTTTGGTACTTTACCACTATATCTTGCCATAGTTTATGTACCTGGCTCCTACTTAATTTTTTGTTTATTTGTGTATTAGTCGTAGGCATTATTTATCGACTCTTCTCTCTGAAAGATGAAAGGTTAGCTCTCTTTCACATTCTTAACTGCCCTTTTTTCTTACCTTGTCCATGTATTTCTAACCCCCTTTCCTCCTAATATGTTTATGTCATAATTTTGGCTAGATTAGTGTATACGATTTACATAATTATTACTCTGTAAATGCTTTTTATGATCTCTGAGCCATGTAGTATATTATGGCTATTTTTCTTTCTTATCTATTTGTATTTTTATTGTTATTACCTAAAAAAAAATTTTCTATGTCTTATCACTAATTCTTCCCTAAAATTTCCCACAATTGTGTAAACTTACCTCAGTATATTCATAGATATGAGACATTCTATCAATTTTACCCTCTTAAAGATGCAGAGATAATGCATTATGTTTCATCCCACCATCTTTAATGAGAAGCTTCCATCTTAGATTAATATTAGAGAATGTTAAAATACTCTGCAATCAGGTAAGGACGCTTGAAACTTCATTATAATGCAAAAGTTTTCTTTAACACAATAAATATTTTGAACCCCTTTTGTGTCTTGTATTCATAGGAGTTCAGATAGACCACTTTATTTACTATTTTTTATAGAGAGTGAACAGAAATCCCATTTCTAGTCACCAGTCCTTAATCTGTAAATCAGGCAGATAATCTGTAAATGATTGGTTGAAATCACATTGAATTCCACTTTGTGCCAGGGACTTAAGTTAACGAACAAATTATTCTTACAAAAAGGTATAAATGTAAGGTTTTCATTCTGCTAAATATGTTTGTCAAACTGTGTTGTGATTTGTTCTCAGTGTGTCATAGCTACCATAGCTTTTGGAATGGGCATTAATAAAGCTGACATTCGCCAAGTCATTCATTACGGTGCTCCTAAGGACATGGAATCATATTATCAGGAGATTGGTAGAGCTGGTCGTGATGGACTTCAAAGTTCTTGTCACGTCCTCTGGGCTCCTGCAGACATTAACTTAAATAGGTAAAAAAAATTTATTGTTTTTACTCTTGCAGATTTCTTTCTTTCTTTCCATATAAACCTCAAAAGTGTTTGAGGCTATTTCCAGTATCCCAAGTAATTTGTGAGTGCATTTAAAGTAAAAAAAAAAAAAAAGAAAAATAAAACCTCCCCAAATCCAGAGGACATGTAAGAAGAACATTTGTGGTAAGAGTTGCCACTTGGAGATGAGCTAATTTCAGCATGCCTTAGTTAGTGTGAGGAATTAACTAAATCAGGACAATACTTGGGCCTGTCACAGAGATCCTATGGAATACTTTCCTACCATTGTGCATTAATGAACAGGTTCTTTTCCTCTCCTCAGATCCTGTCAAGTTGCGATGTCTTCAGCCATAGTTACTTCAACTACCACTGATTTTGTTACTGATTCTTTCTTCCCATGCTACAGTGGTGATTATTCCAGAGGATTTCTCTCAGTCCCTATTTGACTCTTGTTACTATTTGTTTTCTTGGTTAGTTCCATGAGACCATGCCAGTTCTCCTTGACTGTGTATGAATCATTGTGTTGCACTGTACTGACAGACTGCCGTAAGTCAATATTAAGTGTTCAGTATCTAAGTGCAGGAGAACCTTTCTACTTAAGTACTCAACAAGTAGTTTGTTGGCACTTAAGTTCTATGAGATTTTTTGTTGTAAAGGAAAACATTATCTTGCAAAGATTTTGGGGCAGCATTTACCAATACTTTGTTCCTTCATCCGTAGGAAAAAGAATCTCAGGAGAAAAACCTATACATGGTAACCAATGGGGCTGCCAAGCTGATGAAGTATTTTCAGAGTACACCTTTGTGTAGCTGAATAAATTGAGATCTTGAATGGACATATTAGCTCATTTTAGTAAAATGATAAGAGAGTGCCTCCCACTACAGTTTTTGTTTTTATGCATCATTAAACAATGTGTTTTTGATTGTCCACTGTGTTCCATGAACTATGCTATGTGTGGGAGATATAGTAGTAAAGAAAAGCAAAGTACCTGCTTCCATAGAATTCAGTATAATGGGAATGGTAATTCTTTAGAGAATCACATAACTATGGATACATAGGCTTCATTTTACTGTTCTCCTTTTGTGTTTGAAAATGTCAACAATCAAAATTTTGTAAAAAAGGAATCATGCAACATATTTAAAATTATAACTGTGTTAAGTGTAATGAAGGGAAATTGCACTGAGTAGTAAGAATATATAATGGTGTGTGGTATTTCCCAAGTTAAAAAGGTCAGATAAGGCTTCCTTGTGGAAGTGATAGTTCAAATCTGAAAGAAGAATAGGAATTAATTAGGTAAAAATGTTTGATGCAAATTTTAAGATTTTCCTTCTGAGTAGTCAGTAGCTTTTCCTTCTTAACATAGAAGATGACAAAACCATCCTTTTTTTGTACATAACAATTCTTGTTTTCCTTTAGACAGTTGTATCTGTCAAGCTTCTTATGATCTAATTTAAATAATTGGGATAGAACACAGCTGTACATGTTACTATTAAATATGGAATATATCAAACATAAGTTGATTCCTACCAGTTCTGATTTTATTTGTGTATTTTGTTAAAGGTACTGAGGACATTAATATCCAGTTTTATATTGTGCATTTGAAGGTTCATCAATAAATACAATTCTTGTTTCTCTGGGTCTTAAAAGATATTTTAAATGGTTATCTCATTAAGATTTAACAGGAAATAACAGTGATTCAAATCAAATAGTGGTGCCAGAAACCCATACTTGAATTTTGGGTATAGACAGGTTACCCTTTGCATCAATCCTGAGGAAACTAAAACTATAGGATTAATCAGGATAAAAAAGAATTGAGCAAGGATTCAGGAGGGATCTGTATCATCCTGGTGACAACCCTCTTCTAGAAAAAACTAGAAAGTCTAAGAATAAATGAAGTTGCTGGTTCTCACCTGGAAAGGTCAGTTACTCACAAAATTTTTAGAGTCTATCTTATGCCATAATTCTATCACTGAGAGAAGAAACTTGTCCAGTCATCATGTAATCTTCATGTAAATTTATGTTTTTAATTGCAGAATTCATACCACAGGCAAAGTCCCAATGTCTGCATTTGCTGTTACCTTAAATAGTCAAACCCCAAAGTTATTGTAATCTTTTTTTAACAGAGAATAATTTGCAGAGTAATCTCGGTCCGGTAGATCTTTCAGTGGATCCAAATGATTGCCATGAATGGTTTAGAATTTTTTTAATTTTCAAGTTGTTTTTATTCTGTGGAATACTGGACTTATTTTTGTAGTCCCAAAAGAAAAATAAATATTTATTTATTTGCCGTTAAGAGTTGTAGTTTTGTTTTCTCAAATTTGTCCTGACACTGACGAGATTAGTTAAATGTAGGTCATCTGAACCAAATACAAGGAAGGAAGGACCCAGTTCTGAAGAGTGTGGGCATTTCTTTTCTTGTTTTTTTTTTTTTTTTTTTTTTTTTCTATAGGAGGGGAACGAGGTGAACTAAACAAACAAAATAAAGCAAAAAAGAACTGATTTTTATCCCTTGAGGTAGAAAGAATGAGATTACAGTGGACCCCCTTGTCTGCATTTTCACTTTCTATGTTTTAGTTACTCACAACCACGTCCAAAATGTTAAATAGAAAATTCCAGAAATAAACAATTTATAAATTTTAAATCAGTGGTGGCTTTGAGTACTGTAATGAAATTTTGTGCCATCCCACTCAGTCTGCCTCGACTTCCCTTAGAATCATCCCTTTGTCCGGTGCATTCACGTTGTATTTACTCCCTGTCTGTTAGTCACTTGTTGCAGTATCACAGTGCTTGTGTTCAAGTAACGCTTATTTTACTTAAGAATGACCCCAAAGCACAAGAGTACTGTGCCTAATTTATAAATTAAACTTTTTCATAGGTATATACATATAGGAAAAAACATAATACATACAGGATTTGGTTGGTACTATTCTGCGGCTTCAGGCATCCACTGGACGTCTTGGAATGTATCCCTTGTGGATAAGGAGGAACTGTATATGGTTAACCTAGGAGCTAGAGTCAACAGTTGGAAGAGACTTTGGGGATAATTACATGGAAGGGCATGGTGGGTGGTCGTTTCAGATGACAAGAATGTTTTTGAATAACGGATCATTTGTGTCTTCAGACTTTCCAGAACTCCTTGAGAATTATGCAGAGGTATTTAATCAGTCAGAAGGTTGAATAGTCAAATTATTAGTGAGTGAAGTCTATTTTGATGAGGATTTTACTAATGCTGTCCCTTAGATATTATAAGTAAATCGTTGTTTTCTTTTGAAATATCTGAAACCTAGTTAACATGGACTTTCATTTGTTCTTGTAAAGATATGCAAAGCTATTTGGGAGATTGTCATCATCTGATATTTGATATTCATGGGCTTTCTTCACAGAAGACTAGAAATTAACAGAGTCATGATGAATTATGGCTGCATTGACTTTAAAAAACAAACACCTCCTTAATGTTATTTAACAATTTTGAATAAATTTGATATGGCAAACAAATCAGTTATAATCGATTGAGAAAGGAACTTAATTCTAATACTTGACTGGTGTCCCATAATAACCCATAATACTAAGAGACAGTTTTGGAGGGCGAGAAGTCCTGAAGAGCTGATAGAGATAAAGGTTCAAATTTGAGCTTCTTTCAGTGTTCCTTACGTCAATGCTTTTAGTTTCTCATACAAAATAAAATAAAGAATAACCTTTTTACTGGGAAAAGGTAAAAATTAATAAATTGTAGAAGCATTGTTTGAAGCCAAAAAGTGTGTGACATGTAAATTGAAATGAAAAACCTTAGAGTTTTTGATACTTTTTCAAAGCAGCTAAAGAATTGATACTTGGACACAGGAAGAATTTTTTTTCAAAAGCAATTTTTATAAAATCAGAAAAATGTTTACCTCTTGTTGGGGGCATTGACTGGAAAGGAATACAACAGAACTTTCTGAGATGCTAGAAATGTTTTTTTATCTTGATGGGGTGTGGGTTTTGTAGATAATGAAAAATAAACAGTAAAAAATAAGTAAAAAAAAAAGTAAGAAAGTTGCCAATACAGTTTTACATATTCCTGTGATGTTTTTAATCGACAGGCACCTTCTTACTGAGATACGTAATGAGAAGTTTCGATTATACAAATTAAAGATGATGGCAAAGATGGAAAAATATCTTCATTCTAGCAGATGTAGGAGACAGTATGTATTATTTATTTTATGCCAATAGTATGGATTTATGGATGATGCTCTTTTAAGACAACAATTTGGCTAAATAATTATCAGTATTTTGAAAAAATATTTTGTTGCTGTTACATGTGTGCTGAATTTTTAAGGCTAACTTCTTTGTGTCTGAGTAAACTGAAGTCAAATAATGAAGTCCCAAGTGAATCAATTAATGGTGATTTTACCTCATTATTTTCAGGAATGAACTTAACATATACGTTTCTGTTCTTTTATTTAATTTAAAATTTTGTCTTGGGTAGAATCATCTTGTCTCATTTTGAGGACAAACAAGTACAAAAAGCCTCCTTGGGAATTATGGGAACTGAAAAATGCTGTGATAATTGCAGGTCCAGGTAAAGATTTCTTATTATAGATGGACATTCTAAAAGTCTTTCTTTCTCTTCCTTTTCATGTTTAACTGAATTTTTGTTGAATGATAAGTATTTCAGTTTTTTAAACAAAACAATGAATGTGTTTAGATATGAGAAAGCAAACAATATTAAAGTATTTTGCTTAAAAAATAGATAAAGCAATAAAATGGTAGCCCTAAATCTAAACATATCAATAGTTATGTTAAATGTAAATGATCTAAAATATTATTTAAAGGCGTAAATTGTAAGAATTGGTTTAAAAACATGACCCTGTTCTGTACGTTGTCCACAAGAAATCCACTGTAATTATATAGATAGGTTTAAAAAAGAATGAAACATTACATTCCATGAAAACATTAATCAAAAGGAAGTTGGAGTTACTTTAATATCAGACAATGGACACTTTGGAGCAAAGAATATTATCAGGATAAAGAAGGATATTATATGATGTAAAAGAATCATTTCACCAATGTATCAGTCAGGGTTCACCAGAGAAATAGGACGATTGATATTATGGAGATATATATATATATATATATATATATATATATGGGGAGGGAAAGGAAGAACAAATATGGGGAGAGAGGGATGAGGCGACTGATTTTGAAGAATTAGCTCACGAAATTGTGGGGGTTGGCAAGTCTGAAATTTGTAGAGCAGGTCAATAGGCTGGAAACTCAGGCAAGAGGTGATGTTGCAGTCTTGAGGCAGAATTTCTTCTCTAGCAAACCTAGTTTTTGCCCTTTAGTCCTGCCACTGAGTGGATGAGGCCCACCCACATTATTGACAATAATCTCCTTTACTTAAAGTCAACTGATTATAAATGTTAATCACGTCTACAAAATATTTTACAGCAACATCTAGATTAGTGTTTGACCAAACAACTGAGCATCATAGGCTAGCCAAGTTGATGCATAATATTAATCATCACAACCAAGAAGACATCATCCTAAATATATATATATATATATATATATATATCTACTTAACAAAAAGACTGACAGAACTGAAAGGAGAAATAGAGAAATCTACAGTTACATTTGGTGACTTCCAGCATCTCTCAATAATCAATAAAACTGACAGACCAAAAAATCAGTAAGAAGACAGAAGAAATGAACAGGATTATCAGCATGCTGGATCTCATTGACCTTTTTAGAACATTCTACCCAACAACAGTAGAGTACACATTCAAGTGCAGATGCAGTATTCATGAACATGGATCATATTCAGAGTCATAAAACAAACCTTAACAAATTTAAGAATCTTGTATTTGTATATTTTTTGACTAGAATGGAATTAAACTAGAAAACAATAACAGAAAGATAACAGAAAAGTCTCTAAACCTTAGAAATTAAATAACACACTTATAAATAAATCCATGAGTCAAAGAGGAAGTCTCAAGGCAAATCAGAAAATGTTTTGAACTGAATGAAATGAAAATACAAAATGTGTGAGATGCAGCTAATGCAATACTGAGAAGGAAATTTATAGCATTAAATACCTATGTAATAAAAGAAGAAAGGTCTCAAATCAGTACCTAAGCTTACATCTTAAGCAACAAGCAAATAAGAGCAAAATAAATCAAAATGAAGTAAACATAAGGAAATAACAAAGAACATAAGTCAATGAATAGAAAAGCTATGGTCATACCACTGCTGTCCAGCCTGGGTGACAGAGTGAGACCCTATGTCAAAAAAATTTAAAAACAAAGCAGCATGCAGCATTCATTGTCAGTGAATAGAAAATGGGAAAACAATAGAGAAAATCAACTCAAAAGCTCATTCTGTATAAAGATCAACAAAATTGATATAAACTTCTAACAAGACTGACGGAAAGAGAAAAGACACAGAAGACCAATACCAGGAATGAAAGAGGGAATTTCACTACAGACCTCCCAGGTATTACTAGGGATGATAAGGGAACACTATGAACAACTCAGAACATAACTTTAATAATTTAGATGAAATGGATCAATTTCTTGATAATCTCAAGCTAATTAAACTTACAGTGAATTAGATAACCTGCATAGTGTTACAACCATTAGAGGGATTGAATTCTATGTTAAAAATCTCTGAAAATAAAATCCCCTAGCCCAAAGAATTTCAATGACAAATTCTACCAAACATTTAGAAGACAAAATAATACCAATTCTATAGCATGATTCCATTTATATAATAGTCTTTGAAACATAAAACTATACTAGAGGGATGAAGAAAAGATCAGTGGTTATTAGAGATTGGGGGAGGGAGAAGGTATGATTCCAAAGGATAGTACAAGGCAGTATTTTGGAGTGATAGATTTATCGTGCCCTGATTGTGATGGGAGTTAGATGAATCTATGGATATCTTAAAATGTGTAGAACTTTACACATACATACAACCAATTTGCCTATGTTAATTGAAAAAATAAAATAAAAACAAATTATTTACCTGGTGGGTTAGCTACGTACCTAAGTTCAATAGCTGCGTTACTGTAAGACAAAAGAAGCATTATTAGGGATGGAGTTGTTCTCTGTGTAATGACAAATACTTCTTCACTAAGAAGACAGAATTGTTTTATGCACCTTTAAAAAAAAACAAAAACAAAAAAAATACAACCAACAAACAGTAACTTGCTGGTGCGGTGGCTCACACTTGTAGTATTAGCACTTTGGGAGGCTGAGGTGGGAGGATCACTTGAGACCAGGATTTTTAAGACCAGTCTGGGCAAAAAACCGAGACTGTGTCTCTACAAAAATAAAAAATAAATAAAAAAAATTAGCTAGGCATAGCATTATGTGCCTCTAGTCCCAGCTACTCTGGAGGCTAAGGTGGAAAGATCGCTTGAGCCTGGAAGGTTGAGACTGCAGTTGCAGTGAGCCATGATGGCACCACTACACTCCAGGCTGGGCATCAGAGTAAGACTCTGTCTCACATAAAAAAAATAATAATAATGATAAAAACTAGTCTGGGCATGGTGGCTCACACCTGTAGTCCCAGTCCTTTGGAAGGCCGAGGCAAGAGAATTGCTTGAACCCAAGACTTTGAGAACAGCCTGGGCAACATAGCAAGACCCCATCTCTATTTAAAAAAAAAAACAAACTTAAAAATCCAGCAAATACATAAAGCACAAAGCCGACAGAAGAGGTGGAGAAATCAACAAATCCACCATCAAAGTGGGAGAATTTGATATAATTTTAAGTTATTGGTAGGGTAAACAATCCAAAAATTAGTACACTGTAGAAAATTTGGTCAACATAGTAATAAGTTTGCTTATTACTATTTATCAGTATACATAGTATACTGATTTATCAGATACATAGTATATGGAGCCCTAGAGCAAGCAACTATAGCAGTGTATCTCAAGTATTTTTACTTCATGACCCACATAGCAAATGATATGTGTATATAACACACTGGGCTAATTGTCAGAGTTCAGTTTCTGTCCAAAACCCTAAGATCTGGAGTGATTAACCTTTCAGCACTCTTAGAACTCACTTGTTTGTAGCACACTGATTGAGAAGCACTGAAAGACTTCACTCCTCAAACATACATGGAATATTTCTAAAAACTATGTATTGGGCCGGGTGCAGTGGCTCATGCCTGTAATCCCAGCACTTTGGGAGGCCGAGGCGGGTGGATCCCGAGGTCAGGAGATCGAGACCATCCTGGCTAACATGATGAAACGCCGTCTCTACTAAAAATACAAAAAATTAGCCGGATGTGGTGGCGAGTGCCTGTAGTCCCAGCTACTCGGGAGGCTGAGGCAGGAGAATGGTGTGAACCCAGGAGGCGGAGCTTGCAGTGAGCCGAGATCGCGCCACTGCACTCCAGCCTGGGCAACAGAGCGAGACTCTGTCTCAAAAAAAACCAACCAACTGAACAAACAAAAAAACTAAAAAACAAAAACAAAAAAACTATGTATTAGAGCATGGGTTGGCAAACTATGGCCTGTAGGCCAAATCTGCATGCTGTTTTATTTTTTTTTATTTTTTTGACATAGGGTCACTACAGGCTGTCACACAGGCTGGAGAGCAGTGGTATGATCATAGCTCACTGTAACCTCAAATTCCTGGGCTCAAGCAATTCTCTTGCCTCACCTCAGCTTCCCAAGTAGCTACAGGCATGCACTACCAGACCCAGTTAATTAAAACAAATTTTTTTTTGGTAGAGACAGTCTCAGTATGTTGCCCAGGCTGGTTTTCAAACTCCTTGCCTCAATCAGTCCTCCTACTTCAGCCTCCTAAAGTGCTGGGATTATAGGCATGAGCCATCACGCTTGACTAATGTTTTTGTAAATAAAGTTTTCTCAGAACACAGCCATGCCTTTTGTTTATGTGTTATGTAGGGCTGCCTGAGTTAAGTAGTTGGCTGCAAAGCCTATCATGGCCTATAAAGCCTGAAATACTTACTATCTGGTCCTTTATAGAAAGTGTTTTCTGACCCTGTACTAGACTAGCTTGTCTCAAAATTCTTCAATGAATTTGGAAGTTTTCTCACCACATTTTCTGACCATAATGCACTTGAGTTAGAAGTAAATAAGCAGATAAACAACAAAATCCTCATGCATTTGGAAATTAAAAATAACACTTAAATAATTCATATTCAAAGAAAAAATCAAACTGGAAATTAAAAAAAATTTTAAACCTACAGATAACTACATTAATATGCATTAACATTTTTAGAACTTAGGGATAGTTACAATGATATACATTAAAACTGGTAAGAGGCTGGGTGCGTTGGCTCACGCCTGTAATCCCAGCACTTTGGGAGGCCGAGGCTGGGGGATCACGAGGTCAAGAGATTGAAACCATCCTGGCCAACATGGTGAAACCCCGTCTCTACTAAAAATACAAAAATCAGCTGGGCGTGGTGGCACGCGCCTGTAGTCCCAGCTACTTGGGAGGCTGAGGCAGGAGAATCGCTTGAACCTGGGAGGCGGAGGTTGCCGTGAGCCGAGATTGGGCCACTGCACTCCAGCCTGGCGACAGAGCGACACTCTTGTCTCAAAAAAAAAACAAAACAAAACAAAAAAAAAAACTAGTAAGAGGGCCCAGTGGCTCACACCTGTCATTCTAGCTCTTTGGGAGACTGAGGAGAGAGGATCAGTTGAGGCCAGGATTCAAGACCAGTCTGGGCAACATAACGAGACCGCATCTCTACAAAATTTTAATAACAACAACAAAAAAAACTGGTAAGAGGCAACATTGAATAGTACTTTGTGGGAGTTTATTAGCTTGAAATACTCATAATAGAAAAGAAAATTAATCAGCTAAGCATCTCACTAAAGAGATTAGGAGAATAAACCTAAGCATAGTTTTTTTCCCCCAAACATTATTATATCTGGAATATTGAATGCATTCTTATTGCTATTTCAAAGATACTTACTCTAAGGAAAGCAATTGAATTAGGTAGTTGAACTCTATAGTAGATTTTCTTTAATGAGTCCTTTTGTTCTCAACCTACTTAAATAATTCTCATTTGAATTTATGATAGTTTCAGATCTACCCAAAGGGTGACTTAGGAATTTAACTTCTAAATCTATTTAAATGAAAGGTTTATAATCTTTTTGTCATATTTTACAGTCGTTAGCGTTTAACAATTTATAGCATAGGATTTGGGTTTTTTTTTTTTTTTCATTTTAAAGAAGAAGTTTATTTAAGCAAGACACTTGACTAAGGGAAGACTATCTTGGAGTTATTATTACTAGAGTAATTTATTTCTACTTAAAGACAGATTGCCCCACAAGTAACAGCTACATAAAAACAGTTGTAAAATTGTCCTTGGTTTTACAATGATAAATGAAAAACATTAAAATTCTCTAATTGAACAAGGTATGCAAGGATTTTTATATTGTTTTTTGCTAAAACTATGACAGCAAAATAACATCCTGGAGTATAAAGATAAGAGCTGAATGAGCAGGCCACTAGGGGACAAAGGGAGTCTTTTCACAGAACCAATGCTTCTTTTGCCCACCCCATCTCCATCGAAGTCAATCTAAACATATTATTGGCCATTTAGTTAAAAAAAGAAAGAAAAGAAAAGCAATATGCTTGTGGACATACACCAGTTACTTTATGTGCAGTAAAAGAGTAGGAAGGGGAAGGTGAAAGAATAGAGAAAACTATGTAGTCAGGATGTGGTGGAACCAAATTGCAACTTTCTTTTTTTTTGAGACAGAGTTTTGCTCTTGTCACCCAGGCTGGAGTGTAGTGGTGGCCCAATCTTGGCTCACTGCAACCTCCGCCTCTCAGATTCAAGCCATTCTCCTGCCTCAGCCTTCTGAGTAGCTGGGATTACAGGTGCATGCCACCATGCCTGGCTAATTTTTGTATTTTTAGTAGAGATGGGTTTTCACCATGTTGGCCAGGCTGGTCTTGAATGCCTGACTTCAAGTGATCCACCCGCCTCAGCCTCCCAAAGTGCTGGGATTACAGGCGTGAGCCACTGCGCCTGGCCAAATTGTAGCTTTCTAATTGAGACTGTCTTCTTGGTCTGGAAGAGCAGAGTTCTGCAGTAAAATAACAGGTCCCCCTTTTAGTAGACATCTCCATGTCTGCTGCTGGAACACATCAGTTTTGTCTTAAGCCTCACTTCCAAATGTGCAGATGTGTCTGGTTCATTGATTGGCTGCCTGTCAAATTGAAACCTGATCTGCCTCATTGGCAAACCGTGCCCCTTACAATAGGCTTTCATTGGTTTACTAAGCGGTGTGGTGCGTGGCTGTTCATCTTAAACTGCACCACAGTTTAAGATGAACCTTCAAATGAACATTATCCTTGTTCTCAGTCTTGACTTTCCTTGGGCTTTTTGTGGACCCTGGTGAGTGTGGCAGTCTCCTCAGCTGCTGCTTCACAAAAGAGGTACCAGGTCTGCCCCGAATGAGTGAGCCCCTAAACAGGACCAGGAGTGGCAGAAGAAAGAGGCAGCAACTGAGATGTGTTTTTTCTAAGCTGAAAGGCTTTTTTTTTTTTTTTTTTTGCAACACACCTTTAACACTAAAGTCCAATATTTATATAATTGGTCAAGTAAGTGGAGCTGTTCTAGCTATAAATATGGCAACTCTGCTTGCTCGTCCTATTATTGACATTATTCCTTTCTGTGGTCTGAGGTGCCTCCCATGAAACTTGCTTCTAGGACACTAGGATTGAGAACCATCAGCGTAACATATCTGTTACGCTACAATAGTTTATTTTCATATTTTAGCTACTTTACATACTCGGGTATAATGAACTTTATTCATAGCTTCTGAAGCAGTTGGCACATTTGAGATATTTTTTACTTGGCTAATTGTTATGCTAAATCTTTTGATTTCTAAAGATACATGCCTTTGCTAAGCTTTCTTCAAATGTTATTATTTTTATTTAGATTGGATCATTGCTATTCCATGGATGACTCAGAGGATACATCCTGGGACTTTGGTCCACAAGCATTTAAGCTTTTGTCTGCTGTGGACATCTTAGGCGAAAAATTTGGAATTGGGCTTCCAATTTTATTTCTCCGAGGATCTGTAAGTATATATCTGTGAATTCCCTTCATAGATCTTCTTTTACTTCTATTACACTTTTCTTCAGAGGTTTGCAGTATTATGATTGTAGCTTTGACTTCAGATGGGTGACTAGGAACTCATAGAGTCTTACTAAGTTCCAGTTAAACACTACATTCATTACTTTGGATAAAACCCGTGTGTATGGCATCTTCTGCTGTTTTCATGTTCAAGCCGATGTTCAGCTCTGCAGCTCAGTCTGGAAGCATTGTGTTAATTTATCACATTGCATTTGGGTGAATCCCTAGACTAGTCTTGCTTAGGATAATTAGGAAAAGTTAACTTTCATTGTATCAAGGGACAGGTAGAACAAAATTGTCCTTTTGTCCAGGAAACCATTAAATTCTTCAAGGAAAACTTTAGTTATAGGGATTATTTTTTAAATGTCTAATTTCAGTAACAATATTTGGGACATATTTATTTTTCCTTCTGTTTCCTATCAGAAGTATTTAAAGTTATAAGAAAATTGTGGTTTTTGCCTTTACTAATGAATAAATAATCAATTAAATTCAGTTACTTTTTTTTGGAGTGATTGATGTTCCAGTATTCTTCTAAACAACCACGGGTACAAATGTGAATAAGATAGGACCGTTGCAGTCCAAGAGCTTGTTCTGTAGTCCTTTCCTTTATATGATTTTTTCCCCTGATTTAGAAGTCTATAAAGCAAAGCTAAGTATTACACACTGATAATGGCTGAATAAATCAAGAGCAAGAGATAGGATACTTTGCAAATATGCATATTTATTAAAAATGTACTTTAAAATAGAGATTAAAATTCTCGTATTGAATGTAGAATAGGTAAGCATTTATTTGTGAAATACTCGAATGCTTCATGTAAATACTTTCTGAGTTTGTATTTTTAGAAAGGAACATTTTGGAGGCTGAGGCAGGAGAATGGCGTGAACGTGGGAGGCGGAGCTTGCAGTGAGCTGAGATTGTGCCACTGCACTCCAGCCTGCGCGACAGAGCAAGATTCTGTCTCAATAAAAAAAAAAAAAGAAACATATTTATTAAATTAGTTGTGAAATATTTTTAATGAAATATATTGAAAACTTCTGTTGATTTTTCATGTACTGATGTTTTTAGATTCTAAATGGAGTTTAAAATTTTGTTTGTAAATCACAAGTTGGATTAGAAATTTAATAGTAGAAGTGTTGCCTAAGGACTATTTTAGGTGCTGTGAGTGAAACTGTATTTTTTATAACAAGAATTTTAGTTGTAAGGGACAGCTTAAATATAATTGAGATCTGTGAAAATGTATTCTGTCTCTATCACCTTCAGAACCTGTGTATCTCAGTTGAATGTATAATTTATAAAAATTATTCTTGTTTTAATTTGGTGTAATCCAGCCATATCCAGTATCAACAAATAAGTCTAAGTAGGCTCCTTGACAAACTTGAACTGGCCACAAGAGAGATCAGATTTCACCTATTAAAAAACCAAATCAGACCACTTACACTGACAGTCTCTTCTGGGAGTCCTCAAATTAAGAAGTCTATCCTTTGTGAAATATTACACTACCCTTGCTAGATAAAACTTTTCTAAAAGTACCACTTAATGAAAATCTGTAGACACTAAATGCAATGAAAATAAGGCATTGTTTTTTTTTCTCCCCATTTCAGTGATCTTGGTATCCTGGGATATTGTTTTTAAAATTATCGTTATAATTCCTTTGAGAATTTAGTGAAATGTTCCCTTTAACCAACTTAGGAAAAATTAATATCTTTGTACATGATTTTGAGCTGTAAAATAAACATTTTAAACTGGGAATAATTGGAGTTTAGTTAAAGAGATAATGTATATAAATATATAACATAGTAGCAGCATATAATTCTGTCTTACACAAGATTTTTCTGAATAGTATAAACAGTTATGTAGCCTATCTAGGAGTTTGTGAATAGAGTTTAAAATTTTGTTTTGAAGCTGCAAATTTGATTAGAAATTAAACAGTGAAGTTATTACTTAAGGAACTTCGTTTTAGCTGTCTGAACAACTTACTGTATAAAAATCTTTAAACATTCTGTATAAATATGTGATAAGATATGCAATGACCTTAATTTTATAGATTAGAAAATAAAAACACACTCATTAATTTACATAACTGACAGATTAAGTGAAACTTCTCTTCTGATCACGTTAGCAGAATGCCAAATCTTGTCGTGGCACTAGAATTAGACGGTAGTTTTGATAATACATGATTTGACTATAGACATTTGTTGAAACTATTGGTAGTTTTAATCACTCTTGTAATTTTCAAACTATCTAACGGGAGAGGATTATCCATCCTGTTTTCTAGACAAACTGTTTCATCTGAATGAAATATATTCCTAGAGATAATTATCACTACTTCATCTTTTGGTTTTATTTTGCACATAGAATTATAGTTCACAATGACTTTCTGAAGCTCTAAAGTTGCAGCTGTGAGCTTCTTTGGCCTGTAGGGACTGGGAAAAAGCACCCCCGTCCTCCCCCAAGCCCCCCCACCAAAAAAAGTTAAAGTGTTTTTAACAATAGCTGTGGGCTTTTTGTAGTTTCAGAACTTAGGAGTTGCCCAGGCTGGAATGCAGTGGTGTGATCATAGCTTGATGCAGCCTTGAACTCCTGGGTTCAAGCAATCCTCCCACCTCAGCCTCCAGAGTAGCTGGGACCACAGGTGCCACCCCACCCAGCTATTTTTTTTATTTTTTAATTTTTTTGTAGGTATGGGGTCTCCCCATGTTGCCCTGCCTGTCTCAAACTCCAGGGCTCTCAGGTGATACCCACCACCCTTGGCCTCCCAAAGCACCGAGAGTCACTGTGCCAGGCTGAGTTTAAAATTTCTTGAGTTGGAGTTTATGGCTATTTTTTCCACTAGTTATTAAACATGTATTTTTGTATAAGGCACTGTATTACATTTTGTGGGGGGATTCAAAGCTAAATTAGATGAGACGCATCATCTATTATGGAAGATGTTACTTAAGAAGAAATGAGTGTAATGTAGCAGAGAATTAGATAAGGGACGTATGAATACATATAAATGCTGTTGAAGTTCTGAAGAGAGAGAGTGTTTAGAGAAATTAGAGGAGTCTTTGTGAAGGTATCACTAGAACTTCCTATTTTTGTGGAATATATAGTAGATTTTGGTGTGATACTGTGGATTTGGACATTCACTCAGAGAAGGAATGAGGGAAGAATGGTGGAGAAGAATGGCATTCACAGTACAAAAAGCAACTGTGACTTTTAAAGAAGTTAATATGGAGAAGTGGCAAGTCTTTTCTTCTCTCTTCTCTTCTCTTCTCTCTTCTTTTTCTTTTTTCTTTTTTTCTCTGTCAGATACCGTTGTAAAGACTTTGCTTTTACCGGAAACTGATACGTTGGGTCATGTACCCTGGCCAGTCAGTTCTCTTTATTCTAACACTTAGCCGATCAGTTAGATTTCCACATTCCATGATATGTCAGTTTTGGTGACCCTTATTTTTCCACCTGGTTTATAAAGGGAAAGAATGTGATATGTCACCCAGGCTCTGGAGTACAGTGGCATGATCATAGGTCACAGCAGCCTCAAAGTTTCCAGTTCAAGCGATCCTACTTCCTTGGCTTCCTGAGTATGTGGCACTACAGGTGCATGCCACCATGCCCAGCTAACTTTTTTGTAGAGACAGGGTCTCCCTATGTTTCCCAGGCTGGTCTTGAACCCCTGACCTCAAGTGATCCGCCCACCTTGGCTTCCCAAGATATTGGCATTACAGGCATGAGCCACTGTGCCGGCCTGAAAATTTCTCTTTTGAGATGGCATCCCACAGAAGTATACCTGCTTAGAGCTAACACTGGTAAAAAGACTATTTAACCCTATTGCCTTATTTTACTGTAGTTGAGATTGAGTTAAACTGAAAGCTGAATGACCTGTCCTAGGTCATACTGTTACTTTGTGCCAGAGTCAGGATGAGCAAATGGATTTCCTGCCTGCTAGTCTAGTGTCTTTTCTATTTATTGTGCTGTAACATACAGTTTTAAATTTGTATTTTTATGCCCAATGGACATGGTAGCTCACACCTGTAATTTCAGCACTTTTGGGAAGCCGAGGTGGGGGGATTGCTCGAGACCAGGAGTTCAAGATGAGCCTGGGCAACATAGCGAGACTCCGTCTCTATAAAAAAAAATTTAAAAATTAGCTGAGTGGTGATGTGTGTGCGTGTAGTCCTCCTTGTGGGAGGTTGAGGTGGGAGGATCGATTGAATCTAGGAATTCAGGACTGCAGTGAGCCATGATTACACCACTGCACTCCAGCCTGGGTGACAGAGCAATACCCTGTCTCGAATGAATGAATGAATGAATGAATGAATGAATGAATGCCCAAATCCGTAAGCTATGTTCTGTATAGCAGCTTTTTCATCATAGGCAGTTTTTACTCTTATCAGTGGACAACCTACAAAATTAACTAAACACTTAAACAATTAACAGAGGAGGCCTTGTTCAGAGTGAGAAATCATTAAGCATTTGTTGTTGAAATTTCTTACTGTACTCTGTTTTAATTCTGTTTTTTTTTTTTTTTAATGTTACTTGTTTTAGTTTGGATTCCTAGTTGAAAAGGGAATATGATTCCTTTAAAACAAAGATACTCTGCTTTAAAGCAAAGGTATATCATCCTCTTCATGGTGATTGCCATGGAAACAAGACAATGTAAATTTATTCAAATAGTACACAGTTTTTATAGTTATTGATCATGAGGGGAAGGGACAGTTAATCCCTACTGATCAGATAAAACCTCATTGTTTCATACTAATAAATGGTTTTTTTATGCTTATGAAAGGAAAAGCCAGAAGTGTAATTTTTAGTGTTTAGAGAGCTAGTGATTCTAGTTAGGGAACTTAATACCTTTGAAGTTATTAGTTTGCAAGCAATAGAATCTACTACTACCAAGGTGACCCCTAGCAGATGTAGAGTACCATTAACAAGTGTTCCAGGGAAGGAAAGCCAACTAGATACCAAGTCATGCTTTTTACTCTTAGATTAAGAAATTCAGGTTGAGTTAAAGGATCAGCTGTTAACTAATAAAAAGCAGATTAATATTACAGAGCCAGGCTCTGTCCTGGTTATGGACTTAATCTTCACAGCATCCTCAAGAGATAAAAATGAATATACCTGCATATTAGATGAGGAAATAGAAGATAAGTAACTTGCCAGAGCTATGACGTGAACTCAGGTAATGTAGCTTAAGAGCCCCCACATGTATGTATATTGGGTGTGTGTGTGGAGGGGGTGCGTGTGAGTGCTTGTGCATGCGTGTGGTATAATAAGAAAAAATTAGCATTTATGCCTGTAATCCCAGCACTTTGGGAGACCGAGGCACGAGGATCTCTCAACCCCAGGAGTTCAAGACCAGTCTAGGCAACATAGCGAGACCCTACCTCTACAAAAAAAGTTTTAAAAATATTAGCGGGCATGGTGGAATACACCTGTAGTCTCAGCTGCTTGGGACGCTGAGGTGGGAGGATCCTTGAGTCCAGGAGATTGAGGCTACAGTGAGCTATGATGACACCTCTGCACTCCAGCTTGGGTGACAAAGAGAGACCCTGTCTCCAAAAAAAAAAATTAGAACTAGTTATCTGGAGGCCTGTGTTCTAGTCCTAGCTTTAGTACGGCTACACAGTGACACATTAGGCTACCATTTAACATCTTTGAACCTCTGATAATTTGTTAACAATATGGGTAAAAATGACTAAGATAAATCAAAGAGCTCCAGCATTCCCTCCAGCTCTGAAATTCTATGATGTTTTATCTTATTTTACTTACAAAAATAAATTATATTATGTATATTTAAAGTATACAATTTGATGTTATGGGTTACCTATAGTAAAATGATTACTATAATGAAACTAATTAACATATCCATCATCTTATATTGTTAACCATTTTTTTGTTTTTGTGGCAAAAGCAGCTGAAATCCACTCATTTAGCAGGAATCCCAAATACAGTTCAGTTGTATTAATTGTAATTCTCATGTTGTACATTCGATCTCTAGACTTGTTTATGCTACATATGTTTGACTTTTAAACATTCTACTCAAATCAACCCTAAGTCAGGGTTAGCACAGACAGGACTTGTTAACAAGGTAGAAGGTGCCACATTGTACCTGGGTGTTTATATTTCTCTAAATCTTGTTCTGATCATATTTTAATAAATATAATCATCAGGACACCAAAATTCATTCCTTAGCTATTAAAAAATTCTATTCTATTTTATTGTTAAGATTTAGGAGAGCATGGTACAGATTCTCTTAACTATACCTATCAGAAGCCTATGTTTTAAGTCCAATGTATAGGCACTGCTCTGTTTGTCTCTGGTGGGAACTTACCCTGCTTTACCTAATTTCATCCTAGCTTCCTTTTTGTGAAAGATCACCCTTGCTTAGCCTATTTTTTGGCAAATCTACACCTTGGAAATAGTAGTAAATGACATAAGCATATTAATATTTATGATGTGATTTATTTTTGTTTTCAAGTCATATACTGGGGAAGATTCTCAAATATTAAAACAATGTATCTTTACATTTATGTATGTCGTTCTTGTTCTGTTTTAGAAGGCTTGTATTTGCATTTTTAACATTCCAAAAGGTAAACCTGTAATCATAATGTTTTCATCAATTCAATAAAACCATTACGTTTGTAATAGAGAGCCCTATAGTTGCCTTAGTTAAGTTTGCTGCAACTCATTTTATATATTCTTTTAATTTTGATCCCTGGATTTTTAATTGATTATTAAACCTTCATTAGGATATATATGAAATGTAAAAATATTGAGTTATAATCTACCGTTTTCTAAAATTTTATACTGCATTTTTATATAGAAATTCAAATTGCTCATAATCATTCTAGTGAATTTAAGTAGAAAGGTATTTATTACTAGGTATTAAATGGCTTATAATATTGTTGACAAGGTTCCACTGCAAAATAGTTCACCAAGGGAGCTGTGGCCTCTTCTGTGATCAAGAAGCCATCTGTCAACTTGGGAAGCTTCCACTATAGCACCTAACCCCAGACTACATTGAGTAGGAAGCTGTAATAATCAGGAAGCTTCTACCTTTGCATGCTCTGCAAACCAACGTGAACCTGCTGTAATTTGTAACCACAAAATGGATGCCTGTTGATACTTACGAAGCTCATCATTGTATGCTGGGTTCTTTGCTAATACTTTCTTATAAAAATTAAATACCTCCACAATCATGCATGCTAGCAGAAACAGCAGAGGAGTAGCCTTAGCCTCACTTCCTGCTTATACCTGTCATGCAAATATACAGAACCCAGAACCCTAGCTGAAAGGGAGTTTGAGAACTAGTATTTGTATTGTCCCAGATTCTGCAGTGGAAGAATTCATAGTGGATGGAAGTTAGAATGACCCTTGAATTACAATCGGCCACATTCATCACAAATACATTAAATAAGAGTAATTTGCCATAAAGCTCTATGTTTGTATACTTCTTTGTTTTTTTTTTTTTTTTTTTTTTTTTTTTTTGAGACAGGGTCTCACTCTGTTGCTCAGTCTGTAGTGCAGTGGTGTCATCATAGCTCACTGCAGTCTTGATCTCCTGAGCTCAAACGATTCTCCTGCCTCAGCTCCTGCTTCAGCCTCCTGAGTAGCGGAACAACAGGTACACACCACCACACTTTGCTAATTTTTTATTTTTTATTTTTTGTAGAGATGTGGGTCTCACTGTGTTGCCCAGGATGGTCTCGAACTCCTGGGCTTAAGTGATCCTCCCAAAGTGTTGGGATTACAGGCATGAACCACTGTGCCTGGCCCATATACTACATATATTTAAAAGTAGTATTTAAATGTGTAGGATGAATGAAAGAGGCAGTAAGAGAACAAAGTGAATGAAAAAGTATTTCTATATGAAGTGAAAGCAGGAGAGTCCTCTCTGTTAGAGAACAACAGAATTGCATATGACAGACTAGCTTTCTTAATATTTCTAGAACTTGATGGCTGTGAAGAGCGTCCCGTAGGAATTCTCCCTTCACTTAGGAAAACATACCTCAAAACCATCAGCTGTTTAGCATGCACCTGCTTTTCCTGGTATATCTCAGTGAAGCAGCTAAATTGTAAATGATTAAGTAAACTTTGCAGTGTATCATGTGCAAAAGCACAGTAAAAACAAAAATGCATTGGAAGCTGTGAGTTGTTGCACTGCACTCATGGATGAATAGCTGTTGGTTCGCATTGCGTTTTTTTGTTTTGTTTTGTTTTGTTTTTTTGAGATGGAGTCTTGCTCTGTTGCCCAGGCTGGAGTGCAGTGGCGTGATCTCGGCTCACTGCAAGCTCTGCCTCCCAGATTCACGCCATCCTCCTGCCTCAGCCTCCCGAGCAGCTGGGACCACAGGTGCCCGCCACAACACCTGGCTAATTTTTTGTATTTTTAGTAGAGACGGGGTTTCACCATGTTAGCCATGATGGTCTCAATCTCCTGACCTCGTGATCTGCCTGCCTTGGCCTCCCAAAGTGCTAGGATTACAGGCATGCCGCATTGCGTTTTATATAATTCTCATGGTTCTAGTCTCGAGCTGTAGGATTTTGATCACTGTTTCAAACAATAATGTGAGTTTGCTAAGAGGTCTAAATAACAAAAGCTAAGTGTTCCAAACACATATCCAAACCTATACACTGGGCAATGCATCTGAATTATATGTGAAATTTCCTGCCATTATTTAAGACACAAAAGGAACATTATTTTGATAATGTATTTATTTGTGAGTGGAGTGTTCAGAATGAGCACGATGGGTATAACATTTTTGTAGGTTTTTAAAGTTGAAATTTAGTGTAAATCCAAAGAATCAATAGACAAGTCTGTGTTTTACTTAACCTATATGTTTAAATTAGCATTTTTAGATACTGATTTTATTCCTAATTTCAGAATTCTCAGCGTCTTGCCGATCAATATCGCAGGCACAGTTTATTTGGCACTGGCAAGGATCAAACAGAGAGTTGGTGGAAGGCTTTTTCCCGTCAGCTGATCACTGAGGGATTCTTGGTAGAAGTTTCTCGGTATAACAAATTTATGAAGATTTGCGCCCTTACGAAAAAGGTAAACGGTGTAGGAGTCTGCCTGTTTGACTTAATTTTGTTTCCCACTCCACATTAAAAGATCCTTTTTGCTTTTAATAGGGTAGAAATTGGCTTCATAAAGCTAATACAGAATCTCAGAGCCTCATCCTTCAAGCTAATGAAGAATTGTGTCCAAAGAAGTTGCTTCTGCCTAGGTTCATTTTTCAGTTTTTTTCTTGTAACTTCTGCATTTTTTGTTGCTATTTATGTGATTCAAATTATACCAGTTTATAGGCCTCTCACAAGTAAAATGAATTACCTGTTTGTTTTTGTATGCCTATTTTAGTCAGTTTGGGGGAAGGGATCTGTGAGGAAAGGATAAGTCATAGAGCACTTTTCTTTTTTAAGAGACAGAGTCTCTCTGTGTTGCTCAAGCTGGAGTGCAGTGGTGCGATCATAGCTTACTGCAGCCTCGATCTCGTGGGCCCAAGTAATCCTCAGCCACCTGAGTAGATGGGACTACAGACATGCACTACTATGCCCAGCTAATATATTTTAATTTTTTGTATAGAGACAGGGTCTTCTAGTGCTTCCTAGGCTGGTCTTGAACTCCTGAGCTCAAGTGATCCTCCTGCCTCAGCCTCCCAAACTACTGGGATTACAGGCATGATCCACCGCTCCCAGCCAGAACATTTTCTTGGTTGATGGGAAGTAGCTGACCATGGTATTTAGAAAACTTCTTTCTCATCGATTAAAGAAGCAGTACTGAAATCAATGCGGAGGAATCCATATATCATATTTACTTCTGGTGTGTAGAAGTGGAAAGGGAATACATTTGTTGCTTACTTTTTTGTACCTTTACATGTGATTGATCACTTGTGAGTTTTTTCTTTCAAACATCTTAAAGCTTCCAGAGCTTTTTCTAGAAAAAAAAATCAGTTTTAAGAATCACCAGTTCTAAAAGGGTAATATCTTATTCATCTTTCTGAGAATGGAGTATCATGATTCATGAATTAGATACTTGCATCTTAACATTTGAAATAATTTAATTTTATTATTTTTTAGTTCGAAAACTGTATCTTCGGGCACCAAAGAGCATTGTTATAATCAAGTACCAGTTGAATTAAGTACAGAGAAGAAGGTTTGTTTTAAAGAAATTGTTCTGATTTATTTCATTCTTTATTGATTCAAATTCTGTTTAAAATTTTATATTTTAATTCCTTTCCAATTAAAGAGAAAATGGCATATATAACAAAGCATAAAATTCGGCCAGGGAAGTGATGTGAACAGACTAAAATTTATTGTATATAATTTCTGGGGCTAATAAAGAATTGGAGGTATTTGAGAAAGGAATTAATTTGGGTTCTTTTAAACCTATCTGCTAACTCATTTGGCTTAGAGTAGTCACATGTTATAATACTTATAGTTGATCAAAAAATTGATTCCTAAGTGTTCTTATTAAAGACACACACACACACACACACACACACACACATTCTCTCTCTCTCTCTCTCACACACACACACATGCACACACACTTATGTACTTTCTTGCTTTTTTTGACCTAAGATCTTAGATAACTATTACAGATTAAATACTAATCCACTGGCAGACTTCAGCTAATTAGAACACTGGAATAATAGGCAAGCATAGTGAATTACATTTTCTGGTGAACTTTTTCTGCTTTATTGAAGTATGCAGAATGTAAATGAATTGTTTTTATAACTTTGGCACTTGCTGTATCTTAGAACATTCTTTTGATGATTTATTTTCTGTAGTTTTGGGAGAGATAAGACATTGGAATGCGTTTCTAACTACCTTTAGAACTTTAGAAACTGATAATTTAGGAGGTTATTTTCAGGTGATTAATTTGACAGCTTGATTAGGCAAAGAAAAAATTGTGATTTTGAGATTTTTGTTTCTTATTTTCTTCACATTTAAAAGTTTTTTGAAACTTTTTTTAATGGACCTTTATATGTTTAAATGCAGTCTAACTTGGAGAAGTTATATTCTTATAAACCATGTGATAAGATTTCTTCTGGGAGTAACATTTCTAAAAAAAGGTACAGAGTTCCATATTTCTATGTTCTATACTTGCTTTATGAGTACTTTTTTTTCTAAAGAGAAAGAACTGTCAGATGTTGGGCTATTTCATTGGCAAAAGGAAGTTAAATTTAAAACATAAGCTTTTCAGTATTAGAATGATCAAAGTGAGCTATAAAAGAATAATGTTAATTTAATAGCTAACACTTCTTGGATATTACTGTTTGTCAGGCATTATGTTAAATGCTAAGAACTTTATATGTGATATCTCATTTAATTCTTACAAGAGTCTAACAGCTGTTACTATTTATCGCCATTTTATAGTTGAAGATACCAAGGGTTAAGAAGTTGACAAACTTGTTCAAGAGCATACAGCTAATGGCCGAGCTGGCTTTCAAGTCTATATTTGTCTACCTCTAGCATCAAGACACTATTTATTTTTCTTTGTATGAAATATATACAGGCATACTTTGTTTTATTGTGCCTGGCTTTATTGTGACTTGCAGATATTGCATTTCTTATAAATTGAAGGTTTGTGGCAACCCTGCGTCAAACAGGTCATATTAGCCCCATTTTCCAATAGCATGTTCTGTTGTCATGTCTTTGTGTTATATTTTGGTAGTTCTTGACTGGCCATTCACCATTTCTCTCCCTCTCCTCGGGTCTCCCTGTTCCCTGAGATACAACAAAATTGAAATTAGGCCAATTAATAACTCTATAATAGTCTCTAAGTGTGTTTTTTTTTTTTTCGAGACTGAGTCTCACTCTGTTGTTCAGGCTGGAGTGCAGTAGCACAATCTCGGCTCACTGCAATCTTCGCCTCCCGGGTTCAAGCGATTCTCCTGTCTTAGCCTCCTGAGTAGCTGGGACTACAGGCGCCCCCCGATCATGTCTGGCTAATTTTTGTATTTTTAGTAGAGATGGGTTTTTGCCGTGTTGGTCAGGTGGATCTTGAACTCCTGAACTCAGGTGATCCGCCTGCCTTGGCCTCCCAAAGTGCTGGGATTACAGGTGTGAGCCGCTGTGCCTGGCCCATCTCTAAGTGTTTAAGAGAAAGGAAGATTCACATGTCTCTCAATTTAAATCAAAAGCTAAAAGTGATTAGGCTTAGTGAGGAAGCCATGTCGAAAGCTGAGATAGGCCAAAAGCTAGGCCCCTTGCACCAAACAGTTAGTTTGCAAAGGCAAAAGTTCCTGAAGGAAATTAAAAATGCTACCCCAGTGAATAAAACAATGATAAGAAAGCAAAGCAGGCTTTTTGCTGATATGGAGAAAGTTTTAGTGGTCTTTATAGGAGATTAAACCAGCCACAACATTCCCTTGAGCCAAAGCCTAATCCAGAGCAAAGCCCTAACTCTCTTCAATTCTCTGAAAGCTGAGAGAGGTGAGGAAGCTGCAGAATAAAAGTTTGAGGCCAGCAGAGGTTGGTTCATGAGGTTTAAGGAAAGAAGCCATCTCCATAACATAAAAGTGCAAAGTGAAACAGCAAGTGCTGGTATAGAAGCTGTAGCAAGTTATCCAGAAGATCTAGCTAAGATCATCGATGAAGGTGCCTGCACTAACAGACTTTGAATGTAGACCAAATGCTTTCTACCAGAAGAAGAAGCTGTCTAGTACTTTCATAGCTAGAGAGAAGTCAATGCCTGGCTTCAAAGCTTCAAAGGACAAGCTGACTCTCTTGTTAGAAGCTGATGCAGCTGGTGACTTTAAGTTGAAGCCAGTGCTCAATTAGCATTCTGAAAATCCTAGGGCCCTTAAGAATTATGCTATATCTACTCTGCCTTTGCTACATACATGTAACAACAAAGTCTTGATGATACCTGTTTACAGCATGGTTTCCTGAATACTTTAAGCCCATTGTTGAAACCTGCTTAGACAAAAGATTCCTTTCAAAATGTTATTGCTCATTGACAACACTTAGTCACCAAGAGCCGTAATGGAGACATACAAGGAGACTAACGTTGTTTTCATGCCTGCTCGCTTAACATCCATTCTGTAGCTCATGGATCAAGAAGTAAATTAACCTTTTAAGTATTATTATTTAAGAAATACAGTTTGTAATGCTTTAGCTTCTGTAGATAGTGATTATCAGAGATGGGTTTTTAAGAGGTTTTCCAGAAAACCTTCTGGAAAATATTCACTATTCTAGAAGTCATGAAGAATATTTGTGATTCAGGAGAGTAGGTCAGAATATCAATATTAATAGGAATTTGGAAGAAGTCGATTCTTATTAAAATCAAGAGTTTAGTGATAGACATACTGAGTTTGGGATACCTGTGGAGTAGTCCAGAAGTTAATTTAAATATATGGGCTTAGTGTACAGAAGTGAGCAGGGTGCTTATATATGAATAAATATTATTTTAAGATATATTTAAATTTTCCTTAAAATAATACCTATACTTGATATAAAAAGTTAATTGGAAATTAGTGGCTTATGACAAGCATACCAGCCCACACTCTTCCCAAACCCACTTTGCTCTTATTCATAGAAGCTGTCATCTTCAAATCTTCCAGCTGATTTCCCTGGCGTGTGCCTTCTTATTTCTGAATGACACGCTTAGAGTACTATTTTTTTGACTTAGCAATTTTAGAAATTTTCTACTCATCTCCTATTATGGTAGATTTCCCCTCCTTCATTCCTCCTCCAATATAATTATATTTCGTCATATTAATAATTTGTTTATATATATTTTTAATATAATATGATAATATTGTATTTATATTATTAAAACTACACAAATATTATATACACACTACTAACCCAACCGTGTTATTATGGCCACCACTACCTTTATTTTTTTCCTTGTGTTAGTGATTGTCTTTGTTTTATTTTCTTGGTTTTGAGTATTCCTTTTACTAATTTTCTTTTTTCCTATTTCAATCTCTCATTATTTGTTTACTCATTTGGAGTGTTCCTTGACTTTTATCCCCTCTTACCTAGTGACATTTTAATTTTAGTTATCAAATTTTTAATTTCTAAGAATGCTTCTTGTTCTCTTCTTGTTTCTTCTTCCCCACCAGCCAAAAATCTATGATGTTATAGCAAGGATCATACATTGTTTCCCAGTAGGTTAAGAAACCTTGGTTAAAACCTGTTGTATCCCAGTAAGTTAAAAGACGTTAACGTGTCATCTTCAGTATGGATGAAAGAATATTTTCTTTCAAAAGCAGTTGGTTGAGGAAGAGAATGGGACAAATGCTCTTTTTAAAACACCAATTTTGTGATGAACTCAAATTGCAATTTTAACTTTACCATTATAATGAATGTATTTGATCCAAAATGTTTAAAATCTAGGCTGTTGTCATTTAAATAACAAATTACCTTACTGGTATCATGAAGAATAAATGTTTGTACTGATTTGGAAAGACATTCTCATTTAGGGGATGAAATAGAAAGTCAATGAGGAGAAAGAAAAGCTTTTATTATTTATTTTCTTTTAAATATTTTAGTATCATGGTACAGTCACCAGAAAAAGCTTACAGTTCCTCACAGCCTGTTATTTCGGCACAAGAGCAGGAGACTCAGGTAAGGCTTTTGTAAAAAGGTAATTAGTTTATGATAGGATAGTTATGATTCTATGTATGCTTAAAATTCTGTATTTTGCCAGCATTTTAAAAATTGTTCTTAAGCTAAGAGTCTGAGTTTATATTTCAGTTTATATTCATTCTAAGGAAAAATGTGGTATCTGAAGCTCTAAAAATAAAGGACTAGATCTTTTAAGTACACTTTAAAAAGTGTTGTTTCTTTGTTTTTTGTTCAGATTGTGTTATATGGCAAATTGGTAGAAGCTAGGCAGAAACATGCCAATAAAATGGATGTTCCCCCAGCTATTCTGGCAACAAACAAGATACTGGTGGATATGGCCAAAATGAGGTAAACTATCTTTTGCATGTGTTCTATTTATTTCCTTCTAACAAAATAGATTTGGAAAATATATCTAAGTTGATAATATGACCATAGCTTCCACTGTCACATCTGGGAGGTGACTCAGATTCCCCCTGCTGCGATGCTTATCTCTTTGCCAAGCTTTAGTACCGTGTTTCTGTATGAATAAAAACCAGTTACGTTTTCAGCAATCATATTCAATATTTATAAAATCTAACTCATTATTTACCCACCCTGCATTTTATCCAAATGCCGAAACTCCTCTTTTTGGATTCTTTATTTTTGATTATCTTACCATCACATTTGTAGTCAGAGGTTCCTAATGCTTAAAACCTCTGATCTGAATTTTCTCTCCTCCAATATAAAACCCCTTCGTCTTCCTCTTCTTCTTCTTCATTTTTTTTTTTTTTTTTGTCTGAAGACTTGTCTCACTGTGTTGCCCAGGCTGGAGTGTAGTGGTGCGATCACTGCTCACTGCAGCCTTGACCCCCTGGACTCAAGCTATCCTCGCACCTCAGCCTCCCGAGTAGCTGGGACTACAGAACATGCCACCATGCTCAGCTAATTTTTGTATTTTTTGTAGAGACAGGGTTTTGCCATATTGCCTAGGCTGGTCTTGAACTCCTAAGCTCAAGCAATCTTCCCGCCTCAGTCTCCAAAGTTCTGGCACTACAGGTGTGAGCCACTGTGCCTGGCCTCTTTTTCTCATTTAAATACTTTTCATACCTTTTGTAAAACGGGTTCCTTGTTGCCTGTCTATGCCTTCCTCCTCCTTCTTAATGACACCACGTTAATTCTGACTGTTTTCCCTTGGCCTGTTGCAGAAGCCTCTTAACTATTAACCCTTCATTCTCTCTCTCTGTTTCATCTGATATATGAGTACCAAACTAAATCTTCCTTTATCATATCTTACTTCTGCTTAAATGTTTTTTTTCTAGCTTAGAATTCAAGGCCCTCTATTTATGAACTTAAACTTACTTTTCCCTCTAAGTTACAGAATTTGAAATGGTTTATCTTACCTGGATTGTTTATCACTTGTTGAAGATCCATTTTCAACTTCCATATATTTATTTACAGTGTTGCTTCTCCTTGTAGTTTCCTTGATTCCTCAAAACTCCTTTTAAGAATTCTTGAAGATCTCGCTTTATTACTATTTCTCGCTTTATTACTGTAAAGACTATGAGAAGGTCTTTCATGATCTTATCAGCAAAGTAATTCCTCTCTCTTGAATTCATAGAGGACTTTCAGATGAATTCTAAAGATGCTTCTGTAGCACTTACCACACAATGCTATATTTTATTTTTTTGTAATTAGTGGTAAACAAGTATTATTATATCTTCTAGATTTTAAACTCCAAATAAAGATACTAGCTCCTTACCTTTTTGTGTGTCTCCTGTAGCACCTAGCACAATGCCTCATAAACAGGAGGTGATCATTAAATATTTAGAAGAAATTATTTCCCAAGAATAGTTGCTTGGTAATTGTATTTGTCTTTTACTTCCTTTTAAAAAATTGTTTCTGTCACTAAATTGCATCCAATAGATGTTACTTGAGTGCAGAATTTTCTAATGACATTACACAGTGCTACATCTGACACTAATTCTTTTGTTAAAAAATAAATATTCTGGCCGGGCGCTGTGGCTCACGCTTGTAAATCCCAGGACTTTGGGAGGCCGAGGCGGGCGGATCACGAGGTTAGGAGATCGAGGCCATCCTGGCTAACACGGTGAAACCCCGTTTCTACTAAAAATACAAAAAATTAGCCGGGCGTGGTGGCGGGTGCCTGTAGTCCCAGTTACTCTGGCGGCTGAGGCAGGAGAATGGCGTGAACCCGGGAGGCGGAGCTTGCAGTGAGCGGAGATCGCGCCACTGCACTCCAGCCTGGGTGACAGAGCGAGACTCCGTCTAAAAAAAAAATAAAAAATAAAAATAAATAAATATTCTAAGACCATACTTTAATAGAGGTGTTTTTTTTTTTTTTTTTTTTTTTTTTTTTTTTTTTTGGTGATAGAGTCTCACTCTGTCACCTAGGCTAGAGTGCAGTGGCGCGATCTCGGCTCACTGCAACCTCCGCCTCCTGGGTTCAAGCAATTCTCCTGCCTCAGCCTCCGGAATAGCTGGGACTACAGGTGCGCGCTGCCACCCCCGGCTAATTTTTTGTATTTTAGTAGAGATGAGGTTTCACTGTGTTGTCCAGGCTGGTGTTGAACTCCTGAGCTCAGGCAATCCACCCGCCCCGGCCTCCCAAATTGTTGGGATTACAGGCGTGAGCCACAGTGCCTGGCCCAGAGGAGATATTTAATGAAAAATAATAATCATTAGATAGGCAGATTTTTAGAAGGAGGGCATCGAATGGGTTCTTGGATATTGGACACAATAAGAAATATTGAGCTAAAAGTCTGAAGGAATTGGCAGATATACTGTTACAGGTAAACACTTTGTAGAAGAAAATAATGAATGAGACTTTCTTTTGAGATTTTCTTAGCCTCTTAGTTGTTCCCAGTTAAAGCCTCATATTTTTCCTTTTCATGACAATAAAAATAATAATAAAATCAGTAATAAAGTGAATATATGAGATGTTAACCTGTTCCTTTATGACAATGTCCTGTTTACCAATTAACAGTGTGTTTTTGTGGTGATGGGGGCAAGACAAATCTTTAAATGGTGGAAAGCAAAGAAAGAAATTATAAAACATGATTAGTTGTATTATACGTTGTTTTTGGTTGTTGGAAAAACTATACATTTATTGAGAGAATCATTAGGAAGCTGAACATCAGCTATATTGCTGGAGTGATACTGTTTCAGTGGTTTCTTGACCTTTTTGTTGTTGTTGTTGTTGTTGTTAAACACAGACCAACTACGGTTGAAAACGTAAAAAGGATTGATGGTGTTTCTGAAGGCAAAGCTGCCATGTTGGCCCCTCTGTTGGAAGTCATCAAACATTTCTGCCAAACAAATAGTGTTCAGGTAAAATACTGTGGTTTGCAGGAGCTCTTAGAGAATAAGCATTTTTTGTAACCATTTCAAAAGTACCCTCCAGAAGCAACATTTGCTCACTTTATTTGCATTTCCATACTGGACACTTAGAAAATGAATTAAAATTGTTTTTACAGTCAATCTGTTGTAAAAACATGTCAGTTATCTACTTTTAAAGATGATACTAAAAAGTAGTTGTCCAGGCTGCTGATGTCTTTCTATTTCATTGGGAGGTTTTGTTTTTAAATTGGAAACATTATTTTAGGTTGATAAATTATAATTTTACATTCAAATGTGGTAGTTGGAATTTAAAGCTGGAAAGTTATCCTTGCTATGAGTTGGTCAGGAGCTCAGCCACTTTCTTTTGGTTTAGCATCTTCTCTAATCTCCCTCCCCTTCCAGTAATGCTGTCTTTTGATAGTAAGTGGATTTCATATTATTCTCTTCAGTTTTAATAGTGTTTCCTTCATATCCTTTTATTATTGCTTGTTCTGCCCTAAGTGACCATTTCCAGAAATGTCATTTAGGATTTTCTCTAAACTCCACGTAGCAGACTCTATAATGCATACTCTGCAGAAGGTGAGGCAGTGGGAGGTAGAGGGGAGACTACTAGACTAGGAGTCACGGAATCAGGACTTTAGTTCTTCCTTACAGTTGTTCACCTGGTGAACCTGCACATGTCCTTTAATTTCCTTGGGTCTCCATTTCCTCAGCTATACAATGGAAATGACACTTCCTCCCCCACATCCAGGAAACAACAGATGACATTAGAAAATAGAAGACATGGGATAAGTATAAAATGTTGAAAGAGTTAAACACATTCAAGGCAATATTAAGGGATTATTTTTTACTTCCAAGAAGCTCCTGGAAGCTTTGGGCAGGCACAGTTGGATCCTACTTTAGAAAAATCTTTCTCTAACTATAAGTAGAAAACCCTTCTGCTTTTTGAATGTAGCATTTCCCTCTTTTGATATAGAGTATCTTTGGCAACTTTGAATTTTCTTTTTCATACTCTTATATAAGACATCATGTGAAAATTCTTATTTCTTACTGAGTTTTTGGAAATGAAATTATAATGTCTTAATAGTTTGAGAAAGAATATCATACCTACCAGCGGTAATTGAGTAAGTTCCCTCTCTTTGGACACTTGAAAGTAGTATCTTCTTTCATGAATTAGTGATATTATTTAATAATGAATGAGTGATCTCTCCTAACTCCCCTTCAGAAGAGGAAAATGAAGTAGGGGAAAAGGTAAATTCCCCAAGGGATAGGTATGAAACCTTTATGAACCTTCTGGATAGAGAAGATGACTGCTGATTTCTGTGATTAGAAATTATACTTGGGTTATTCTGCAAATTGAAATGAATTATTTAAAAAAAAACAACTTTAATGTTTATTAAGCAAGTTTTGTTATTCATGAGTTTCATTAGCCTTTTATTTTTTTTTTAAATTTTGAAGTAAAATTTCTTGCTGTCACAATACACATTAAAAATTACAAATATGACACATATTAAACACATTAAGATGGCCGAATAGGAAAAATATGCTAAAATATTTTTATATAAATACATTTTTTGAGAATTTTGAGAATTTCTGGAACAAAGTAATGATATAATCCATAAATGTACAATTAAAGAGTTTAAGGATATCCAAAATACTTGGCAAAGTAATCTGAAATAATACTCTTAGGAAGGTAGGGCAAGAATGTGATTCTAGTAAGCAAAAATGTGATCAAATCGTATTCTAGTCCCAGCTACTCGGGAGGCTGAGGCAGGAGAATGGCGTGAACCTGGGAGGCGGAGCTTGGAGTAAGCCGAGATCGTGCCACTGCACTCCAGCCTGGGCGACAGAGCGAGACTCCATCTCAAAAAAAAAAAAAGACTATATGAACATGTATGGCATAAATATGTACAAATATTATTTATTTTAAAAAAATTCAGGGGTAGGGACAGGGTAGTTAGAAAATATCTAAGGATGTTCATGAAATAATACTGGCTATGAATGACAGTTGATGAAACCGGGTGGTGCCCATCTTATTCCCTCGACTCGTGTATATGTTTGATATATCCCACAATAAACCTTAAAAAAAAAAAGATGAGTGGTCAATTATAGGAAGATATAAATAGAAAAGGCAATAAGGACAAAAGTTGGCAAAGCTTACCTAAGCACTCTTCAGATAAAAAGACATTTTTGCTAACTAGATTTGAATATTATAGTTTAATTGTCAAGGAAAATGCCTCAACTTAATCTTTGTTAAGAGACTACTTAAGGCACTATCAGAAGTTCCCTCATGGCAAGGTGCAATCCCTCATGCCTGTAATCCCAGCACTTTGGGAGGCCAAGGCAGGCAGGTTACCTGAGGCCAGGAGTTAGAAAACAACCTGGGAAACATAGTGAGACCCGACCTCTACAAAAACAATTTCTTAAAATTAGCCAGGCATGGTGGTGCTAGCCTGTAATCCCAGCTATTTAGGATGCTTAGGCAGGAGGATTGCTTGAGCCCGGGGATTTGAGGCTGCAGTGAGCCATCATTGTGCCACAATACTCCAGCCTGAGTGATAGAAAAAAAAAAAAAAAGTGTCTTTGTTATATTCCAAACTTGTTCTCAACTTTCAGGTGAGCTGGCTTCCTGTATAACTCTTGTATAGGACAGAACATACTGGTTGGGGCAAGTGAAACTGTCTAGTTGTATGCCTCATAAATTAATGAATTTCCTTTCTAATATATACACTGATATTTATACACACATACACATAAAACCAAGCTCAATAGATGGGTAGTGCAGCTCTATTCCCCAAAACCCAACTACCCTGTAACAAGACACATTAGACTTTTGAGATTGCAAGGATGAGGACTGAAATGCTGGCCTAGACCATGGTGTTGCCATAGTGGGGTGACCAGTCTGAATAGCCAACAATGCTTCCTCAGTAAATACCCATTTTGTCTTGGTGGGATTTCTATAAATTGCAAAATGCAGCTATTATGAAGCTGTAAAAGAGAAACAGAAACATGTAACACCTGGGACTGTTTTATTAGGCCCACCGTATGCTCAGAACATGAAATCTCCACTGCTAGGGTTATTTGATTGAAATTATCTTTTGTGTTGATGTGAGAGTTTAGCTCTGAGATTCTTCCACATGTAAAATGTAATCCCCCAAAGTATTTGGCAAGCACATTTTATTGCCTTGGGTCAGATAATTGAAACATTAGGCATCATATATATAGCATGTAAAAAGTAAAACAGAAACATTTATGTTTCTCACCAAGCAGTAAATTAGTACTCAACTAATAAATTTCTTAAACTCCCTAATAACAGAATATGGAAACAAAAAATAAATCTTTCCAAAAGAAGAGCTCATGGACACATTTCCTCATATATGTATACATAATATAGTAGAACACATGATAAATAACCTATAAAAATGATACCAATATCATTCATCAAGAGACGAGGCTCTTCTTTAAATTATTAATTTCATCTGTTACAGGTTTTATTATGACTGTAGTATGCTGTTTTCATCTACCTTTTATGTGTAGTTAAAAAAATAGTTTTCTATCTCTTTACCTTTATTTCAGCCTTTAAAAAGATTCCATTATTTTTTCATTAATCTTGTTTTTCAGTTTTTCCCATTTTTTCTTTTAAACATTTCTTAAGGAACCATATTTAAGATTTTATAGAATACTTAGATTTCTAGTTGGGATGTATCATTTAAAATTAGATATGTAGAGAGAGTGTTATGATATATTTCCTTACGATATATTAGTGGTTATAGTACCTAAATTTGAATAGTGATTCTGTTCATTCATTCATTCATTCATTCAATATTCACTTCCAGGAGATTGGGGACTTATTTAAAGACAGAGTAGTTCACATTATAGTTCCTTTTTTTAGTCCTTCTTATTCGTTAAAGAAAAGACTAGGAAATGTTTGTTATTACAAATATTTTATTAAAATTTTGTGTGCTCTAGCATTATTTTACCTTTTAAAATCAATATGTTAAAAATCCAACTTCTTTTTGAGCTCCCCATAAAAAGGGAATTATTTGTTGCTTATGGGTTTAACTTGTGTTATTTTTTTCTTAATGGCTAATTATCATACATATATTCTATTATTGTATTGATATTACTGATCATTTGTGCTACATTAAAAATTCTGTAGACAGACCTCTTTTCAAGTACAAAACCTCAAGAAGAACAGAAGACGAGTCTGGTAGCAAAAAATAAAATATGCACACTTTCACAGTCTATGGCCATCACATACTCTTTATTCCAAGAAAAGAAGATGCCTTTGGTAAGTGTGACTTTCATGTTACAGGGAATTTTTTTAGTTTACTTAAACTTGTGTTTTATCAGCTTTTTAGTATTAAAGTTCTGACTTGGGATCAATTTCCTCCAACCCTACAATAAATCTCAGTTTATCTTTAATTTTAAAAGAGAATGTTGTTTTCTTTTTCTGTTAAGCCTCCCTGTTAAGTAATAGCAGCAAGTTTAGTTTGGCCATGAATATCTTCTAGAGATTGTATCGGGGTACTGATAAACACATTTGTAGCTCAGGGATACTGCATCAGCCATATTTTAAAATGGGACTAACAGTTTAAAAACTATAAATATTCACAGTGTTAAGAAACAATCTCAAGATGCATTAAGAAAAAGGAAGGTGCAAAACAGAAAAACAAACGTAAACGTGTGTGCATATGCATGCTTATATAGTCACATATTCTTGTATGTGTACAAAAAATACACACTGGATCTCTGCAAGCATAGCCAAGCAACTGGAAATATGTTTTTAAAAACTTGCTTTTCATTCTATCTCTTCTAGTACTGTTTTGATGCTCTTTGAAAACAATCTAATTGCTGTAACAAATGACCATACGTAGGCCGGGTGTGGTGGCTCATGCCTGTAATCCCAGCACTTCGGGAGGCTGAGGCAGGCAGATCATTTGAGGCCAGGGATTTGAGACCAGTTGGACAACATAGGGAGACCCTGTCTTTACTAAAAATACAAAAATTAGCTGGGCGTAGTGACGCATGCCTGTAATCCCAGATACTTGGGAGGCGGAGACATGGGACTTGCATGAACCCAGGAGGCAGAGGTTGCAGTGAGCTGAGATTGCGACACTGCATTCCAACCTGGGCGACCGAGCAAGACTCGGTCTCCAAAAAAAAAAAAAAAAAAGACCATATGTAATGTTTCTTCATTGTTCTAAGATAAATCTTTAAGGCTGTTGAGGTTTTTTGTATACAAAATGGAGAGTAAGTTTTAATGGGATGGGACAAAATGAGGCTTACAGTTGAGTTTAATTTGAGTTCACATCCTGTTGACATTAAGTTGATTTGGAACAAGTGATATGGTCCAATGCCTGCTTTTCTATTGTCTGTGGTTCCATCCACTAGTGCCTGTGTTACACACCTCTTGTTCAGGTTTTATCATTTAAAATAAATAAGAATAAACAGTCCATAGCTTATCTTACTTACTGAATAAATGCTCTAATTTGACAGTCATGTTTCTTAAAGTTCCTTACAAAGGCCATTGCCCAAGAAACCAAATAATTCCATTATACTATTTTTGAAATAGAACACATAATAAATGGGAATTTTAAGTTCAGTTTCTTATGTAAACAATAACTTCTATGTACATGTTAAATATGCCTGTATATACCTAATTTGACCATGTATGTATAGTAGAAATGAAAACAGTTACTAAGAAAATTTGTTATTGGCTCCAAATTTTCTGAATTAAGTGTATTCTAATGCTCAGCCATAATATGGGGTTTCATGTGTTAGTTTATGTATTCATGGTTAAAAATGTGAAGACTGTTATATCTTCATTTGTGTCTTTTGGTATTATTTGGTTGTATTTTATTGTGTGATATGGTGGTATAATTATCCTTACCTCCCAGGAGTTTGAGAGGGTCTTGCCAGTTAACCGCAGAATTAAACATGCTTAGGACTAATTAATCAGGAGCAATACTACAATTAGTTGGAGGTAATTTGAAACCTGGTTTCAAATAACCCTGATATTATGCACACATGGTGCACACTTTTCTAGTAGACATTTAATGAAAGTAATTTAAAACCTACCTTTGAAGGATGAAAAACATTGCCTTAAATGCTCTATTCTGTGAAAGTATCAACATTTATGCAAATACAGTCTAAATTCAGACTTTGAAAATGTATTGAAAGAGAGGATCATGAAATAAGTTAGAGCTGAGTGACAAAGCTTTCTGAGTGTTTAAAAGAATGTTTTACCTAATAAATATCTGAAATGTATTTGGAGCCACATTTGTTTAAAGAACTGTATAAATATGTAGCACTGTTCATGTGAAGTTCAATAGTAGGAAAATGCTGACAGCCCTTGTGGAACTGTGGTTATTATTATTTTATGAATAGAGCCAATTTCAAACACCTATTAGAGTCTTCTCAGGAACATTTTATAGAATGCATCTGGAGCCTTATGTTATCTCTAAGCATTTTAGGATTTGTCTTCTTGGAAATTCATGTAACCAAACCACCATGTGTTATTTCAAGTGTATATAGTATTGGGTTACAGTTTACTATGTTTTCAGAAGGTTGTGACAACTATTAGACTTACAGAGAATGACTTCTCTGCCACTAACGGCTTTCTAAAGTGAATAGAGAGGGGCGAGGATTGAATTCTTCGGTAAAGCTGGGTGATTTTGTTTTATTCAATACAGTATAATAAGTATAAAAAGTAGAACCTATAGAGAGCTATAATGGGGGTAGTTTTAAAGAAATTCTGAAAATGAAAAACTTAAGTAAAGGTTTAGTTCATTGTTTATTTCACACTGAGCATTTACTACCTGAATGTTTTGGACATTTTATTTCCATGACTGGAGTGGACACTTTTACAACTCACTGGGTTCTTTGCTGATCTTTCTCTAGAAGAGCATAGCTGAGAGCAGGATTCTGCCTCTCATGACAATTGGCATGCACTTATCCCAAGCGGTGAAAGCTGGCTGCCCCCTTGATTTGGAGCGAGCAGGCCTGACTCCAGAGGTTCAGAAGATTATTGCTGATGTTATCCGAAACCCTCCCGTCAACTCAGGTGAGAGGCATGGCCTAGCTCTGCACCCTTAATGACTTGATGAAGTAAACAAGCAATCCACTATATTTTTCACTGTTAACAGCATTAATCCTTTATGCTATTATGAAAACCTTACTTTTGTGATTCTTTTTCTTGTTTTAGGAAAACAATCTTTCTTCCCATTATCACTCAGAGGAAAGTATACTGAGAAATTTTTTTGTTTTGTTTTGTTTTTTGAGACAGAGTCTTGCTCTCTTGTCTAGGCTGGAGTGCAGTGGCGTGATCTTGGCTCGCTGCAACCTCTATCTCCCAGGTTCAAGTGATTCTCTTGCCTCAGCTTCCTGAGTAGCTGGGACTACAGGCGTGTGCCACCATGCCCAGCTATTTTTTGTATTTTTTGATAGAGACAGGGTTTTCCATGTTGGCTAGGCAGGTCTCGAACTCCTGACCTCTGATGATCCGCCCACCTCAGCCTCCCAAAGTGCTGCGATTACAGGTGTGAGCCATGGCACCTGGCCAATACACTGAGAAATTTTTATTTTCCTTTTCAGCTTAAGGTTACAACTTCCCCACCATCCAAAACGTGCACTTTCATTTTTTTTCTAATTTCTATCTCATCACTTGCAAAAACCATATTTTTCTCCACATTCATTCCCAGTAGCTTCCTGACTCCTAGTTCTTCCCTAAATCCTTCTGAGTCCTTGTCATTGGTTTCGCTTGAGTAGCCTTTCTAATCAACACAGTCATTGGTATCAGTTACTGTGACATGGAAGGGACAGACCAAGTTCTGTGGGCCGCTACGTAGAAGGATTTCCTGTCACTTTGCTGCAGAACCTCAGCTCGCGGAGAGCAAGCCCCTTTGCTTGCCCTGTAGAAATATTTTAAATTATTATCCTTTTTTTTTTTAACAGAAGTAAATAGGAGATACGTTAGAGGATTTTCTCTCCTAGATGTGTAAATACAAACTTGGGGTCTTATAACTCAATAAATCTGATAAATTTCTTTTGACTGTTAGGATAGAGCAGTGGCCATACCAATAGCCTCATCTCCAAAGCTGCAGTGAAGATACTTTTTACTACCTTAAAGTCTTTCCCATTTGTGAACAACTTGTGAACAATTCCCCCCAAGAATTTGGAAGATCACTCTCTGAAAGCACAGTCAATACTGTACTTAAATGGATCTGAGCAAAAATAAGTCACTTAGAAGACAGGATTATTTCTAGACTTGAGTGTGACTTGACTGAAGGTCTAAAGAACAAACAGCTCCTTCACTTCCATTGATCACGGTGGAAGCACAGGGAAAGGACAGACACGGAGGCAAGTTGGAGTAGTGCTCATCTAAGTTCCAGGGATGCGGGGGAGTGGCCAGGGGACTTCAGGTATAGTAAATAAATAACCTATTTATAAGTTATGTCAATGTCATGTTTGAAATAGAAAACCAAATACTGCATGTTCTTACTTACAAGCAGGAGCTAAAGTTGGTGCATATGGATATAAAAATGAGAACAGGCCGGGCGTGGTGGCTTGTGTCTGTAATCCCAGCACTTTGGGAGACCTAGATGGAAGGATTGCTTGAGCTCAGGAGTTCAAGACCAGCCTGAGCAACATAGTGTGACCCCCATCTCTACAAAAAATAAGAAAATTAGCCAGACGTGGTGGCATATACCTATAGTCTCAGCTACTTGGGAGTCTGAGTCAGGAGGAGTGCTTGAGCTCAGGAGTTTGGGGTTATAATAAGCTGTGATCATGCCACTGTGCTCCAGCCTGAGTGACACCCAGAGTGAGAACCTGTCTCAAAAGGAGAAAAAAAAAAAAGTAACAGTAGACGCTGGGGACTACTGAGGGGAGGGAAGGAACAATGGTTGAAAAGGTGGGAAGGGACAGTGGTTGAAAAACTACGTGTTGGGTACTATGCTCACTATCTGGGTGATGGGATCAATTGTACCTCAAACCTCAGCATCCTGCAATATACTAATGTTACAAACCTGCCCATGTACTACCTGAATCTAAAGTAAAAGTTATAATTTAAAAAAATTATAATAAAATCAGAAAATAAAGGTCTGAGATGGAAAATTAAAAGACCAAAGCCACCCATAAGCACAATAAATCCCTCCCCCCAAAAAATTATATCTATTAAAAAAAGGTGTTGCGCCAGGCACTGTGGCTCATGCCTATAATCCTAGCACTTTGGGAGGCCAAGACGGGCAGATGACTTGACTTGAGGTCAGGAGTTCAAGACCAGCCTGGCCAACATGGTGAAACCCTGTCTCTACTGAAAATACAAAAATTAGCCAGCAGTGGTGGCATGCGCCTGTAATCCCAGCTACTCAGGAGACTGAGGCAGGAGAATCGCTTGAACTGGGGAGGCGGAGGTTGCAGTGAGCCGAGATCATGCCACTGCACTTCAGCCTGGGTGACAGAGTGAGACTCTGTCTCAAAAAAAAAAAAAAAAAAAGACCTTGTACCCTGACAAGTTTTAGTTTGTGCAGGAATGCTAGAATGACTCAAGATTGGAAAAATCTTTAAATGTTAATTACACAATAAGGGTAAAAGGAGAAAAATTACCTAATGTCATCTGAGCAACAAGAAGAAGAAATGAAAGGCATTAAAAATTGGGAAAAATTTATATTTGACAGTATCTTAACAACGAATTCTGCTTCTATATCACTTCCTAGCTTTCTGATGATAACTTCCCGTGCAGATCTGTATGTAAGGAATGGACGTAGTAGTCATGCTAATCTGAGTATTTATCTGTGTGATACTTACGAATTAACGATGTAAGTTAATAAGTTAGCATTTCGTGAACCTGGTTAATACCATTTGCTAAGGTTAAATTAGCCAAATCCTGAAGTAAGCTGTAAAACATCCAAGGTAGGGTAGAGAGGCATCTTATGAGAAAGCTGGCCAACTCTCCTGGTCACCTTCTAATCTTCCTAACTTCAGAAATCAAGGCAGAGAGAGGAAAATAGTAATTACTTTGTAGGATTAGATTTATGGTTGTCGAAACCTTTGTTTCTCCAGTGCAGAATGAGATAGCGTTTTAGGGAAAGCCAAAGACTCAGATGTCTTCTTCATGCTCATCGTGTGGAATTTTTCTTCCTTTAGAAATGTATTGTCTCTCAGGGCTTAAAGCAATTTGCATCTTTCGATGAGACATTGAGTAATAGGCAATATTCTCTGAAATAATTTGTGCAGGCTGGGCACAGTGGCTCACACCTGTAATCCCAGCACTTTGGGAGGCCGAGGCGGGCAGGTCACTGAGGTCAGGTGTTGGAGACGAGCCTGACCAACATGGTGAAACCCCGTCTCTACTAAAAATACCAAAATTAGCTGGGCTTGGTGGCACACACCTGTAATCCCAGCTACTTGGGAGGCTGAGGCAGGAGAATTGCTTGAACCCCCATGGGAGGTGGAGGTTGTGGTGAGCCAAGATTGTGTCATTGTACTACAGTCTGGACAACAGAGTGAGACTCTGTCTCAAAAAAAAAAAAATAGAATTTGTGCAGTTCCCCCCACCCCCTTTTTTTTTTCTGTTGGCATTTTTGCTATCATTTAGCTGCCTTCTTTATATCCTGAAACTTACAGGTGGTGTTGGTCTAGTCAGTAAGAGCAAAGGCTTTGGGAATAGATAGATCTGTATTTAGACCTTGGCTCTAGCATCTCATTGTTATGTGACCTCCATCAAGTGACCTAATTTCCCTAATATTCAATTTCCTCATCTCTAAGACAGGGAGTTAATATTGCCTCTCTTATAGAATTGTGAGAAATATAGTCATGTGTCGCTTGATGATGGGGATGAATTCTGAGAAATGTGTTGTTGGGCGATTTCATTTTGTGGGAACCTCACAGGGTGGACTTAAACAAACCTAGATGGTATGGCCTACTACACACCTAGGCTGTACGGTATAGCTCCTGTCTTCAAACCTGTACAGCATGTGACTTTACTGAACACTGTAGGCAATTATAACACAGTGGTATTTGTATATATAAACATAGTGAAACATAGAAAAGGCCCAGTAGAAATACAGTGTAAAAGATTTTTTAAAAAAGCTGGGCATGGTGGCTCACGCCTGTAATCCCAGCACTTTGGGAGGCCGAGGCAGGCAGATCACTTGAGGTCAGGAGTTCAAGACCAGCCTGGCCAACATGATGAAACTCCGTTTCTACTAAAAGTACAAAAATTAGCTGGGCGTGGTGTTGGGTGCCTGTAATCCCAGCTACTCAGGAGGCTGAGGCAGGAGAATTGCTTGAACCCAGGAGGTGGAGGTTGCAGTGAGTCAAGATTGTGCCACTGCACTTCAGCCTGGGAGACAGAGCGAGACTCTGTCTCAAAAAAAAAAAAAAAAAAGAGATAAAAAGGTACATCTGTACAGGGCACTTACCACGAATGGAGCTTGCACCCTGGGAGTTGCTCTGGGTAAGTCAGTGAGTGAGCGGTGAGTGAATGTGAAGACCTAGGACTGTGCACTGCTGTAGACTTTATAAACCCTGTGCACTTAGGCCACACTCACCCCTGTGATACGAGTCTACCTACTGTATAACGTACCTGCATATGTACCCTTGAAACTAAAACAAAAGTTAAAAAATTTATCTTCTTTTGCCAATAATAAATTAACCTTAGCTTACTGTAATGATTCTTCTTTATGAATTAAAATCTTTTTACTCTTTTGTAATAACACTTGGCTTAAAACACAAACATATTGTACAGCTATACAAATATATTTTCTTTATATCCTTCTTCTCTAAGATTTTTTCTGTTTTTGATTTTGTTAAATTTGTTTTTACTTTTTACATTTTTTTTGTTAAAAACCAAGACAAAAACCCACACATCAGCCTAGGCCTACATGGGCTCAGGATCATCAGTCTCACTATCTTCCACCTCCACATCTTGTCCCACCAGGTCTTCAGGGGCAGTCATATGCATGGGGCTGTCATCTCCTGTGATAACAATGCCTTCTTCTGGACACCTCCAGAAGGGCCTGCGTGTTTTACAGTGAACTTCTAAAAAATAATAAAATGTATAGTATAGCAAACACATAAACATAGTAACATAGTCATTTATTATCATTTTCAAGTATTATATACTGTACATAATTGTACATGCTAGACTTTTACACAGCTGGCAGCAAGGTGAGTTTGTTTACACCATTACCACCACAAACACATGGGTGATGCTTTGCATTGTGATGTTACGATGGCATGATGTCACTAGGTGGTAGGAACTTTTCAGCTCCATGATAATCTAATGGATACTTGTTCCTGTTGGCTGCCCGTCGTTGACTGCAACATCATTATGTGGTGCATGACTGTAAATTAGATACTGTTCAGAAAGCTTTGGCACACTGGTAATAGCAAATGGTGGTGGCAAATATGATGATGATGATGATGATGATTGAAGACATAGATGGTAAAATTTTATGGTGTCTTAAAAGTACCCTCTAAATATGATTATTTTTATAGTCTGTCCTTTTGAATAGGCACTTAAGAATGTATGAACTTAATAAGTATATAAGAAAGAATGTTCCCCAAAATATATCTTACAGAGGCATACAATTTAAGAATTCAAACAGGTTGTAATGGGGTGTGTGTGTGTGTGCACACGCGCACGCATGCGTGCTCATTCACACTAAAGAATTCTTGGGCATATGTTCCTGAATGTCCTAAATGGACATTCTAACATCACTTCATTATGGGCAGAGGGAAATGGTAAAGAAAAATTTCATATTATATTATTCAGCCACATATTGACAGCATCTGTTTTATTTGCCTATGGTAAAGAATTGAAGCACTGTTAATTTGCTTTTTAAATCATGTAGGCACAAAGTTATCGAACTTTAGATTTAGAAATGAAACTGGAAATCATTACACTTTCCCTTTCCTATCCCCACCCTGTTTTGGAGAGAAAGAGTGTGAGGCTTAGAGAGTTATAAAACTGTTTTAATACCATGTCTAAGATTAATAACTGAACAAGTTTCTCTTTTTACTCGTGTTAAAGTTGTACTGCCAATTAACTTAAAAGAAAGAAATATGCAATTTCTAATCCTGATATAGGATATGGGTATATAAACTCTAACTTGATGAGTGAAACAAATTAACTTATTTATAATCAGTTTCATATCTTTATTTATTGAGTGTCTTTAAATACCCCTTACCTTTAAAGTAAGAAATATTAAAATCAAGCAGAATATAATAATGAAAAATTCTTAAGATATACTTACTAAAAACTTATCCTTCGGTTAATACACTGTATGTAGGTTGTACATACAATATGAAAAAGTATATTTTTGTAGCCTACTTTTAAATCCAGAATAGAGGAGGTTAAGAAGGTTGTGATAACCATGAGCTCTTTTTTTTTTTTTTTTGAGACAAGGTCTTACTCTGTTTCCCAGGCTGGAGTGCCGTGGCACAATCATAGCTTACTGCAGCCTTGAACTCTTGGGCTCAAGCAAGCCTTCCACTTCAGCCTTCCAAGTAGCTGGGACCACACCTGGCTAATTTTTAAGTATTTTTGTAGAGATGAGTTCTCACTACATTGCCCAGGCTAGTCTTGAACCCCTAGCCTTAAGCGATCCTCCCACCTCAGCCTGCCTAAGTGCTGGGATTACAGGTGTGAGCCACTGAGCCCAGCCCTCTTTTATTTCTTTTGATAGTACACTCATAATCATTAAACTATCATTTCTGGATGTGAGATTGTGCTTTTGGATTCTTATTTTTTCTTTATAAAATACTTTTTGTTCTCTTACTGGAGAAAACATTGTTGGATTATAAATGATATAACAAGGAATGAGGATATACATACTATAATAACGATTCAGATATGTTATTTTCATATTTTATTTAACTGTAGCCATGCCACAATAATTTAGAGTTTTAAAGAACAAGTTTGATTGAAATCTAAACTTTGTACAATCCTGAATTGAGAAGTTTCCTGTATTTTATTATGACACAATATTTACCTAAAAATAGAGTAATTATGAATTGAGAAAACATAGCTATTAATTTCATACTCTTATTTGTTAAGTAGATTTTGTCTGGAAAACTGTTCATATTTAAAGGAGCTTTGTACCTTTGTATTCTTTTTGTTTTTCCTTGTTTATATAATTTTAAACTCTGTTTATGGATTTGGGATTCTAACTATGCTAAATAATAAATTAAGGCATTGAATGAAGTACCTAGACAGTATTTTGATTAATTTTATTCCCCCATTCTTAATGTGCATGTAACTGGAAAATTAAGAGTGGCTTCCAAGGGATCTACTACAAAAGTAAGGTTAATATGATCTCTTTTAAAACACTGAAGGCGTGTAGCCAGTGTTGTCATTAATTCTGCAGTAGATATTTTCAGCACTTATTTACATGGGAAGTTAGAGCAGAGTAAGATGCACCTGTAAAGCTAAATGCCACTTATTTGCATATATATAAAACGCAGGATGAATTTACCATAGAAATATAAAGGGTACTTATAGAAATGTATTAGAAAAATATATGAATTTTTAACTTATATCTAGAAGTTAACTTTATACATTTAACTTTAAATCATTAATAGTGGTTTAACACCATAAGCGGATGTTTATGCATCATCATTTTATGAACAAAAGACATTCTAATTTTAGAAATAAAGTGATTCAAAAGAGAATAAAATATCTTACTTTTTCTTTTAAAATTAATTTGTTTAGCGCATTACATGATAATAGCTCAAGCTTGTGTGATTTTTCCCTAAAAAATTGGTTTATAAATATTACATTTATAGTATGAAGAAATTAATCATACATAGTTTATTTATCTAATTTCTAAATACCCATGGAAGAAAATGAATTTAATGGAATGTAGTTGTGTATTACTTGGTTTCGAGTGTGGGAAAATTTATATGGTCTTTCTAAAACAGCACTGTCAGTAGAAATACAATGTGAGCTACATATGCAATTTTAAATTTTCTAGTAGCCACATTTTAAAAAGTAAATGGATGCAATTTATTTTGATAATATAATTTAATTAGTCTACTATATTTAAAATTTTATCATTTCAACATGTAATCAATATGAAAATTATTAATGAGATATTTTACATACTTTTTTCTGTAATAAGCCTTTGTAATCAGGTATGTACTTTATATATACAACAAATCTTCTGATGCTAAATTTTAACTGGAAATACTTGATCTGTGTTTAGCTTTTGTAAAATTTACTGTTGAACAACGTGGACTAATGTGCCTAAGTGGTTCCAAACATATTTTAAAATTTGAAGACAAATAAAAGGGAACTCAAAGTAAATTGGGATACATACATACAACAGAATACTGAGCCATTAAAAAATGATGAAATAGTAAAATTGGGGGAATTTTGATGATACTAGGATGATATAATGACCAAGAGACAAATACAATTTTAGTTTGGTTGAGAGATGTGATCATCACGTTGCTGATTTTACTATGTATAGAGGTTATCTTTTCCTTTCTAAGATTTTGAAACTTTAATTAGTTAACCCACTTACCTAGTTTCTATTAGCTGTGTAACTTTCTCTTCCTGTTTTTTGTTTTGTTTTGTTTTGTTTTTTGCTTTTTAACTGCAGTATTTTGAGGAGTCTTGGAGTAGCAAGCTAATCTTTGGAAGAAAGGAAAATATAAACCTGAAAACTAACAATTTAAAGAACGTCTTTTCAGGTTGTCATTTGAAAAATACTTGATTTCTGATCACTGATTTGAATTGAGTGTCAAATATTTGATATGTTTTGTAAATTAGGTGAAGATGAGTGAGTAGGTTCTAAACTGCTTGGGTTTACCGCACTCTGGAGCATTGCAGAAGAATGTGATGTTGGAAGGAAGTGCTGAAACATAATTATTGGCTTGCCTATAGGAGGGTGCTACATAATTTTAGAAGGTGTCAAGAAATTGACACAGTCTGAATTAGTTCTGTTGAGTTGCAAAAAATGTAAAGTTTCTTGATTCTGAAAATAAGAAATATGTTCCCAGAAATCTCATCTAGTTAATGTGCTTTTAAAATCATTGATGTCTCTTGTTATTACAATAATAGCCATTGAAAGAATCTTTTTTATTAGAATGTTATTTACAGGTACGATTAGCTTCTATTTAAATAAATTATTTTTATACTTGATCTTAGGCAAAAGGCCAACAAGTGATCAGAATAAATTATTTTAAGAGAAAACTAATTATAATTGATATTTGGAATTGGAAGCACAATTTCCTTTAGAACAATTCCACGAATGGTTGTTTTGATTCTCAAGGCAGCCCACAAAAGACAGTTTGAAACACAATTTATGCAGTGTCAATAGTACTGACCTGACTTTGGATCTTGGAGGCAGGGGCTTCAGGTGATACCCGAGTGGAGTTTTTACTCCATTTCCATTCCGTAAGGCTATAGGCATTTGAAAGAGGAAACTTTTCTTTGGCAACCTTCCACCTTCCTTTCTACAGAATATTTCAGTATTTCTAGCTCATAGGTTTTCTAAAATATTCTCTGTAATTTATTTTGAAATGGAGTTTTTTTATCGTTTACAGATATGAGTAAAATTAGCCTAATCAGAATGTTAGTTCCTGAAAACATTGACACGTACCTTATCCACATGGCAATTGAGATCCTTAAACATGGTCCTGACAGCGGACTTCAACCTTCATGTGATGTCAACAAAAGGAGATGTTTTCCCGGTTCTGAAGAGATCTGTTCAAGTTCTAAGAGAAGCAAGGAAGAAGTAGGCATCAATACTGAGGTATTAATTATATATAGAATTTTCATAAAGTGTCAGTTTGTTCAATTTGCATATCCTAGTACTAGAATGCTGTATTTTTTTGAACTGTTATGAATTCTGATATGATTACTTTCTCTATGTGCTACATTTCCTTTGCTTTTCATAAATATGATCTGAGAAAAGTGATTAAAAAAAAGACAGTAAAAGGGAGGTTTAGTCCATCTGTTTAGCTTATTATGTAGAATGTCAGCTTAAATTTTACCTGTACCTCATATTGACCGTATAGCCTGGAAAATCTTTCGGAGGTATAGTTAATGGATTTAAGCATATGGCAGTTTATGTAGTTAATGAAAGTGAAAACAAATTGTATTATAAATACCTCCCAAACTGGTTTATTATCATTCTATCATTCTTCATGCTCTGTTAGTATGATATTGAATATCTGAGGTACCAGGATTATTGTTGCTTGTGGCTCTGAGCATTTCGTAGTGCTTTTGCATGATGAGAGAAAGATTACAAATTTAGTATTATGTTAGATGGTACGTTTTATTAAAATCAAATGCTTCAAAAATAATTGCTCTGTGTATGGCATGAGATAAATAGCAATCAGATATATTGTTTAATAATATGACTCTATTAAATGATGGCATAAATTTGAAAATTTGACCTTCGGTATCTTCCGGGTCTAAAATTATATGACTCCATTATAAATATTTTGGAAATGATTAACTAAAAAATTGTTTCAATTCTTAGTTGGTAAATTCAATGTGGTAGTAGGTGGTGGTGATTATTTTGTATTAGAGAATTAGGAATTACACTTAGTTCTAAGGTAATCTTTATAGGATGTCCAGCAATTAAACCCCTACTTTTTTGAATTGCTTAAAAATAAGGGAACTGATCTTTTTAAATTCTGTACTTGAGTTACGTCTGTATATATAGTCATGTCCTAGATAATCTAATGGAACTTAATTAGTTGGAAATCTTTATATTGTTTATAACTGAACTAGCTATAAGAGGAACATTAAAGAAAACATATTTTGAGTGGAGGTAATGAAATTTAGCTTCTAATGCTCAGCCTTTTATTTCTGTAATCTATACCAGATACCTAAGACCCTCTTATTGTTTCCCAGCTTCAACCTGTCAGTATAGAAAACGGTGTAACTTACTATTTTTTCTCAATATTGAAGCACATTTGTAGTGAAATATTATTTTAACTATATATTGCCATTTTTGCTTTTTCCCTATTTCAGTAACATTTTTCGCTATTTCAGTAACATTACATGTCAACAAGAGAATGGTGGGTATTTTGGGGGGGGTTGGGTGGGGAGAAATTTTACTAAGCTTGCTAGATTCTAAAAGGTATACCTTATTTGGCCCCTTTTCCCCATTTAGGGGAACAAGGGTGTTGGGGCTGGGAAGTAGATAAGAGGTGAGTAAGTCATCCAAAGCATATGTCTTCATTAGCCTCCCTGTATGAAAAGCTGATTTCTGTAGAGTGTTGGAGGCCTACTTTCAGAATCTGTCATATGTTAACATTCATCTTCTCTACTGACCTGATTTATATCCCTTAGTCTATTTCATTTTATAATTATGACAAAGGATAAAGTCATTAGAACAAATTCTTTTTATTAGTTGACGTATTGTTGTGTTTATATCTCTTGTGTTTGTTATTAAGATGGAAGCTCAATCATGTCCTTGTTTAACAGAAAGGTGATGTCTTGGCATTGATAATTCTGATTCAATATCCATAGGTACATGGTGGATTCTTTAAATATTTAGTATTCTTTTATTTCTGGAAAGTTTTCTTAAATGATAGTTTTTTTAAAATTTCATTTCTATAAAGTTTTCTTAAATCATACTTTTTAGTGTTTTATTCCATTACTTCATATTTCTTCTTCAGGAACTCCTGCTATACATGTATGTTGGATCTTCATTACCCAGCTTCAATATTTTTCACTTTTCATGCATTCTTTTTATTTCTTCATTTCTCTTTAAATTTTTTTCTTCCTTTTCACCTTCTATTTCTCTTTTAACATAATTGTATTTATTTCTGTATTCCACATAGCTTAGTATTCACTTATTTTAAAATTATTTTAAAACGTTTTTTAGATTTAAAAATTCTTTTTTTATTTATATATACATATTTTATTTTTACCAAAGGAGCAACACTATTAACTGAAGACTTCTATAATTTTTTTCTTTTATTTCTGATTCTTTCTTCGGTTTTCCCCCTCAGTTTTGAACTTTTCTAATTTTGATTTGTGATGTCCTTTTGTATTTTAGATAATTTTCCTAATGTTTTCCAGCTCATTTGGAAAGGCTACAGTTTTATTCTGTACCTAAGCAAGTCTTTCTGGTGTCAAAGATTTGACCTTGATACTTTTCTTTTGCTCATTTTCGTATGAGATTAGTTTTCCTGTACTTTCAAAAGAAGGCGTGGTTCAAGATGGCTTTCCCAATTTCACATCTGTCTCTAATGTTTTTGTGTAATGTCTAAAATATGGAAACTTGGTTTATGAGATCTACTCTGCCATTTTTATCTGGGCTTTCTCTTCCTTTTGTCTCTGTTGTACCTGTCCTGCTTGGTTTTGATTTAACCCCAGTGGTTTCTCCTGAATGTGGAGCCTTCTCCTAGAAGGCAGCCTCGGCTAGTCCCAGGGTTCAGAGTAGCCAGCTGCTCTCTTCACCTAAGAGACCACTGTGGATTCCTTGTACTCACTTGCTATTGGCTTGGACAAAAGCCCTCCCATTTTCAGATGCTATTATCAGATTAATCTCTCATTAATCTGTCTTTCCAGTGTATGCCTGTGGGCTATCTTGGGGTTCTCTTGTTATCAGACACCTCCCTGCTGGCCTCTGCTTTCTCCCGTACAGATGTCAGTACTGTGCAGGTCTTAATTGCTGTTGGTGGTTTGCCCCTACATTCTTACAGTTTTAGTTTCCCAAGGATACCTTTAAACTTGGTTTTATTGTAAATGTCGACAATGGATTTTGGGTTTTACTATCTAGTTCTGTCTTAATTCTGGAATTCAGAAAGATTAAAAGCTCTGTTGTTGCAGCTGCTGCCACCTCTTCCCAGTACCCTCTCCTCCTATGTCATTTTTTTCTTCTTATTTTTCTTGACTGTATAAGAGAGAATGTATGACATTTCCTGCTTGACCGCTGAGTTTGATTATAAATTAAAATACACAATATTTTATACAAATTGTTTTGTAGAAGATTTATTTACAGATGCTCATTCACAGGTAAAATTGACTTATGAAAATAGTTTTCATGACAAATGTATCAGGCTCGGTAACTAAATATATGGATTGATCTTGTTTATAAATGAAATTAAATGTGAATGTAACTTACATATTTCTGTATTTGCTTACATCCGTATGTACACATATAATCAGCAAATGAGTTGATGTTTCCTATTCGTAACTTAATGGTAATAGCTTGGTAACAGAGTTGGGAGTATTAAAAAGATGTAAAGAGCCCCTTAAAATTTTGTTGCTGGGAATTTTAGTGTTCTACTGATGAAGGAAATAGACACTGGAAGGCGTTGTTTCTATTAGGTAACTTAGATATCATACTGAAGACTTCAAATACTTATTGTTGACACTCAAAAGACACACTTAGTGTAAGTAAGCATTTCCCCGCTTTTCCCAATGAAATAAGATCATTATTATAATTCCATTATAAATGCTGATGATCATATTTATAGAAATATAGAAGATAAGACTTGAAATGATATTCGCTACCAATTAATGAGTTTGAAGAAGAAATCAGGATGTGTTTTGCTATTTTACATTTATTCTTATTTAACTCCAAAGAATTCAGTGATGTTATGTACTATTATTTCCATTTCTCTGTGAAGACGTTGAAGCTTAAGTAACACGCATAATAAGGTCATACATTTAGCAAGTGGCTCAATTAAAGTTCAAACCTGGTTCTGCCTGGTTTCAAAGTCTGTGCTACTCCATGGTATTAGGCTACAACATGACTTAGGGTTTCTTCCTCTGCTCTATTGCTGTTCAGATGTACTCCTCTTTTGGCAGAGTGGGAGAAAATTTTTGCAATCTATGCATCTGACAAAGGCCCAATATCCAGAATCTACAAGGAACCTAAACAAATTTACAAGAAAAAAAAAAAAACATTAAAAAGTGGGCAAAGGACTTGATCAGACACATCTCAAAAGAAGACATTTATGTAGCCAACAAACATATGAAGAAAAGCTCAACATCACTGATCATTAGAAAGATGCAAAATGCCTTTTCTGTATGCCACCTTATATCCCCAGTATTTATTATTTCTAAGTCATAGTATCTTACAGTGTATATAAGTCTCATCCGTTCTTTTGATTTTCTCTTCCCTGCTTGCAATTGGGTACCTAGGAACAAAGTTGCAATCTTAGCCAGTTTTTTCTTTAGCCTTTGCTGATGTGTGAAAAGCCCTTTTTTCTACCCTGGATTTCTGTACTTAAGCTGGAACAGCTAAGTTTTTACCTTTTTTAAATATAAAGTTTCAGAGTCTTCTGCCAAGGATCTTTTGCTGTTTTCCTACTGTTAAATATTTCAAAGCCTTTTTTAAACATAGGGAATATAATCAAACATAGCAAGCAGCTGATGAACAATATCTAGATAGTCTTCATTATTGAAATGGAATAAATGGTATTTTTGTATTTTAGGCTAACAGACACCTTGTACCTTAGATAAGGCCAACCTTCTCATAAAATCCCTCAGTTACTTTTATTAATAATAACCAAATTAACTCTGGATTCCAGGGTGTACTCATGATGGAATGATTTCTCTGTCATGTTATCCTGAGGATCTAGTACTCTGAGATAACATAAGTGTATGACACTTTAGGCTTATGAAACACTTAGCTACTTAAATTATTTAATTTTTTTTCATGTGCAGATGGTATTGTACCCAAACACTACCTTTGTGTGTGTGTGTGTGTGTGCCTGTGTGTGTGTTTTTGAGACAGGGTCTTACTCTGCTCAGGCTGGAGTGCAGTGGCGTGATTATAGCTCACTACAGCCTTGACCTCCTGGGCTCCAGTGATCCTGCCAAAGTGTTGGGATTGCAGGCGTGAGCCACCTCACCCAGCCTTAAATTATTTTTTTTTCAAGGATGTTTAACCTGAGGGTTAGAGGCTCTTTGGCACGTGAGCTGCTGAAATGTGTGTGAAAGTGTTGTGCACGTGTATGTTTCTCTTTTTTTCTGGGAAGTGGATCTGTAGTGATTCTTAGATGAGTCTATGAGACAAGAAACTTTTATTTTTTTCATTTATTTAGCGAATGTTTGTTAAGCGTACTATGCCTTGGCCACTCTACAGGGTGCTGATTGGACCAGTCTGTCTACCTACCGTTGTAGATGTTAGAAGCTATATTCTTTTCACATGCCTAATATAACTCTTTGTGTATGTATACATGCCCAGGCATGTTCCTTCCTCAGAACATTAAATTCACCATTTTGGTCAACTCAAAGCAAGTACACCATGGGACACAGATCTGAAATAATGTCCAGATTTTTACTTACTGAATGAGGTGTGTTGAGTGTATAAGACTACATGATGAGATGGCAAGTAATTGCCTGAAGAAATGATGTAGTGATTTTGTGTGTCTTATATTTATTTACTTTTTGATCCAGAAATAAATTATATAGATACCACTATTTTGTTTGGATGGGGGAGAAAGGATGGGTGTGTATTCAGGAACTTATGTTACTTTTTTGCAACTAATACCCCTTCTCAGTAGTACAAAGATTTGATTTCTTTTTCTTTCTATTTCCTACAGACTTCATCTGCAGAGAGAAAGAGACGATTACCTGTGTGGTTTGCCAAAGGAAGTGATACCAGCAAGAAATTAATGGACAAAACGAAAAGGGGAGGTCTTTTTAGTTAAGCTGGCAATTACCAGAACAATTATGTTTCTTGCTGTATTATAAGAGGATAGCTATATTTTATTTCTGAAGAGTAAGGAGTAGTATTTTGGCTTAAAAATCATTCTAATTACAAAGTTCACTGTTTATTGAAGAACTGGCATCTTAAATCAGCCTTCCGCAATTCATGTAGTTTCTGGGTCTTCTGGGAGCCTACGTGAGTACATCACCTAACAGAATATTAAATTAGACTTCCTGTAAGATTGCTTTAAGAAACTGTTACTGTCCTGTTTTCTAATCTCTTTATTAAAACAGTGTATTTGGAAAATGTTATGTGCTCTGATTTGATATAGATAACAGATTAGTAGTTACATGGTAATTATGTGATATAAAATATTCATATATTATCAAAATTCTGTTTTGTAAATGTAAGAAAGCATAGTTATTTTACAAATTGTTTTTACTGTCTTTTGAAGAAGTTCTTAAATACGTTGTTAAATGGTATTAGTTGACCAGGGCAGTGAAAATGAAACCGCATTTTGGGTGCCATTAAATAGGGAAAAAACATGTAAAAAATGTAAAATGGAGACCAATTGCACTAGGCAAGTGTATATTTTGTATTTTATATACAATTTCTATTATTTTTCAAGTAATAAAACAATGTTTTTCATACTGAATATTATATATATATTTTTTAGCTTTCATTTACTTAATTATTTTAAGTACCTTTATTTTTCCAGGATGTCAGAATTTGATTCTAATCTCTCTTATGTAGCACATGTGACTTAATTTAAAACCTATACTGTGACACAGAGTTGGGTAAACGATGATTATTTAACTTTAAGCAGTTCACCATCCATTTCAAAGCCTTTGATTGGCTTTTTTGTAAATAAAAATAACTTGTTAAGAAACAAATATATCTGTCATAGAAGAACTAGAAAATCCAGGGAAGTGAGAAAAATGAAAATAAAAATCATTCATAGTTTTACTAGTAGCTAATCACAGTCAACCTCTTTTGTGTATCCCACCAGACTTTTTTATATTCATTTGTTTTTAGTTAAAATATAAAAGTCTCGTATATTCCCATTTTTCTGCATTGCATTACCAGAAGGTAGTGGCGCCTATTAAATATGTGATATGTTGTTGTCCAGCCATGGCTTCTGCATTTGCATGCTTTTGTGTGTGCATCTGCAATACCCTGTGAATATCCTGTGTGATGGAGTGGCAAGTACGCACAGACACGTCTGCTGCATGCCTAGGTACGAGGCTGTCTCCAGGAGAAGCACTTGTTTGATTATTTGAGTTGCCAATTGAATTTGCTGCTTTTTTTCATGGCTTGCCATTTTCACTGAAAAGAATGACTAATGAAAAACGATGATTGGTTATTAGATTTGGATGTTTGGCAGACATTTTCTCAAAATTGAACTAAGTTGGCCTCTTCACGGAAAACAACTGGTATTTGTTGTGCCAATGATAAAATTGGAGATTTCTAGCAAAATGTATAATTTTGGAAAAGTTGTGTTCCTCCACTGGAAGCTTGACAGCTTTCCTTAACATAAAGACTTCTCTTTCTCTTCGCTTTCACTACTACTACTACTAATTCTTCTTCTGATTCTTCTTCTTCTCCTTCTTCCTTCTTCCTTCCTTCCTCCTCCTCCTCCTTCTTCTTCCTCTTCCTCTTCTTCTTTCTCTCTTTCCTTCCTTCCCTTCCCTTCCCCTTCCTTCCTTCCTTCCTTCCTTCCTCCCTCCCTCCCTCCCTCCCTCCCTCCCTCCTTTCTTTTTCTTTCTCTTTCTTTCTTTCTTTCTCTCTCTCTCTCTCTTTCTTTCTTTTTCTTTCTCTTTTTCTTTCTTTCAAGCAGTCCTCCCGCCTCAGTCCCCCAAAATAGTGGGATTACAGGTGTGAGCCACCATGCACAGCCTTACATAAAGCCTTTTCTAATGAGATGGATAGTAATTAACAAATGTGAGTTTTTGATATTATATAAAGATTTTTTCTGTGTTTCGAAGATCCGTATAACTCAGTGAATCAGTATGTTCTGGATGACTAATATGTGATGTTAAGAAATCATGACTGAGGCCGGGCGCGGTGGCTCACGCCTGTAATCCCAGCACTTTGGGAGGCCGAGGCGGGCGGATCACGAGATCAGGAGATCGAGACCACCCTGGCCAACATGGTGAAACCCCGTCTCTACTAAAAATACAAAAATTAGCTGGGTGTGTTGGTGCGTGCCTATAATCCCAGCTACTCGGGAGGCTGAGGCAGGAGAATCGCTTGAACTCAGGAGGCGGAGATTGCAGTGAGCTGAGACTGCGCCACTGCACCCCAGCCTGGCGACAGAGCAAGACTCCGTCTCAAAAATAAAAAAAGAAATCATGACTGGGTAAAAGATCTGTTCAGAGTACAAGATGGACCAATGGATTTGATATATTTGAATATAACAGAGTATGAAAAAGTTTATTGATATAGTTTCAGATTACACACTGCAACTAATCTTTAAGAAACTATTACTTGTCCACTTTTTGGTAAAATTTCAGAGAACAATGTCCACCATTATCTGAACAGGCTATTAAAATACTCTTCTCTTTTCCAACTACGTGCCTGTGCAAAGTCAGATTTTTTTCATATACTTCAGCCAAAACAGCATATCAAAATGGATTGAATGCAGAAGTAGATCTGAGAATACAGCCACTTTTGTTAAGCCAGACAATGAGATTTGCAAAATGTAAACAATGCTGCTGTTCTCAGTTTTTAAAAATATGTTTTTTAAAAGTATTTATGTTAATGTGTACTTGGTTTACTACTGCTATTTTTAAATAAAACAAGAAACATTTTTAAATGTCTGTTTTAATTTCTAAAGTGGTAGTGATAGATATAACCCATATTAATAAAAGCTCTTTGGGGTCCTCAGTGATTTTTTTTTAAGAGTATGGAAGGGTTCTCAGACCTAAGAGATTGAGAAATGCTGATGTAATGTTTTATTATAAAGGTGTACCATGAATTATGTACCTTACTTCATATTGTTGGACATTAAAGTTGCTTTCAGTTTTTTTGTTTTAAACAGCACTGCTTTGACCTTTTTTAAAAAATGAGTCAGGGTCTTGCTGTGTTGCCCAGGTTGGAGTGCAGTGGCTATTCACAGACATGATCATAGCATGCTATAGCCTTGAATTCCTGGGCTCATGTGATACTTCTGCTTCAGCCTCCTGAGTAGCTGGGACTATAGGCGTGCACCACTATGCCCAGCTGCTTTGAACATTCTTGAAATGAAATATGGTATAGTCTCATACCATATCATAGCCAGAGGGGGAGAGAGAGAATTTTGTTGTTGTTGTTATGTTATCTGTAGTGGACTTTATGCCTTCCCAGCATAAATTCTCTCTTTCCCCATTTTTCGTGACTCTTGATTTTTGTTGGGGTTCGTTCCAAGGAGAATAATTTCCATCTGGATATTGGATTGGCACCTGTGACCTCTTCTGAGCTAGACCCTAGTAACAGCGTTTGGATCTGGGGTAGGTGTGTGGCCAACTGAGCTGCTGGTTCATGCCTTTCCTGAAATGAGCCCTACCTCTGAATATTTCAGAAACATGGGACATTAACTTCCCTTTACTTACGTTAAACCCCTTTGAATGAGGAGTTGTTTTTCACTTCCAGTTGTGTTCAGTTGTCACAGAAGCACAGCGATGTGATTGGTGGAAGGACCCGTCAACAGACCCAGAAGATGTAAAGTGTTTTTAATCTCAAAGGATGTGGAATCTCAGAGATAGTTACACCGAGTAGAGGATGAAGCGGCTCCTGGATGGAGGCAGAGGCTTCCTGGATCTTCAAGTTCTGTATGGGTTGTTGTATGAGGTTGGTGCAAAAGTGAGGCAGGAGAATAGGGTCTGGAGGCAAGGAAACTAAGGCCGATTCACACTGACTTCCTAGAACTAAATCAAAAGGAAAACCCCAATTTTCCAGACCTAAATAACAAAAGTACCAGATGGCTCCTCCCTTTCAACTGCCCCTCCCCCACACCTTTCTGCGTGGCACATGGAAAATTGAAAGTATCTCTGGTTGCTTCTGCGTAGGAATGTAACTTTGTAACCAATCAGACGGATCGCAGGCCAAGTCGCCTGCATAGAAATGTAACTTTGTAACTTCACTTTAGCCTCTGATTGGTTGCTTTCCACAACCAATCAGATGCTTGCATAGGGTGTACCTGTTGTGACTTCACAAAGTGGTGGAAGTGGTGGAAGTGGTGGAAGGGTGGAAGGGCTATTTAAATTTTTATTCATCCTCTGATTGGTTGTTTCACTTAAGCCTCTAATTGGTTCTTGAGTCCTGGAGCCTGTGAAGGGTACTTTATTTTCAGTAAATGCATGCTTTTTTTGCTTCATTCTTTCCTTGCTTTGTGCATTTTGTTCAGTTCTTAGTTCAAGACACCAAGAGCCTGGACACCCTCCACTGGTAACAAAAGTAACTGGTGTTTTTGCCATTAGAAGTAATGGCACAGAACAAGTACATGAGAGCGATTTCTTATGGAAAATTAAATGGCGCATAAGTCGTGTGCTCAGGTAAGGGAGCTGGGAACCGGTAGAGGAAGGTCTCCAACCCACACCCGTGGGATCTCTGAGTCTTTGAAAGTCCGTCCTCACCCTTTGTGAAGAATGGGAGCACGGCTGGACTCGTCACCGGGGGTTTTGGGGGGCTGAACTTGTCATTTGAGGGTGTAGGGAGGTTGGATGAATCGCAGGGGTGCAGGGAGGGGGCCCACTGGAGCTCCACCAGGACCCCAGCACCCTAGATCCAAACCTGGTCATGCTTCCCATGCTCAGAGGCAAATCTCCCTCCCCTTGGGGGGCGGAGTCAGACGAGACCCCCTCTCCATCCTTTTCCAGGTCCGGCGGGGGCGGGACTTTAAAGGTAAAAACAGCAATTACTTTTGCACCAACTTATCTTCTAAGTTTCGCTCCCTACCACCTGAGTGTGTTTGGAGGCTCTGGCTCATTGTACCTGCCTGATCACCAGGTGCAAGTAGCTGGGCCAGAAGGACCTCGGCACGTTACGGAATATTTACTACAGGAACAGGTGAGCTGAAGGCGAATTCCCCAGGTGTAGCCTGTGACCATAGATTCAGACAAAGCCCTGACTGTTGCCTGGAATTCAAAAAAGCTGTAGCCCTACCAGATAGAATAAGAAAAGAATATAGGATTCTTCCTATTCAAATAGGTTGCATATAATTAAGAGCATGAACGATCCAATGGAATGAACTCAAAGTAGTTTTTGAGTGTAATAGACTTGAAGTGTCTTATGGAAAAGAATTGCAAAACCACAGAAACAGTGAAGAAGGTTAGTTATAGCCTTGATGGGGTAGCTGACTTCAGCAGTCTCAGCTATCTGAAAAGTTATTTACCAGATTTTGGTTGGGAACATAATCCCTAAATCATTTGAGATAATGTACTTGTTTCCTTACTGGGTAAATGTGTTTAAACCTTGAGAAAATGTAGACATAAGTAGAATATAGAATAAATTAAACCTTTGGTAGTTATGTTTTAGGATTAAGGACTAATAAGTACATATTTGATATTTAAGCATTTGTAATGCTTGAGATAATTTATCCTACTCAAGTAACAGATTACTCTTGTGACTCCAATGTAAAATATATCATTGAAAAATTAGTATCTGCTTGTGATTTTTAAGTAGAAACCCTGCCATTTGAAAGGTATTTGCCTTTATTATTGGAGATATTTCATATGAATGTTTAACTTTGTTATTGCATAGAAGTATTTAAACAGATTTCACTTGCAAGAGAAAGATATCTAATAGGTTACTCTTAATCAGTACTAAATTACTACAATTACTATATTCTATTAATATCGATTCATTAAAACCCAGAGCTTTAATTATGTCTCAGAAAATTAATTAAACTTTAGCCTCATAATCAGCTTTATTTTCTAACTCAATGTTTAAAAATTGACAAGTATGTATTATACTTATTTATGTCTTCATTCAGTAAACATTTGCATTTGTAGCATGCAAGACAACATGCTAGACACACGAAAGATGGAATAAATGGAAGAAAATGCAACACAGATCTCATGCTTAAGAGGGACAGATTTACTCTGAAGATTCAATGAAAAAACATCCACAAACAACTTTTCTACAAGAAACAAAACATTTTAAAGAAAACATTTACTTCAGCCGGGCGCGGTGGCTTACGCCTGTAATCCCAGCACTTTGGGAGGGCGAGGCGGGTGCATCACGAGGTCAGAAGTTCGAAACCAGACTGGCCAGTATGGTGAAACTGTGTCTCTACTAAAAATACAAAAATTAGCCTGGCGTGGTGGTGTGTGCCTGTGATCCCAGCTACTCAGGAGGCTGAGGCAGGAGAATCGCTTGAACCTGGGAGGCAGAGGTTGCAGTGAGCTGAGATCAGGCCATTGTGCTCCAGCCTGGGCAACAGAGCGAGACTCCGACTCAAAAAAAAAAAAAAGAAAAAAGAAAAAAAGAAAACATTTACTTCACATAATAAGATATGAGAAAAAATGGACTCTCTGAATGAAAAAAAGAGGAGATCATGTGAAAGATTTGCGCTTTTTTTTTTTTTAAAGTTATGGACTGAAACACTCCTAATCATTAACATTTGTTATTTTAGGGGAGTGGAATTGGAAAGGTGGAAAGGGCTATTTACATTTTTATAATCTCCATGTCTTTTAAATCAATATATATTGCATTTATTCTTTTAGTTAAAATTTTAAGAACTCTATAAAAAATAGAGACAGGGACTCCCTTTGTTACCCAGGCTGGTCTCAAACTCCTGGGATTAAGTGATCCTCCCACCTCAATTAGAAGGGTGGAAGGGCCAGCTGTTTAAGTTTCTATAATCTCTGTTAAATCAAATGTATATTGCATTTATTATTTTAAATTTTAAAAACTTTTTTAAAAATAGAGATGGGATCTTCCTATGTTGTCCAGGCTGGTTGTGAGCTCCTAGGATCAAGTGATTCTCCCGCCTTGACCTTTCAAAGAGCTGGGATTACAGGCATGAGCCACCATGCCCAGCCTATTTATTTGTTTATTTATTTTTAGAGGCAGGGTCTCACTCTCACTAGACTGAAGTGCAGTGGTGTGATCATAGCTCACTGCAGTCTCAAACTCCTGGACTCAAGCAATCAACTAGCCTCAGCCTCTGAGTACTGAGATGACAGGCATGTGCCTTCATACCCAGCTAATATTTTTGTAGAGATGGGGTCTTCCTGTGTTGCCCGGAAGAGTCTCAAACTCTTGGCCTCAGCCTCCCAAAGCACTGGGATTGCAGGCATGAGCCACAACACATGGCCCTGCTTTTAAAAAATATATAGTGGGCCAGGCTTTCTGGGATGATGGGCAACCATTACATTTGCTTTCTCTCCATTCTGAATGTCAGCCTCCATACACCTCTCTTGAGCCATCTCTTGATGCCCAGGACTGGCAGGCAAGCAGGATGTTAGGGTGCTGGCTGGAGGGCTGGAAAGCCCCAGGGCAAGGATATGAACGTGAAGGATTTTAAGGAGATTCTTGGACCTCAAGGGAACTTTTGGTCCTGGTTTCCTAGAGTATGTTAGATCTTCTTGGCCCCCAAAGAATCAAGGAAAAGCTGAATAGGTGGACCGAATCCTTTCCAGCACTGAGGCTGGGAGAACTCTATGACACCAGTGGGTGCTCATCCTGGTGCTGCCATGGACCTGACTACCTACGTCCGCTAAACTCTCCAGCAGCTGAGCCTTCAAGAGAAGACGTCCTCCACCTTTTCCATGAGATGAAGAATCCTTGGGGCCAGGGGATGTGCTCACTAGCTCACACCTGTCTCCATCCTCTAGACCATGCTTGCAGTACACAGGACCCCAGAATGCCTGGCCCAAACACTCGTGAGCCTCCAGGGGCTGCAGGGGCTTCTGGCCTTGTTTCCCCATCTGATGAGTTCGTTTCTTGGTCTGAAAGATTGTGACAGTTACTACGAGACTGAATGAAGGGGGATGAATGCAGAAATGAAAACTTAAGACAAAAGTAACTTTTAATGAGAGGGGCCGAGGGAAGAAGAAGAGGGCTCCCTGCTTCTAATGAGCAAAGGCAGCCACCCTGAGCTTCTACAGCCCTTCGTATTTATTGAGTAGAAAGAGCAGGGAGGAGGAGGTAATGATTGGTCAGCTGCTGGATTGATCACAGGTTCATATTATTGCTAACAGGCTTCAGATGTGCCTGATCACAAGAAACACTTGCGCCTGGGCATGACTGCCCTCAGCATTCCTTCTGGGCGGCAGATGCAGTTTGTCAGTTTGCTAACAACCTGCTTTCATGAGAACAGTTTGCTGCTTACTTACACAGCCACCAGTGATTTACTGAGTTGATCACGACCCTCACTCTTTCGGCCTCCAACAAAAGACGATCAAAGAATGGTTGTTTGCAGAGGTTATGGACAAGACTTGATGTCCAGGCCGAGTGTCCGTATGCACAGGAGCCTCTTGGTGGTGCAGAGTGAAGCCAGAGGAGGAGGAGTGGGTTGTGTCCATGGGCTGATTCTCCCTGCACCAACAGGACAGAATCCTAAGGAATCCGAGCATTTGAAATTCAAATCTGGTCTTACAGGTTGTTATGTATTTGTCTAGGTAGGAGGCTAGAATGTATTGAAATGGGGTTAGCCTGACATATTTATATATTTCATATTTAGGCTTCCATTTGTTCCTTTGTCTTGGGTCCCAAAAATATATTAGAGGTGGGCCTGTCTGTTCTCTTGGACACGAGGACCTCAACGAGTTTCCACTGTTCTCTGAATGTTTCCTTCCTGGTTTTCTGTGTATACAATAATTCCTAGTTTTCTGTTATTTACAATTTTACTTCCACTTTTTAAAGACAAAAATGTATGTTTTTTTAGTCAATATTGATATAGTGGACCAATATATTTTACCGTTATTTTTGCTTACTGTTTTTGTTTTTTTGCCTTCCTCATCTTCTCACTAAGTTTGTCTGACTACAGCCACACACCATTCATTCAATACCAACTCTTTTTTATTTTTATTTTTTGGAGAGAGGGTCTCACTCTGTCACCCAGGCTGGAGTGCAGTGGCATGATCTTGGTTCACTGCAGTCTCAAACTCTTGGACTCAAATGTTCTTCCTGCCTCAGCCTCCTGAGTAGCTGGGACCACAGGTGCACACGACCATGCCTGGCTAATTAAAAACAAAACAATTTTTTTTTTTTTAGAGACGGGGTCTCACTATGTTGCCTAGGCTGGTTTCAAACTCCTGGGGTCAAGTGATCCAATACCAACTCAACAGGTGGTGAGACCCAGTGGTCTAGACAAACAGCCACATAGCAATATGTTTTTCTCCATGATTCATATCCATGTTCGTTTGTTACAAAATAACAGGCATGAACATTTTCTTCAGAGAGGGAGATCCCCACTTATCCATTAATGACTCATTTGGTGTCCATTCCAAACTATTAAACTGCAAAAGCAGACATGAGAAAAGAAACTTAAGTCAATGTTTTTATCACATGTTGGTGCCAGCGTCCCATAGTGGTGCTAAATTTATGAAATTGCAACAAAACAAAAACCCAAACAACCCAACAACGAAAAGCTATTTAGTGAACACCGTGACTAACAAGCTTATTAGAACTGCTTATCAGAGCTATGTGTGGATTTTGTAGGGGGAAAGATTTTCTTCCCTCGTAGACATTTTGCAAAATAAAAGTAAAATATTACCTTTATGTACGTGGTAGATAGAATTCCACAAGCTTCAAATTCAACGACTCAAAAATGTTGCTTTTACTTTCCATATCTCAGAAGTCACTTTTATTTTATTTATTTTTTAGAGATAGGGTCTCGCTCTGTTGCCCAAGCTGGAGTTGCAGTGGCACAATCATAGCTCACTGCAGCCTTGAACTCCTGGGCTCAAGCAGTCCTCTTATCTCAGCATCCTGAGTAGCTGGGACTACAGGCGCATACCACCACTCCTAGCTGATTTTTAAATTCTGTGTAGACATAGGATCTTGCTGTACTGCCCAGGCTAGTCTTGAACTCTTGGCCTCAAGTGATCCTCCCACCTTGGCCTCCTAAAGTGCCGGGATTGCAGGTGTGAGCCACCATACCTGCCCAGAAATCTCTTATTTTAAACCCCAATTCCTCCTGATAGTAAAAAAAAAAAAAAAAAAAAAAAAAAAAAAATGTCATCTTGGTGTATTTTGGGTAGGCTGGATCACTTCAAGTTTCCCCCTCCTCCTGAAGCTCCGACAGAGGCCTGCAAGCCCTGCTGGGATCTGTCCTCAGTCCCTCTCGGGCTCATCTTCTACCATCTTGCTGTCACTCCATCTCCCTGTCCTTCCCTTTGCTTCACCCATACCAGACCCTGTACTGTTTCTGGAAGACACCAGGCATGCTGTGTCTTAGGGGAGAATGTGATTTCACCAACTAGTGCTGCCCAAGTAACATGCATTTGCCCTGACTGCTCTTTTCACCTGCTGTGCTGTTCCCCCAGATAACCACAGGCAAACCCCGCCAACTCCTAGTTTATTGAACTATACCATGAGTAACTTACTTAAAATCTCCATACCTTGTCCCATTCTCTCTTACCTGTTCCAATACTTATTTATGATGTTGATAGATGATCTCCCTCTACTAGACTGGAAGCTCCTTGACAGCGGGGATTCTTGTCTGTTTTGTTCACTGCTGTGTCTTTAGCACCTGGAGAAATGCCTGGCACACAGCAGGAACTCAGTAAATAACTGCTGAATAAATAAACATGAATAAATCAATGAATGGGGATGCCTAAGTGCTTCGGGATTCTGGTCAAAGCTTTGGCAACTAGGGACGCACAGGGACCCTCATCATCTCTGCCTCCTAGGCAGGTATCCACTGAGATCCGCAATCCCATCTGGTCCTTGGACCAGTTACCCTTCATGTTGGCCTCTGTTAAGATGTCCAGGTTGTATCTGGTCTCCCACACAGCATCCCTTTATTACTACCCCTGGACCTCAGCAGTCAGCCACACATTCAGTAAAGGCCACAGCTCTGCCATCTCCTAGCTAGGGGACTTTGGACAAATTACTTAGACACTCTGAGCCTCGTTTGTAACATGCAGAGACGTTGCTGGGATTAGACACAATGCCTGTAGACCATTTAACAATTGCTGTCACACATGGTTGGTATTCACTCAGCTGTCGCTATGGAATTAGCAGACAGAAAAGGCACAGCGTCAGTGGCTGGGTGTCCAGAGAGAAGCAGCCTGTCTCTCTAGATAATACTTGGCAAAATCACAGCAGTCCGGTGTGTGGCCCTTTACTGACCTTGATTAAAAATCGGGTGTCAGCACCCCAAGTGGATCCTTCTTACAGGTGCAGATTCAGACTCATTATCCAAGTTGACAGAGACAGAAGTAAATATTCAACAAATATTTATTGAGCACTTACTATGTGCCAGGCACTGTTGTTGTAGGTGCTGGAATACAGCAATGAACAAAAAAAGTGAAACATTCTTCCTTAGATGGTGGTAAAGCGATAGGAGGACACAGCAGGGAAGGGGTTTGGACTATTTCAATTTGGGACAGGAAACGCCTTGCTGAGAGAGTGAGGGTTGAGCTCTGGAATTAGCCTGGGTTTGACCACATGTAACTGCAACTTTGAGCAAGTCGATCCACTGTAAGTCTCTTTTATTAACACCATTGTGTGTAAGAGGAAATAGAAACTTAGCTAAAGTCGTTGGAGAATTGAATGTGGTGCAGCATTTAGCACAGCGCAGGAATAATAAAAGCCAGCTGTTCTCATCCTTTGCCCATAGAAAAGCTATCCGGGAAGCCACGTTATAGTCTGAAGGCTGCCTACTGGTTTGGTCAAAGAAAGGGCAGTTAGATAATTTTCATGTTTAATTAAGGGCACGGGGCTAGATTTCTTGAGGTGCCAGAGTAATGCTTGCTTTTCATGAACAACGGATACAAGATATGGGCATTGCAGAACCTTTAAAGAACATAACTGGAATAATCAAATAACCGAAAGTTCATGAAATATTCTGGCTCATGAATTAGTTATCTGGTAAATCACAGTCTGAAAGTCACAGAATAAAAATTACTTTAAATTTCCTCCAAAGCTTACTGAGTAAGGGGAGGGACATTTAAGATGCGGAGGAAGCGCTGAACTTGCAAGAGGAACAAGGAGGACGGTGGCTGCTGGAACTCTGTAACCCTTAGAGAAGATGTGGGTGGGATTTGGCAAGCCCCCTAGACTCTCTTTGTTTTGGGTCTTAATAGGGACAGTTTATTATTTTTAATGACTCGCGTGAATTGTATACTGTTTTAAGCATCCACCAAAAGCCTTTCGGCTTTTTCCCTAATTAGACTCATTCTCACACAGAGAGGAACTGAACTTTTTACCTCTTTGGTTCAAGAGCACCATCTACTGGTCAGATTTGGTAATTTCGGGTTTATGGCACTGGAAAATCAAAGAGCATTTTGATTTGGTTGTGTTTGGTTTTGGTCCATTTATCAATACAGGTTTTTTGGCGGACAAAATAATGTGAAAATCAGGGGAATCAGGTGAGGGCATTGGATGTCTCTGTCACAGACGATGGGGAGCTCAGCCGATTTTAAGCTTCTAACCTCAGCTGGTCTGGAGAAGAGCAAACCTGACAACCAGCACGAAGAAAGTAGCTCTGCCTCTGTGGTGTGCTGGACATTCTGGTTACATAGATGGGAAGACGAGGCCCTTTCCGACAAATATGCAAATCCCCCACATCTCCAAATTTGGTAGCTCTGGGGCTTAGGGCAGCTTCTGGAAACAGAACTCAGACCTAGCCTGCTGGAGCAGGAAGGGCTTCTGAGAAGATGATATCTGGACCATCTAAGGAGTGTAAATAAGAAATAGCCGCCAGGCATGGTGGCTCACGGCTGTAATCCCAGCACTTTGGGAGGCTGAGGCGGGCAAGTCGCTTGACAAAGTCAGGAGTTTGAGTCCAGTCGGGGCAACATGATGAAACCCCATCTCTACAAAAAATACAAAAATTAGCTGGGTATGGTGGTGCATGCCTGTAGTCCCAGCTACTCTGGAGGCTGAGGTGGGAGGATCACTTGAGCCTGAGAGGTTGAGGCTGCAGTGAGTCGTGATGGCTGCACTCCAGCCCGGGCGACAGAGTGAGACCCTATCTTAAAAAAGAAAGAAAAAAGGAAGAGGTCAGGAGTTTGAGACCAGCATGGCCAACATGATGAAACCCCATCTCTACTAAAAATAAAAAAAAAATCAGCTGGGCGTGGTGGCATGCGCCTGTAATCCCAGCTACTGGGGAGGTTGAAACTGGAGAATTCCTTGAACCCGGGAGGCGGACGTTGCAGTGAGCCGAGACCACACCACTGCACTCCAGCCTGGGCGATAGAGCGAGACTCCACCTCAAAAAAAAGAAAAAAGAAAAAGAAAAGAAATAGCCAGATGGAGAACAGGGGAAAGGCCAGAAGAGCAGGGGCGTAAAAGGCGTGGAATGGCATGCGGGGGAGTAACAAGGTTTTTTTTTTTTTTTTTTAAACGGAGTCTCACTCTGTTGCCCAGTTTGGAGTACAGTGGCGCGATCTTGGCTCGCTGCAACCTCTACCTCCCGGGTTCTAGCGATTCTCCTGCCTCAGCCTCCTGAGTAGCTGGGACTACAGGCGTGTGCCACCACACCTGGCTAATTTCTGTATTTTTAGTAGAGATGGGGTTTCATCATGTTGGCCAGGCTGGTCTCGAACTCCTGACCTCAAATGATCTGCCCGCCTCAGCCTCCGAAAGTGCTAGGATTACAGGCGTGAGCCACCGTGCCCAGCTAGTAACAAGGTATTGACTGAACCAGAGTGGGGTGTGTCAAGATCGGGAATCAGCAAGCAGCACAGGGGGTGTCCTGGGTGGGGATCTGGGGCTCAGGCCTTCCTGCTATCCTGCTACCCACCTGCACACTTGTTCGTTTTCTTTCCACTCATTTTTCTCCCTTGCCCAGACTTCAGGTCTACCAGCTACACTTCTTGATTTCTTTGGCCTTCAAAATTCGGTTCAATAAGGAAAGTTTTAGCATTATTTTCATATAGGTCCTTGACATTTCTTGCTAAGGTTATCATTAGATTTTTTTTTAATGGTGTAATAGTTCAGACCTTCACTCAAATGTCATCTCTCTAGAGAAGCCTTCCTTAACTACCATACCAAAAACGGTTCCAGCGCCGCTACCGTCTATCCCAGCCTATCCTCTCACGTCCTGTGGTCCTGAGGTTCTGTGATAATGTTCTATAATTCTGTGCTGTCCAATATGGTAGCCACGAGCCACATGTATTTATAGCGTCGTTATTGAGCACTATATAATGTGGCTAGTGCAATTGACACACTACAATTTTAGTTGAATGCAATTTAAATTAATTTACATTGAAATAGCCACATGTTTGGCTCACACCTGTAATCCCAGCACTTTGGGAGGCTGAGGCGGGTGGATCACCTGAGGTCAAGAGTTCGGGACCAGCCTGGCCAACATGGTGAAACCCCATCTCTACTAAAAATACAAAAATTAGCCGGGTGTGGTGGCACGCGCCTGTAATCCCAGCTACTCGGGAGGCTGAGGCAGGAGAATCACTTGAACCTGGAGGGTGGAGGTTGCAGTGAGCCGAGATTGCACCACTTCACTCCAACCTGGGCAAAAGAGTGACACTCTGTCCAAAAAAAAGAGAAATAGCCATATGTGGCTGGTGGCTATTGTATTGGACAGCACAGCTCTGTTTCTCCCACTAGAATGTAATTTGATGAGGGTGGGGACTTGGACTTATTCACAGCTGAATACCTAGAATGGAACATAACTGCTATGTTTTGAATGTTTGTGTCCCTTCCAAAATGTATGTTGAAACTTAATCCCCTATATAAGAGTTGAAGAACCTTTTAGAAGGTAATTAGGCCATGAGGGCAGAGTCCTCATGGATGGGATTAGGGTCTTATAACAGGACTTGAGTCCTCTATAAGGAACGGAGAGTTCACCTTTCCTTCCCTTCTGCCATGTGAGGACACAGCGTGTGTCCCCTCTGAAGGACACAGCGACAAGCCTCCATTTTGGAAGCAGAGAGCAGCCCTCACCAGACACTGAACCTACTGGCGCCTTGATCTTGGACCTCCAGCCTCCAGAACTATGAGAAATAAACTACTGTTGTTTGTAAATTGCCCAGTCTGTGGCATTTTGTTATGAAAACAGCAAAAACAGACTAAGACAAATCAGTTCTGGCACATGCTAGTAACTCAGTGATTCTTTGTAGAGTGAGCAAACGTGTGAATGAATGAATGAATACATTGTCATGCGCAGCTTTCGTGGGTCGTGAGTACAAATGAGAAAATACGATCATGGTGCCAATGCAATGGCTTGAAACCCCAGCACTTACTGGCAGGAAGTCTGTCATTTTTTGCAATTCTCCTTCCCAAGTGTTTCCAGACTCCCGAGAAGTGCACATGTATATTTAGGAATCAGTTCTCATCTGCTAGAACACGGGAAGGGAGTTAGTTGATAGCAGTTCAGCTGCTTCAAATGCAGTCCTAGCTGACCCTGGAGGATCCAGGTACCTGTGGGTGCCATCACGGCCACCTTTGCACTATCCTGTGAGAAACTCTCTCCCATCCTTGGTGATGTCCTCCTGTGGTAACCTCAGTGAGAGAACTCCATTGATTCCCTAAACCAGAGGTCCCCAACCTTTTTGGCACCAGGGACTGGTTTTGTGGGAGACAGTTTTTCCATGGACCATGGGTGGGGAGGGGGGGATGGTTTTGGAATAATTCAAGTGCATTATAATACGTTTATTGTGTACCTTGTTATTATTATTACATTGTAGTATAGAATAATTATACAACACACCATAATGTCTAATCAGTGGGAGCCCTGAGCTTGTTTTCCTGCAACTAGACAGTCCCATCTGGGGGTGATGGGACACAGTGGCAGATCATCAGGCATTAGATTCTCTTAAGGAACATGCAACCTAGATCCCTCGCATACACAGTTCACAATAGGGCTCATGCTCCTGTAAGAATCTAACGCTGCTGCTGATCTGACAGGGGGTGGAGCTCAAGTGGTAATGTGATGGATGGGGAACTGCTGTAAATACAGTTGAAGCCGCTCACCTCTTGCTTTGTGGCTGGGGCCTGGGTACCCCTGCCCTAGACAGTAGACTTCTCAAGGGGAGGGGAAAGAATGGGCCAAGGAACTGTGTCAGTCAAGAGGGCCCCCACTCAACGGAAACAGACCAGCCACTGGTCTCACAGTGCAAGTCAAGGAAGCTGGTCTCAGAGCTGTTAGAGGGGATGCGTGATAAGCAGATCACACCCGGGAAGACTCGGCATCAAGATGGAGAGGAGGGAATGCGATGCGCCTGGTGGCAGCCGTAGGATCTCCTTCCAAGGCCGCACTGGAGGAGAGCTGCCTCCTAAGAACAGGAAAGTGAATCAGAGTGAGGCTGTCATTATAGTAAGATAAAGAAAGATGAGTGCTTGTTTGGGAATCTGGACAGAATTAGCATCTCCTTGCTTTAGGATAGTGGCTTCTTTTCTCTCTTGAACAAAATACTCTCCTTAATAACTGCAGACCCAGGATAACATGGAGTCATTGTTCAAATTCACCCCATTGCAGAATTCTCCAGTTATCAGCATTTGTGTGTGTGTGCGTGTGTACCTACATGTGCACAGATGTATACACACACAGATAAACACACTCCAGGCTTTGGGGAAATCATATTCGTAGATGCCTGTCTCTACCTTTATTATGTTAAAGAGAATTCTGACTCTCAGGTCGTGGACTTCATTCATTGTGTTGCTCACATGCAGGAAAAAAAAAAACCAGAATGCAATAAGGATAATTCATTGATTTGTGGGGAAAGAGAAAATTCATTGTTTTGGGGGGAAAGAGAGAATGTATTGATTTGTGGGGAAAGAGTCAATAAGTGAATGTTTCCTGTTCTAGGACTGGCTTTGCCTTGTCAATAATTGATTTTGTTGTTCAGAATACATTTCAAAACCTTTAAAGCAGTGTGCAGTTAAGGATGATATTTTTGCCTGAAATGACTACTTTGCATCATGTAGAAGGAATAGTGTCTTTTAAAGGCAACAGATGCAAGTCTAGGACCCCAGAGCTTTAGAAGGCTCTGGGCTTCGGGTATGTGTCTGATGTGTTGAGAGTTGCAGGGGACGGGAGGGATGTCCACTGTGGGCCAGTTTCTACCAGCCACCGAGAAGCTGGAATTTGTTTATTCATTTATAGAGCAACAGGAACTGGAATCGAAATCTGTCAGTCCCTATGTGCAGGGTGTAATTGAATTGACTTCTCTGCTCTCAATTGGAACTTCCTTTGACCTGTAGTGAGAACATTTTATGGCTCCCTCTAATCTAAAAAGGGTTTTTTTTTTTTTTAACTTTCCTCCCTATTCCCTTGTCTGCTAACCAACAGAGAACTCAGCCCACAGCCTCACAGACAGAATGAGAGCAATGCTTAATCCTTGTTCAGTGAATCTCATGGCCTCCTCTAGTCTTCAAACTTGGATTCCAAGTGCCTTGAAGAGCCAGACACAGTGGCTCATGCCTGTAATCCCAACACTATCGGAGGCTGAGGCAAGGGTGGATCACTTGAGATCAGGAGTTTAAGACCAGCCTGGCCCACATGGCGAAACCCTGATTCTACAAAACATACAAAAATTAGCCAGTCCTAGTGGTGCATGCCTGAAATCCCAGATACTCCAGAGGCTGAGGGAGGAGAATCACTTGAACCTGGGAGGTGGAGGTTGCAGTGAGTGGAGATCGCACTACTGCACTCCACTCTGTCTCAAATAATAATAATATATATTTTTAAGTGCCTAGAAGAAAGAACTGCACTTCTGCAGAGAGCGCCTCCAAAGCTCAGGGTAAGTGACATGCTGCTTACCATCCTAGAATGGAACCAGGCCACCCATCCCCAGGTGGGACAACTGCACTCCCAGGATAACCCCTGAGTTATGGGCAGACTTGTGTCTCTCCCCAGTTCAGATCTTGAAGTCCTAGCCCCCAGTGCCTCAGGATGTAACTGTAGATTCTTTAAAGAGTGAATTAAGATGAGGCCATTACTAAAAGCCTAGACCTGACCACTATGCAATCTATGCATGTAACAAAATTGCACATGTATCCCATCTCTACAAATTAAAATAAATAAATAAAACTACGTCATTACAGTGGGTCCTAATCCAGTATGACTAGTGTTTTTGTGTTTGTTTTTGTTTTGAGATGGAGTCTCTGTCACCTAGGCTGGAGTGCAGTGACACGACCTCGGCTCACTGCAACCTCCACTTCCCAGGTTCAAGCAATTCTCCTGCCTCAGCCTCCCGAGCAGCTGGGATTACAGGCACGTGCCACCACATTCAGCTAATTGTTTTGTAATTTTTTTTTGAAGTTTTTATTTTTTATTTATTTATTTTTAATCTTTTTTTATTTTATTTTATTTTTTTACTTTAAGTTTTAGGGTACATGTGCACAACGTGCAGGTTAGTTACATATGTATATGTGTGCCATGCTGGTGCGCTGCACCCACTAACTCGTCATCTAGCATTAGGTATATCTCCCAATGCTATCCCTCCCCCCTCCCCCCAACCCACAACAGTCCCCAGAGTGTGATGTTCCCCTTCCTGTGTCCATGTGTTCTCATTGTTCAATTCCCACCTATGAGTGAGAATATGCGGTGTTTGGTTTTTTGTTCTTGCGATAGTTTACTGAGAATGATGATTTCCAAATAGAGACAGGGTTTCATCGTGTTGCCCAGGCTGGTCTCGAACTCCTGACCTCAAGTGAGTTGCCTGCCTTGGCCTCCCAAAGTGCTGGGATTACAGGCGTGAGCCACCACTCCCCGCCTGGTGTTATTAGAAGAAGACATTAGGACAGAGACACAGACACAGAGGAAAGGCTGAGTGAGGACACAGGGAGAAGACAGCCATCTGCAAGCCAAGGAGAGAGGCCTCAGAAGAAACCAACCCTACTGACATCCTGAGCTTGGGCTTCCAGCATCTAGAAACTGTGAGAAAATAAATGTCTGCTGTCTAAGCCACCCAGCCAGTGGTATTTCGTTGTGGTAGCCCTAACAGACTAATACATGCTGAGTCTCTCATTGTTCAAATCATCCTGTAAAACTGACTCAACAGGCTTTTTTTGAGCAGGGTTTTCTATTCATGTACTCATTAATTTTCCTTAAATTAAAAGTTGCAAATACAATATACAAAATTAAAAGTTCAATTAGAAAAATGAGTTTCTATAATCAGCCTACTCAGAATTAACCATGGTTTCAAATAGGGGTTTTGCTGGTGTTTTTTGTTTTGTTTTGTTTTGAGAGAAAGTTTTGCTCTTGTCTCTCAGGCTGGAGTGCAATGACGTGATCTCATCTCACTGCAACCTCCACCTCCGGGTTCAAGTGATTCTCCCGCCTCAGCCTCCCAAGCAGCTGGGATTACAGGCAAGCGCCACCATGCCCAGCTAATTTTGTATTTTTAGTAGAGACGGGGTGATCTGCCCTCCTTGGCCTCCCAAAGTGCTGGGATTACAGGCGTGAGCCACTGCGCCCGTTAGCTGTTTTGTTTTGAAATCAACTTTGAAAAATGTTTTGATATCTCATCATGTCCCCAATGCCATTTGTAATGGTCACACAGCATTCTGTTGTATGATGTACCATGCTTTATCTAACTTGTGTCCTATTTTTGGATAGTTCGAATTTTCCTATTTCTTTTCACTATTAGAAGCAAGGCTGCAATGGACATCCTTTTAAATACTTTTTAAAAACAAAAACCTTGGTACAAGTACCTGTATATAGACTTGCAGGGTCAAAACTTCCCATTTGATGGCTATTGATATGTACTAACAAATTGTCCTCCAGAAAGTGGTCTTTTCCTCACCCTCATCAGTTCTTGGTGTTACCACCTTTTTGCATTTTGCCAAGCTGATAGGTAAAAAAGTGTCTCTTACTATTGTATGTATTGAATTAAATTTATTTATTTATTTATTTAGACAGGGTCTGGTTCTGTCCCCCAGGTAGGAGTGCAGTGGTGCAATCATAGCTCACTGCAGGCTTCAACTCCTGGGCTCCAGCAATCCTCCTGCCTCAGCTTCCTAAGTAGCTGGGACTATAGGTGGGCCCAGCTAATTAAATTTTTTTTTTTTTTTTTTTTTAAGATACAAGGTCTCACTACTTCGCCCAAGCTGGTCTTGAACTCCTGAGCTCAAGACATCCTCCCACCTCAGCCTCCTGAGTTGCTGGGATTACAGGCAGGAGCCACTGTGCCTGGTTATTATATATTTCAAAATAACGAAAAGAGTGGAATTGGAAGTTCCTCACACAAAGAAATGACAAATGCTTGAGATAATGGTTATCATAATTATCCTGATTTGATCACTACAACTTGTATGCTTATATCAAAATATCACATATTTATATTTTTAAAAATTATATTTATATTTATGTGATATTTTGATATATTTTGTAATGATCATTTTACATATGAACATATTTATACATATATACAAACCAAATAAACCATACATATTTATACATATGCACCTATGTACAAACCAAAGAAATTGGGATATAGCTATCCCAGTTCTATTAAAAAATTGAGATTTTTTTCTTCTCTATTGATATTTCCTACTTTTTTTTGTTTTGAAAAATAATTTATCCTTGAGTCAGTTGTGATGATTTATACCTGTATAGAGATTACTAGTTCGATCAAAATCATTTCATTTATTGTTAAAAATTGTATAATGATATTATCTCCTAACTGAAAATTTTCCTTTATCTCTGTGATTATATTCCATTTCTCATTCATCATATTTTCATTTCATTCCAGTTTTCCTTGGTTAGACTTTCCTATGATTTGTGTCTTTTACTGTTCTTTTCAAAGAACAGCCTTGGTATTTATTTATCAATTCTATTTCTTTTTAATTTCACAATTAATTGTTTTCTGTTTTTACCATGACTAATTCCCACCACTGCTTTCATAGATTAATTTTGTGTTCTTTTTCTAATTTCTTCAATTAATTTATTTTCATTTTTTAAAAACTTAATAATAAAAGTTCTTAAAGTCCTAAATCTTTTCCTGAGTACTGTGGGATTCTTTCCATGTGCTTCTGCATGTAGTATGACTATTGCAATTGGTATAGATGGTATTACAGTTCTTACTCCTTCTTACATCCAGGGATTACTAAGGAGACTGATTTTAAATTTGCAAGAAGTTTGACTTCTAAAAGTGCCAGGCTCCTTTTTGATGTCAAGTCTCACCTATTTCTTCTGTTTTTCTCTAGTAACTGAGCTCAGGTTTTGTTGAAGGCAGCAAACTACTGGCTAAAACTGCTCAATGTTTTCCAGCTAAAATTGCTCAAGTATTTCCTGCAGCTAGTTAGGGCAAGTTACCTGGCTCTGTCTAGAGAGATGGAGATGCAGGTCCTTGGAGACAGAGTACCCTCTGAACAAAAAGGCAAAGACTTACCAGCAGAAAACCCATTTGCCTTTTCCCTTTCCTCCTCACTGACATGCAAGGGTTATGTCTGGAGGTACGAGAAAAGGAAAGCATAAGGATAAAATCTAACAGGCTAAGAATGACAGGGCAGAAAGATAGAAAGGATCTGTGTCCCCGATGGCATCGTTGTACCAGCAAGACTGATGATCATGATGTAAGTCAAATGAATGCCCAGCTGCTGCTGGCTGTGTTTTTTGTTATTTGCGGCTGAATGCATTGCTAATGTAAACATTACCTTGCAGCCAGAGAATACGGCTTGCCAAAAGTCTAGTTTTGTATGTTAATCATGATACACCAGCCAGACAGAGTGGCCCTCAGCTGTAATCCCAGCACTTGGGGAGGCCAAGGCAGGCGGATCACTTGAGGTTAGGAGTTCGAGACCAGCCTGACCAACATGACAAACCCCCGTCTCTACTAAAAATGCAAAAATTAGCTGGGCATGGTGGCTCCTGCCTGTAGTTCCAGCTACACGGGAGGCTGAGGCAGGAGAATCGCCTGAATGCAGGAGGAGGAGGTTGCAGTGAGCCAAGATGGTGCCATTGCACTCCAGCCTGGGCGATAGAGTGAGACTCTGTCTCAAAAAATAAAAATAATAATAATAATGATATGCCAACTGCTATAGCACCTAGACTGCAAAATGTACATCACAACAGTCCGATTCTCTGTTCTCTTTGTTCAGGGGTAAGCATGGAGCTTAATTTTGATCTATGAGACAACGTGGGAAGTCCGTTAGGTTAGAAGTGCTTCTGGTCAAGGTTTCTTTGCTTCTAAAAGAGGAATGTGAGGAAAAAGTCCCTGTCTTGGTGTGGATTTTGGTGTGGGGGGATGTATATAAAGCCTGTAGCTATTGAAGCCATCTGGCAAACTTGAAGGGAGCAGCTGACTCTGAGCTGGTAGAATATAGAAATGGAAAGAATTTAGATCTTGATGTGGTTGAGAGGCTGCCCTCCCTTGGGACTTCTTTTTTGTGTGTGAGTTAACAAGTTTCCTTATTGTTAAGTTGCTTTAGTGGGTTTGCTATTACTTGTAGTCAAAACATTTATTATGGCATCATCTACTTTATTCTATCCTTCTGCTTTCCTTATTACAAGTATATTTACAAGCTCATTGTCATTCATGTCATCATTTTAATCAGCACCAACAACAGCATCACCAGTAACATTTATTGAGTGTTTTTAAGTGCCAGGCCCTGTTGTTGTCATTTAAATCTTACACCAATCCCTACTGCTCAGATACTATTCTTTTTAAAAATTATTTTTTTTTTAGGCACAGGATCTTGCTCTGTTGCCCAGGCTGGAGTGCAGTGGCATAATCATAGCTCACTGCAGCCTCAAACTCCTGGGCTCCAGTGATCTTCCTGCTTCAGTTTCCCAAAGTGCTGGGATTACAGGTGTGACCACTACCCCCTGTCCTATTATTATTGATTCAGATTTACAGATGAGGAAAATAAGGCTTAGGAAGGCTACATAATTTCCTAGATTGCTTATTTAGTAAGCGGCAGAGCCAGGATTCAAACCCAGACCTGAGGGACTCCTAGACTAGTCCATGCCACTGTGATATGGCCTTTCACATCTCTTCTTTCATCCGTCATCATGATATCTTTCTCCTCTGAGTTCTGGGGAAGTTTCTCAAGTTGGACTGCCAATTTTCTGCAGGATTTTCCTGTGATATATAACTCCTTCATTTACTGCTTCCATTTTATTTCATATCACCTACAATTTCCCTTATGTCTAAAACCAATTGCTCCTATATCTAAGATGCAACGTCCTTCTGAATTATAGTGTTAATGCAATAGGGTATTTTGAAGGTTTCTGTATGTTTTCTGTAGAAAAGTTATCTCAAAGGGGGATATATACTTCCATTTCCCAGTGGTCTACTTCTTTTAAGCCACAAATAGGGCACTTTCTCTTGTTAGTTTAATCCTACGGGTATATAATTTTCAGTATTTCTAGTGTTAGAATTTGAGATTCAGAGAACTATGAGTCTCTGTTTTAATCTTTCAGTCCTAGGAAAAGGAGAAATAGGGCTGCCTATCTTTTCTGTGGTTTTATTTTGCCATTTAATTTCTAATTGACTGTGAGATGTATCAAGAGATCTGTAGCTCAAGGCAGTTGAATGTCCCAGAGCTTCACAGCTGAGCCAAGTGACTTCTTTTCCATGTTTATTGTGGCAGCCAAGGTCAGCAGATGCCATGCCTCTTGCTCTGAGTGCCTGGACCACCCCCATTAAGAGCCTCCCACAGCAACAACTCCACTTGACCCACGATAAGTGAGGTTGGCACTGTGTCTCTCTCTTTGTACATTTTGTTTTCTAAGTTGCTTGTAGGGCCAAGCTTTGAGTCCTTGTTACCATCAGCTTAAGCTCCGGCCTCTCTGAATTGGAGGATTTTGTTTGTGTTTGATTAGAGCCTGTTGGCAGAAGCAAGTGCCAAAGTCAGACATAAAACAGAAAACTCTAATGTGGTGTCAAGTCTTTTCCAGATGTTACTGATCCTCTTTCTTTTCCTTCTTTTTTTTTTCTTTTTTGTTATTTTTGATCCCCTTCCTTTTTGCTTCCCTTAGGTTGACCTTTGCTGTCCTACGGGCAGTACAAAGATTGGGTCTTTCTGTCTCTGCCTCTCCTGCCCTCGGACTCCTACCATGGGTCTTTTCTTTTTTTATAGAGATAGGGGTCTCACTTTGTTTATCGTGTTTTTTTTTTTTGTTTGTTTTTTGAGGTGGAGTCTTACTCTGTCACCAGGCTGCAGTGCAGTGGCGTGATCTTGGCTCACTGCAACCTCCGCCTCCTGGGTTCAAGCGATTCTCCTGCCTCAGCCTCCTGAGTAGCTGGGACTACAGGTGTGTGCCACTATGCCCAGTTAATTGTTGTATTTTTACTAGAGACAAGGTTTCACCATGTTGGCCAGGATGGTCTCAATCTCTTGACCTTGTGATCCACCCGCCTCAGCTTCCCAAAGTTCTGGGATTACAGGTGTGAGCCACAGCGCTCAGCCTGAACTTTTACTTTTAAGACAATTGTAGATTCAAATCCTGTGTCCTCTCTTACACAGTTTCCTCCAATGGGGGCATTTTACAAATATAATAACCAGGATATTGACATTGATACATTTGATACAGTCAAGTTACATTTTCATCACCACAAAGATCCTGGTGTTACTCTTTTATAGCCATACCTGCCTCCTTCTCCCCTCCCCCATCCCTCACGCCGGCAACCACTAATCTGTTCTCCATTTCTACAATTTTGTCGTTTCAAAAATGTTATGTAAACAGAATCATACAGTTTCTCATCTTTAAGATTCGTTCTTTCCTGTTTTTTTTTTCTTTTTTTTCTTTTCTTTGTTTTTTTGAGATGGAGTCTCACTGTGCCACCCAGGCTGGAGTGCACTGGTGTGATCTCGGCTCACTGCAACCTCCGCCTCCAGTTGTGGGTTGAAGCGATTCTCCTGCCTCAGCCTCCCAAGTAGCTGGGATTACAGGTGCCTGCCACCACGCTCGGCTAATTTTTTTTTTGTATTTTTAGTACAGACAAGGTTTCACCATGTTGGCCAAGCTGGTCTCGAGCTCCTGACCTCAGGTGATCTGCCTCGGCCTCCCAACTTGCTGGGATTACAGGCATGAGCCACCGCACCCGGCTGAGATTGGCTCTTTCACTCAGCATAATTCCCTGGAGACTTCATCCAAGTTGTTGCATGTATCAATAGCTTGTTTCTTTTCATTGCCACCTAGTTTTCAATGGTATGAATGCCGCATTGCTTGTTTCATCAGTCACCTGGTGGAAAACATCAGGGTTGTTCCCAGTTTTTAACTATTATGAATAAAGCTGCTATGAACATTTGTGTACAGGTTTTTGTGTGAACATATTATCATTTCTCTGAGATGAATCAATGCCAAAGAATGCAATGGTATGTTTAGTTTTATAAGAAACTGCCAAACTGTTTTCCAGAGTGGCTATATGATTTTGTATTCCTACTAGCAGTGTATGAATAATCTAGTTTCTTTACATCCTCACCAGCATTTCATGTTCTCAGTATTTTTTTTATTTTAGTTAATCCGATATGTATGTAGTGCAATATCACTGTGGTCTTAATTTTTAGTTCACCAGTGCTAATGATGTTGAATATCTTTCATGTACTTATTTGCCATCTGTATATCCACTTGGTGAAATACTTCATGTCTTTAAAGAAGACCCAGGATTTCTAAAAAACTGTTGAGTTTTGAGAATTTAAGAAATATATTCTAGATACTGGTACTTTGTTGGATACATGGTTTGTAAATATGTTCTCCTAGTTTGTAGCTTGTCTTTTCATATGTGTTAAAGCTTATCTCCCATTTTATTATTTGTTTTCTGTTTACTTTGTTTCTTATTCCTCTATTCTCACTTTGGGTGGATTATTTAAATATTTTTTAAGGTTTCATCTTGATTTATTTGTAGCATTTTGGGTACATCTCTTTGTACACTTTTCTTAGTGGTTGCCCTGGGTGTTACCATATACATATGTCAAGAGTCACATTCTGCTGGTGTCAGTGTTTTTCCAGTTGAAGGCAAGTGTGGAAAACTTACCTCCATTTAGATTCCTTTACTCTTCCCATTTTTAAAACATGTGTCTCAAGTATTCCCTCTACATTCATTGATCAGCACACTAGAGAGTGTTATTTTGGCTTTAACCTTCAAATATAATTTAAGACACTCAGGAGAATAGGATCATCTATTATGTTTACCCCTGTCTTTGCCTGTTTTGATGTTCTTCATTCTTTTCTAAAGTTTCAAGCATTCTTCTGTTATCATTTCCTTTCTGTTTAAAGAACTTCCTTTAGTCGTTCTTTAAGGACAGATTTACTAGCAACAGATTCTCAGTTTTCCTTCATCTGAGAATGTCTTTATTTCCCCTGCATTCCTGAAGGATATTTTCACCTGATATGGAATTTGTGAGTGATAGTTCTTTTTCCTCTAAGCACTTGAAAAATGTTATGCCACTTTCTGCTGTCTTTTATGGTTTCAGAAGAGAAATCCACTTTCATTCAAACTGTCATTTCCCTGTAAGTAATGGATGTTTTCTGTCTAGTTGCCTTCAAGACTTTGTCTTTAGTTTTTACAAGTTTAATTATGATATGTCTTGGTGTGAATTTCTTTGAGTTTATCCTGCTTATGATAGTTCACACAACTTTTTGAAACTGTAGGTTTATGTCTTCCACCAAATTTTACTGAATTTCTTCAGTTCTATGGTCTTGCTCCTCTTCCTGAAGTATTCCAATGATACCGTGTTCTCTTTTGTTACGGTCCCACTGGTCTTTGAGACTCTCTGTTCATTTTATTTCGGTCTTTCTTTTCTCTGTTGTTCAGATTGGGTAAATTCCATTGATCTACCTTCAAGCCCACTGATTCTGTCCTCTATCATCTCTATTATTGAGCCCAACCACACAGTTTTAATTTTGATTATTGTATTTCTCAGTTCTATAATTTCCATTTGGTTATTTTTCAATGACTTCCATTTTTGCTGAAATTTTCACTTGTTTCAAGAGAATTTGTAATTACTTGTTGAAGCACTTTTATAATATCTGTTTAAAATACTTGTCATATAATTCCAGTAACTAATTCATCTTGGTGTTGACATCTGTTTATTGCTCACTTAAAAATAAAAAATAAAAAACACCTAGACTTTATTTTTTATAGCAGTTTAAGGTTCACAGCAAAATTGAGAAGAAAGTAAAGAGTGTGCCCAGAAAAATAGTACCCCTATGCAGAACCTCCCTGATATTGTTTGGCTGTGTCCCCCACCAAATCTCATCTTGAATGGTAGCTCCCACAATTCCCACGTGTTGTGGGAGGGATCCAGTGGGAGGTAATTGGATAATGGGGGCGAATCTTTCCCATGCTGTTCTCATGATAGTGAATAAGTCTCATGAGATCTGATGGTTTTATAAAGAGGGGTTCCCCTGCACAAGTCCTCTCTTGCCTGGCGCCAGGTAAGAAGTCCCTTTGCTCTTCCTTCATCTTCCATTATGATTGCGAGGTCTCCCCAGCCATGTGGAACTGTAAGTCCATTAAACCTCCTTTTCTGTATAAAGTACCCAGTCTCAGGTATGTCTTTATTAGCAGTGTGAGAATGGACTAATACACTCCCTATCAACATCCCCTACCAGATTGGTATGTTTGTTGTAATCGATGAACCTATGTCAACACAGCGTTATTTCCCAAGCTCCATAGCTTATATGAGGATTCGCTCTTGGTGTTTACATTCTGTGAGTATTGACAAATGTATGATGAAATGTATTGACCATTATAGTGTCATACAGAATACAGGATAGTTTCACTGTCTTAAAAAATCTTCTGTGCTCCCCTTATTCATCCCTTCCTTCTGTGTAAGCCCTGGCAACCACTGAGCTTTTCACTGCCTCCATTGTTTTGCTTTTTCCAGGATGTCATAGAGATGGACTCATACAGTAGGTAGCCTTTTGAAATTGACTTCTTTCACTTAGTAATATGATTCCTCCATGTCTTTTCATGGCTTGATAGCTAATTTCTTTATAGTGCTGAGTAGTATTCCATTCACTTATAATTCCTTGAATTCATTGTTTGGAATATTTTGCAGATGATATGCTATTCCCTAACTTTATGCATCTTCACTCACAGGATTGTTTTTTTCTCACCAATGCTTATTTATATAAAAGCCATATCAACAAAATTTTACACATCAAAAATTTTCAGACTTCTGGTTGCTCCAAAGAAGGAATGACCCCATTCTTCTCAGGTCCTCTTCCTCATGACTAAAAAACTCTGAACAAAGCACAGAAAGTTGCGGAAGGCTCTGAAAGGTGAAAGGAGGTGGACTGCCTAGGGACCTCAGGACTTGGAAAACAACTCAGTGGGGAATTCCGTGGATTTCCTTATCACCTCCCTTATATCCTGGACACGGAGCTGCAGAAGACTCCAACCTACAGTCACCAATGCGCATAGAAGAAAAAAGCTCCAAGAAAAGCCTTTTCCTCCTGGCCAGATGACTGGACAAGGGTGGCCTGACAACAGAAAACCCACAACAAGGAATTACAGGTAACTCCAGAGAGGATCAGCTTGAGTGGTTAAAACAAGTACATGGAAAACAAAAAGAAGCATTTTTCTTTTTTTGTAAAAGAGCTTGTACTGTAATAACTTTGATTTTGTTTTTTGTTTTTTGTTTTTTGTTTTTTTTTGAGACTGAGTCTCACTCTATTGCCCAGGCTAGAGTGCTGTGGCGCAATCTTGGCTTACTGCAACTTTTGCCTCCTGGGTTCAAGTGATTCTCATGTCTCAGCTTCCTGAGTAGTTGGGATTACAGGCATGCACCACCACACCAACTAATTTTTGTATTTTTAGTAGAGATGGGGTTTGACCATGTTGGCCAGACTGGTCTTGAACTCCTGACCTCAAATGATCTGCCCACCTTGGCCTCCCAAAGTGCTGAGATTACAAGCCTGAGCCACCGCACCTGGCCAACTTGGACTTATTTTTATAATAAGTAGATATTGTTCACTGTAGATATTGAATCAATTTTTATTTAATCTTGATTTTTTTCTTGAGCTGCATTAGAAATTCATTACAATATTTCAATTTATAAATCTTATTAAAAATTACTACTACCTAGATCTCATTGTTTTCTTTTTTCTTTTTTGAGACATGGTCTTGCTCTGTCAAGCAGGAGTGCAGTGGGACAATCATAACTCACTGTAGCCTCCAACTCCTGGGCTCAAACGATCCTGCTACCTCAGCCTCCTGAGTAGGTGGGACTATAGGTGCACGCCACCCATGTGTGGCTAATTTTCTTTATTTTTTTTTGTAGAGACAAGGTCTCACTGTGTTGCCCAGGCTGGTCTTGAATTCCTGGCTTCAATCAATCCTCCCGCCTCAGCCTCCCAAGGTGTTGGGATTTCAGACGTGAGCCACTGCACACCTGGCCCCATTTTTTTTCCTTGAATAAAGTGTACTGGTAAATTTTAGGCTCATGAGGGTATATATGCATTATTTTCTTCAAATCAAGCCTGAATCAAAGAAACTTCTGCTTTAGTTTTAGTGATATTTGTCCCAAATGTTTAAAGACTGTATCATTCTGATGAATTGGATATTCCCATTGAGAGATATTCAGTAGGCCTTGATTGAAATGTTCTTCATTTTCTTTTTAAATTCTATTTACAGTAGTCTGCATGTGTTAGAACTTTCAGAAAGGGAGAGATTTCTGTCTGGGCTGTCCCCACCAGCCAGAAGGGTCTGAGAGGCACTGACTTGCCCTGGGGTGATATTTCTGCAGGACTTTGCTCCTCTGTAGGAAGACAGCCTAGAACAGAGGTGAAGGATGCCTCGGGCCTGCCTAGACCAACAGCCATTCCCTGGTGATGCTGTAGTGTGAAGACCCTTGTCTTTCCCAGCACCTGTGATAGCTTTCAAATTATTCTTTTCAGACAAACTTTATGCCTGTTTCTTTATCTCTATTTTGCATCCTAACAGAAAAAGCCAATCACCTAGAAGGGAAAGTCAGACTGGTCCCTGCTGCTTTCCCCACATCTCCACTGCCCCCAATATTGAATGCCGTGACAATGGAATGAAATTCCAATGTCCATGAAATTCTGAGGGGAGACATTTTGACTCAAGATTATATACTCAGTGAAGATGTCCTTTATTTATTTATTAAATTAATTTTTTTTGAGATGGAGTCTCTCTCTGTCTCCCAGTTTGGAGTGCAGTGGTGCGATCTCGGCTCACTGCAACCTCTGCCTCCTGGGTTAAAGTGATTCTCCTGCTGCAGCCTCCTGAATAGCTGGGACTATAGGTACTCACCACCACACCTAGCTAATTTTTTTTTTTTTTTTTTGGTAAAGATGGGGTTTCACCATGTTGGCCCGTCTGGTCTTGAACTCCAGACTTCAGGTGATCTGCCCGCTTTGGCCTCCCAAAGTGCTGGGATTACAGGCGTGAGCCACCTTGTCTGGCCAAAGACGTCCTTTAACTAAAGACTTCTGGTGTATGTTACCTTAAAAATATAAATATAAAAGCATGAAGAAAATACAACCTCCATGAAATTTTTTTGCCAATGAATCTAGAAAAATAAGAATTGATTCAAAATAATGAATAGGGAAGCTGTAATAAAATGACTTGAGGGTTCATTGAGTCCATTTAAATATATATCTCTTACTAAAATCACTAAGGGTCATAATTAGACAATGAAGTAAGTGCCATAAATCTAAACAATGTAAATAACAATATATCTAAAAAAAAAAAACTAAGGAGTTTGGAGAGAGGATACGGGAGGATGTGTTCTTTCATAGTAGGGAATTAGTTAATATTCTTTAAAATGGAAACATGTAAGAAAAAAGACCCTAATGACTGAAAACTAAGTTTTCCTCAATCTTTTTTTCATATCCTTTGAAGGCTATTTTAAGAAATAATATCTAAAGAACATCGATTTGATGTTCACAATTCCAGTTGATTTTCCTTCTGTGAAATTCAAATGAAATTAAATAAATATGTTTTGTTAAAAATGGTGTCATCCCATTTAAGTAAATGTCCTTTCTTTTACCTATTTATCCATCTATAATCTGTATCTATTCATCCATCAATGGATACATGTGCACAGATAAATGGCCCCTTTGGTGAAGGGCTGAGAGGGTATTGTTTTCTAACCCCAACCTGTGACGGCTTCCATGAGGCCAATGGAATCATTTTGAAATGTGTTTACCACAGCAGGGAGACACAGAAGACTGGGGTCTCACACCTGTGTGGGAACTCCAGAGGGTGAGAAAAGGGCCAATGAACTGCTCCGGTGACACAGCAGGGAGGGTGGCTGCCGTGCTGGGTGCGGCCTGCCTTCCTAGAGAATGTCAGGGAAAGGGATGTGGGGTCATTTCCTGTGGACACATTTAAGCCAAGTAGGGGAGAGGTCTGGTATGGGGTCCTCTTGGGGCCTGTTGGACAGGGTTGACCAGCAGAGAGAGGATGCCCAAGGATTGAAGGAGGAGTGGGTAAGAGGTTCTCTAGGTCATGGGAACTTCTGAATTTCCCATGGAAAGCACCACCATAATCTGTGTGCAATGAACAGCCAGACCCACGTGGGAATTCTAGGCCAGCAAGAATCCCTTACTTGCTCACTGGCTGCCACGTGGCTCTGACCATGGAGAGGTCTGGAACTGTAGCTTCCCAGTGGGGGAGAAGTAGGCTGGGAGAGAGAAGGGGACAGAGGAACCACACCCTCCTTCCCCACCTCCAAACAGAAGCCAGTAAAAATTGAGGGATGGAGAAAAATATAAGGCTAAATTAAGTTTTGGAACTTTGGCATGATCAAGGCTCACTGCAGCCTCAACCTCCTGGGCTCAAACAATCCTCCCTTCTCAGCCTCCTGAGTAGCTGGGACTACAGGCACATACAACCATGCTCACCTTTTTTTTTTTTTTTTTTGTAGAGATGGGGTATTGCTATGTTGCTCAGGGCTGGTCTCAAACTCCTGGGCTCAAGCAATTCTCCTGCCTCAGCCTCCAAAAGTGCTGGGATTACAGGTGTAAGCCATTGGCCCTGCCAAGTTTAAGAACTTTTACAGTTATAAGAGACTAGATATTTTAATTATTATTATTATTTTTTAGACAGAGTCTTACTCCGTATCCAGGCTGGAGTGCGGTGGCACAATCTTGGCTCACTGTAACCTCCACCTTCTAGGTTTAAGCGATTCTCCTGTCTCGGCCTCCTGAGTAGCCAGAATTAGTAGAGACGGGGATTCGCCATGTTGATCAGGCTGGTCTCGAACTCCTGACCTCAAGTAATCCACCTGCCTTAGCCTCCCAAAGTGCTGGGATTACAGTAGATATTTTAATTTTTTTGCATGGAGGCTATTTTTACTACTAAAAGTGAATGAAGTATATTTTGTATCTTCCAGGAGTTTGGAAAGTCAAGTCTATTTGCACCCAGCCACGTGCCTGCCATGGTGCCCGCGGCCTCTCAATTTTTGACCTTTGTTTATGCTGCTCTGTCTACCCAGAATGCTCTCCATCGAGGGAAACCTACTCTCTCTTCAAGGCCAAATTCCAGCATCACCTCCGCCATGAAGCCTTCATAGATCTACTCAAGTAGAAACTTCTTAACCCCTCTAAACTGTCTTAGCATCTTGGTTGTAGTATTGGTTTAGAATAGCACAAATTCTACCCAAAATCTCACTAAGTCTATTCTAAGCAAATCTTGGATAATTTGCTAACACTAAAATTAAACCTGTTCTCTTTTGGTTTTTTGCTAACAATGAAACAAACTTGGTCTTACTCTTTTGCCCAAGCTGGAGTACAGTGGTGTAATCATGTCTCACTGCAGCCAGGAATTCCCGGACTCAAGGGATCGTCCTACCTCAGCCTCCTGAGTAGCCGGGACTACAGGTGTGCATAACCGTGCCTGGCCAGTTTTAAAATTTTTATTTAGGGACAGAGTTTTGCTATGTTGTCCAGGCTGGTCTTGAACTATTGACCTCAAGTGATCCTCCCACCTTGGCCTTTCAAAGTGCTGGGATTAGAGGTGTGAGCTGCCACACCCAGCCCCGTTCTCTCTTTTGCATCTATATTAGTCTCTGTGCTCTTGGGAAAAGTGGACCAATATCATTTCAAAACTTGATGAAAAAGAAAATTAAAATCTCATCCTCGGGAACTGAAATCACAAACCACCCAGCAAGGTCCACACCTCTAGGAGACTGGCATTTAGAAGACAGGACCACAGTTGAAGCAACGGTTCTTTCTTTACCCTCCCTGCCTGTGACAGACTGCATGTGCTGATTATCCCTGCGTTTTCTGCAGAGCTTGCCTTCCTGGTGATACAGTACTTTATTTTATTCTGAGGGCCCCTTCCTGCCAGGGGATATCTGTCAGGGGATACATAAAACTGCACAAAATGGAACAAGTTATAGGTCATATAAAATTTCAGGACATTGTTGAGAAGGAGAAGTTGCTAAATTGGAGACACCATGATGTGAAATCCCAGGGTCCCAGAATATTGATGGAACTAGTATGTTTTTCTTATGTAATATTTTATGGTGTCTGGGAAATGGAGTTGCCTAAGTGAACTCATTTTTTATGTCTAGGGGAATAGCAACATAACTATCATCTAACACTAAATAAAGAGGAGCAAAATGTGCTACATTTAGAAAGTGATGGTATTATCCCCAGCTGAGGCAGACTTAGTGATGGTGTTAGAAATAAAGTATGGTAGGAGGCTGAGGCAGGTGGATTGCATGAGCTCAGGAGTTTGAGACCAGACTGGGCAACATGGCGAAACCCCATCTCTACAAAAAATACAAAAATTAGCCGGACATGGTGTCGTGTGCCTGTAGTTCCAGCTACTCAGGAGGCTGAGGTGGGAGGGTCACCTGAGCCTGGGAGGCAGAGGGTGCAGTGAGCAGTGATTGCACCACTGCACTCCAGCCTGGGCAACAAAGCAAGACTCTGTTTCAAGGAAAAAAAAGAAAAAGAAAAGAGAAAAAAAGTATGGTGTTAAAAGAAAAGGGGATTATGAATTGTTGATATTTTCCCCCTTCAGTGAAAACTTAGAGCACATTCTTAGCTAAATGCTTTAACCTTACAAATTTCTTTAGTGAAATTTCCAGTTTATGTATGTAAATAACACTTCAATGGCTTAATAAGAAAAATCAAAGTTCCCCTGCAAAAAGGAAAGAGGGTCTTGACTTGGTTTGGCTCTCTGTCCCCACCCAAATCTCACTGCAAATTGTAATCCCCATAATCCCCACATGTGGAGGAAGGGTCCTCGTGGGAGGTAACTGGATCATAGGGGCGGTTTCCCCCATGCTGTTCTCGTGATAGTGAGTGAGTTCTCACGAGATCTGACGGTTTTATAAGGGGCTCTTTCCCCGTCACTCTTTCTCTTGTTGCCTTGTGAGGAAGGTATGTGTTTCTCCTTCGCCTTCTGCCATGCGTGTAAGTTTCCTGAGGCCTCCCCAACCATGTGGAACTGTGAGTAAATTAAAACTTTTTCCTTTATAAATTATCCAGTCTTGCTATCTTTATAGCCAGGTGAAAATGAACAAATAGACTTTTAACAGCAAAATAAAGGAAAATGAAAAACCTTCTCTCCAGAGGTGACCACAATTAACAACTTGGAATAAATAAGTAATATTTAATTGGTTGCCAAATCTTTGACACATCTGAGTTACTTTTAATCATTGTAGGAATTCATATATTCTAAGCTTTTATAAGCTGAACTCCAAACAATAAAACTAAGAGGAAGAAATTATCGTGTTGCATAAAACGAGTTATAAATTGTTCTTGTACACTTTATAACATCCTTCTAGTGTGTGAATTTCGGGTTTTCTGAGTTTTAGCTAAATCTGTGTAAGAATGACATATTACAAATTAATAATGGGATTAACTGTCTCGTAAGTGCAAAAAGCAAATTTCTAAAACCTGCCTTAGCCTATAAAGGCTTCAGCTGTCTACCTCAGCAGGAGGCCAAGAGAACCTGAATGTTTTGCTAAAAGACCTGTGAGACTGGAAAAATTCCAAGTTCAAAATCATGTGCTTTTGGAAGAAACATATGCTTAACATTCTGCAAGGATCTTTCAGAAAATAGAAGGATTTTCTATCAGGATACTTAGAAAGTGAGATGTATATGTCAGGCTCTGCAACATTTAAAAATAGCCTGTTTTCTCCAACAAATGGTATACAGTTTTTTTTATAGATAATGTTTTGAGAAAATGAAAATACTCCTATATGAATGAACTTTCAAAGCTATTTTCTGAGCTGTTAAGCATTTTCTGTGTGTGTGTTTAACACTTTGTTATAAAGAGCAAATCACTTGAAAAGAAGATTCTTTTTCATAGTCTTACTTGCAATGTGAGTTGAAAAATACTTTCAGCTTTCACTACTCAGTTGTTATGGGGTATCACTCTTTCTGGCTTGTCTCCCGGCCGTTTTCTTATTCTTTTACTTTACTTTTCTTTCTTTCTTTCTTTCTTCTTCTTCTTTTTTTTTTTTTTTTGACACGAAGTCTTCTTCTGTTGCCCAGGCTGGAGTGCAGTGGTGCGCTCTTGGCTCACTGCAACCTCTGCCTCCAAGGTTCAAGCGATTCTCATGCCTCATCTTCCTGAGTAGCTGGGATTACAGGCGTGCACCACAATGCCTAGCTAATTTTTTTTGTGTTTTTAGTAGAGACGGGGTTTCACCATGTTGGTCAGGCTGGTCTAGAACTCCTGACCTCAGATGATCTGCCTGCCTCGGCCTCTCAAAATGCCAGGATTACAGACGCGAACAACTGCGCCTGGCCCATTTTCTTTATTTTATGTGGAGAGGGTTTCTTATCAGCATGTGATTTATATCTTTGTGCAGATTAGCTGCTAAAAGGGACAGGAAGAAAGTATTATAAAGCTTTGCTGTGTTCTCTAGTGGGAGGGTACTGGTGGGTAGAAACATGCTTTGTTTCCCAAATACACAACCAGCCTTGGTAGATGGGGACAGAGGCATATGGTCTCTACTGGAAGTTACTTGCAGAGCCTACTTACTGTTAGACTTACGAGGACGAAAGAATCTTGAAATGTCTTCTAATCTGCCCCCGTGTTCAGGTAGAACATTGCATAAGCATTGTCTTTTAATGTCTTATTTTCCTTCTGTTCTTCTTTTCCTTTTCTCCTCTCAGTCCCCCCACTCCATCCTTCCTTCTGCCATTTCCTTGTCCCTCCTTCTTCCTCTCAGGGAAATTATTCATCCTCTTTTCAGATTGCCCCTGAGTTGGCCAGAGTTCAAGGGAGAGGACCCTGGCTCAGGGATCACAAGATTTAAACCCAGAGCAGGTGGAAAAGTGGCTCTTTAATGAGATCACAGATAAGATACACAAATTACAAAAAATTATTGATTGGCTCATGCTCTGGTCTAATTCCAGTTTAGGAACCAAGTCTCATGCACTTGTACTGGTTGTAAGGAAATCACCATGTTTATGGTGTGAATGAGGATTAAACTGGGACCCAAGGCATCTTTGGAAGAGGCTGGGGCAAGAAGCCAACTGGCCGCTCCACCACCCCTGACATTTTGGAGTTCATACTTCTCTTGGTTCACTTTCCCCAGAGGTTACCACATCAGCACTCAGAGATTGTCTCTGTCTTAGTGCTGCCAAATACACTGCCAGGAACTGGTGCTTTCTTTTTTATTAGTTGTAGTTTCTGAGGAGTAATTATAGCTTTTCCTTTCTGAGAATGATGTTTTCAGGACATAAACATACTCCACACCTGTTTTCTGTAACGTTGTCAGAAGATAGCCCTCAGCTGGCAGCTCCCTCTGGAAACTGCCCATGGCTGTTCTTGGTGGAGGCAGCTTGCATTAGTGACTAACTTAGGAGGAATCTAAGGCCAGGTGCTCCTGCTGCCACGCAGGACAATTCTGAAGGTCCATTTTGGCTTTATTGTGCCTCCATGTGAGGCAGGACAATAGGGTCTGGAGGCAGGGAAACCAAGGCCAATTCATGCCAACTTCCTAGAAATAAAAGGAAAGCCCCGACTTTCCACACCTAAGTAACAAAAGGACCAGAGGCTACTTACTTTGCAACGTCGCTACCCCCGTCCCCCATCCCCCCCTTGCTTTCTACAACCAATCAGACACTTGTTTAGGGTGTAACCTTTGTAACTTCAGCCTCTGATTGCAGACCACTACTTCATTTACTTAGGGTGTACACCAAGTAACCAATGAAACCTTTAGAGGGTGTTTAAACCCCAGAAAATTCTGTAAGGAGAACTCTTGAGCCGGCTCCCCCTCAGTGGAGTGTACTTTCATTTTCAGTACAGCTCTGCTTTTGTTGCTTCATTCTTTCCTTGCTTTGTGCGTTTTGTCCAATTCTTTGTTCAAAATGCCAAGAACCTGGACACCCTCCACTGGTAATACATGGAGTGGGCTGAAGCCTTTGTTGAGGCTGTATCACTGCTCAGCTTCTCTTTCTCAGTCCTGGTCCCTTCTCCTTCCTTTCACAGGGCTTAATCCCACGAGCATTCTCTAATAAATGTGCTGCGTGTGAATCCCTGTTTCAGAGTCTCTCCAGGGAACCTAACCCGTAAAAATTATCTTTTCTTAATCTTGCCAGGGAAGACAATCATGCACAAAAGTAAAAACCCTCCAAACAGAAAAAGTCTCATAAATTACTGGCATTACAATACATTACACAGGCTGGTGCTTTAGCATGCCAAGGTCAAGTTCTCATTCTCTTTGGCTGGGCTACAAGAATGGGTGGGTAGAACCCCAAACAACTGGGTAGAAGAACAGAGATTCAGACTTTCTCATAGAAAAGAAATTTCCAGAACTGACTCAATACCAAGCTACATCGGAGGCACCTTCATGCAGGGGCTAAGGGGATAGACTCTGTGGACAGAATACCTTAGTTTGCATTCTGGCTCTGCTAGTCACTGTGTCTCCATGCCATACTCCTCTCATTTGTAAAATGAGAACAGTAGTGGTACTTTATAGGGTTATGAGAGACTGAATGTACAAATAGACAATGGCCAGACCATATGCAGAAATAGTACCCTTACGGTCTGCAGCAACTAGCCCAAAAACCAACCCATTAAGCCCATGAAGCTAGCCTGCCTACAAGTCAGCTTTGTATGAAATCAGACCACAATCTCTAACAAACAGTCCAGGAAGTCAAACAATAACTGCTGTAACAACTGGCCCCAAGTGGCCAGGACTTGATAAATGACTGACAGCTTCCCCAGTTTTTGTTCCTGATTCCAATATGCAACCAACCAGGGAAAGTTAAATATGCTCCCTATAGGATGCTCTGCTCCTAGTCAGCCCACCCACAGCTTCCCCATACCAACGTCCTTCAATCAGAACATACCAGAAGCTGTCCCTTCTTTCTACTATGAAGCTTTCCCATTTTTCTGCCTGCCTTTGAGTCTCTGCCAAAACACGTGATAGTGGTTGACTCCCTTGCTATAGCAAGCTTTGAATAAATAGATGTCTTTGTCCATTTTCTGCTGTTAGAATAGCACAGACTGTGTAATTTATAAAGAAGAGAAGTTTATTTGGCTCACAGTCCTGGAGGCTGGGAAGCCCAGGTTTGAGGGGCCGCATCTTGGAGAGACCTTTCTGTTGCATTATAACATAGTGGAGAGCATCACATGGCAAAGGAGGACAAAAGAGGGTGAGACAGATAAAGGGGGCCAAACTCCTGCGATAACTAACCCACTCCCACCATAACGGTGTTAATCCATTCAGGAGGGCAGAGCCCTCATGACTTAACAGCCTCTTAAAGGTGTCACCTCATAACACTGTTACAATGGCAATACAATTTCAACGTGAGTTTTGGAGGGGACATTCAAATCACAGGAATTACATTTGCTTTCTCATTTGGGTGGTCTTGTTTATTTCCACAGTTAATGAGTGAATGGGTTAACATTTGTAAACCACTTGGAAACAGTGCCTGGCACATAATGCTATATAATACTTTAAAGTAAAATAAGTAGCAGATCATGGTTTAGAGGTGATACCCAGACTTAATAATTTCCTCACATGTTTTGTTTAATACTGTATTTTTTATTATATGAATCCACTTTAATTAATTAATCATTTTTTTTTTTTGAGATGGAGTCTAGCTCTGTTGCTCAGGCTGGAGTGCAGTGGCACGATCTTGGCTCACTGCAACTTCCGCCTCCTGGGTTTAAGCAATTCTCCTGCCTCAGTCTCCCGAGTAGCTGGGATTACAGGTGCACACCACCATGCCCAGCTAATTTTGTATTTTTAGTAGAAACGGGGTTTCACCATGTTGGCCAGGCTGGTCTCAAACTCCTGACCTCAGGCGGTCCACCTGCCTTGTCCTCCCAGAGTGCTGGAATTACAGGCATGAGACACCACGCCTGGCCCTAATCCACTTTTATTTCTGAGGACTCCTGATTTTCAGAAGTTCTTAAGTGGAGAAATTGACCTACGTAGTCGGTAGAGGGTTCTATAGCAGACACCAGGCCTGACAGGTGTCCCTTCCTTTGCTCCAGATGGCTTCCAGGAGGGCTTTTTCAACACCCCATCTCTGTAGGTTCTGGTGTTAATTTCTCAAGTGTCCTATTGATGCCTTTGATTCTATCTGTCTTCTGGGCCCAAGACCCTTGGTTCTGGAAGGCTCTCTTCCCATGTTGTACTATTTTGTGGATCCCATAATCTACTTTTATCCATCATGATGCCATGTTCACATGTCAATTACACTATCCTTTTCAGCCTTGTCTGATGGGAAAATTCCTCCAGGAAATTCTACATACACCAATAAAATTCTATATATGCCCATTTATATCTCTGATCTATTAGCCTACCAGAATTATCCTATAAAATACCTAGATATGTAGAGAAATTTGCAACTCTGGTTTCTACTTCCAGATTATAGCAGGCAGAAACTTTGGCTCTTGGCCCATTGAGTTACTCTTGATCTGTTTCAGTGTTCCAGACTGGGACTTAGGGGCAAAATGAGGCCTTGTCCTTGGCCTCGAAAAAGGTCAAAATTTTACTTCAGAAAACTGGCATGTCTAGGTTTCAGATTGTCCTGGGTCTTCTGGTGTCCTGAGCACATTGAGGCTTATTCTTTTGCTTTTGGTTGTCTGTACCAGCCGCTTATACAGGGCCAGTTCTGACCTGGAGGGTGATGGCATGGAATTTAAGACTGGTGACTTGGGGGTTTATGGGAATATGTATGAATTCCAGTTTAGTTCCAATTAGTGGCTCTGAATTTTCTTTCCCTTGATATGGTCAGATTATGCTGTGATATTGGCAGAAATGAGTTCCTGACTTTTTCCCCTATGGTCTAGATAGCAGAAAATCCAGCTCAGCTAGACATATAAGCTTGTGCACAGACACTGCTGAAAATGGTGGCTGATGTGGGCGCTCTAGGAGACTGGCCCTGTTTTCACATTATCGTGGATCCTATGGAAAGTGGACACTGGTAAAAGTGTTTCTGGAGGGGTTTAAGATGGGCCACTGATGCTCTAATTTCCCTGGGTCCTGGAGCCCTTGGTTCTGATAACTGATATCCCGGATCTTCAAGGAGTGTAGACTTTAGGACCACACTAGAGGTCAGGGTCCTGGCCTGGCCTTCAGATTATCCCTGGTGGTCCTGAGCTGTACTTGAGCTTATTTCCTCAAGCTACCCATCAGAAAACAGGAGCCTTGTTGGGATGAGCCTAGTTCATTGCTAATGAGCTTGACTTAATTTTGCCCCTAGAAGCTCGAGGATTTGTTTGGATTTGGCATCTCTATTCATTTTTTTTTTTTTAAGCAAGCATGTCTAGTGGACTTAGTTTCATGCTGGTTGGAGGGAAAATTAATCTCTGACCTGAGCAGCCTAATGGCAGGCCAGCTGGCATCAAGCTTGGACTCTGAAAGGGAGGCATTAGGGTTTGGGCTTTGCTCTCTGTAGACAACCAGGTGGCCCCTTGGGAAAGTGAGATCAACTCTTCATTGAAAGGAGGTTGATATTGAAGAAAAGAACTTTAACAGTGTTTGAATACTTTTCTTTTCTTTTTTTTTGGTTTGAGATGGATTCTCACCCTGTCACTCAGGCTGGAGTGCAGTGGCATGATCTCAGCTCACTGCTACCTCCTCCTCCTGGGTTCAAGCGATTCTCCTGCCTCAGCCTCCCAAGTAGCTGGGATTACAGGCATGTGCCACCACACCTGGCTAATTTTTTAAAAATAATATTTTTGGTAGATTAGGGGTTTCACTATGTTGGCCAGGCTAGTCTCGAACTCCTGACCTCAAGTGATCTGCCCACCTCAACCTCCCAAAGTGCTGGGATTACAGCCGTGAGCCACTGTGCCCAGCCAGTATGTGAGTTCTTAATAGTCAAAGCAAAAGAGCATGTAGGTAACAAGTTTGTAATGGAAGAAGGACTAGAAGGAGGTGATCAGACATGGTTTAGAACAGTGATAGTGTGGCTTGAAAGCTGTGGCATGCAGCTGGTAGCCCAATGTTGCCAAGAACCACCATCCATTTGGAAGCAAACCCTTCCTTAGAGTGGCCTGTTGGAGTCTCCACCCATGTAGAATCAGCTTGCAGAGCTGGTTCCTCAAAAGAAAAGCTTTGCAATGAATTAGAAGGACAATTTTAAGAGAAAAGGTGCTCTGCTAGTGACAGCTGACAGCAAATTTGGAGACCGAAGGACTATTTCTTTAACAGGTGACTCTGAGTCATGAAGAAAAATATTATATTTTACAAATTCTAAGAATACATCTATAGGATGCATTTACAAAGACCAGATTATTACAAACAATTCAAGTAATAACAAGTTCAATAACCTAGAGAATTCACTGACATGGAGCACCATTTCTCAGTGTCAAGATCTGTTGCAAGGACCATAGTTCCATCGAACTAGGTTGAAAGAGAAATCACTGGAAGGATACTGGGCTCTCTCAGGAAATGAGAAAGTAGGTATGGGCCTCATAGATGCTAAAACCAATAACTTAGAGGGTCAGGAAGGAGAATTCTCTCTTCTTCTCTGAAGCCAGGTAGTCTATTTTCTTTGCTTTTCTTAATCTCCCTGATTCATGATTGGCATTTTCTTTTCTTTTTTATTTTTTTGAGACAGGGTCTTGTTCTATCACCCAGGCTGGAGTGAAGTGGCATGATCATAGCTCACTGTAACCTATAATGCATGGACTAAAGTGATCTTCCTGGCTCAGCCCCCTAAGGAGCTGAAACTACACTCAGGCATGTGCTAACACAACTGGTTGATGTTTTTTTTTTTTTTTTTGAGACAGAGTCTCACTCTGTTGGCCAGGCTGGAGTGCAGTGGTGCAATCTGGGCTCACTGCAACCTCCAACTCCCGGGTTCAAGTGATTCTCCTGCCTCAGCTTCTCAAGTGGCTGGGATTACAGGCGGATGCTACTGCGCCGGGCTGATTTTTGTATTTTTAGTAGAGATGGGGTTTTGTCATGTTGGCCAGGCTGGTCTTGAACTCCTGACCTCAGACAATCCGCCTGCTTCAGCCTCCGAAAGTGCTGAGGTTAAAGGCATGAACCACCATGCCCGGATCTTTTTTTTTTTTCCTATTTTTTATAGAGTCAGGGCCTTGTAATGTTGCCCAGCCTGGTCTAGAACTCCTGGCCTCAAGTGATCCTCCTGCCTTGGCCTCCCAAAGTGCTGAAATTATAGGCGGAAACTACTGTGCCTGGCCCTAGATCAGCATTTTCTATTTTAGCATGCACATGGCTGTCCCATCCAAGCTGCATGTAGCCTTCTAGATACTCAATAAGAACTCAGTACAGGCTGTCTGGTCCTCCTGTCTTTTGGATCCAGTTCTCTCATGACATCATTTGCTTGGCTCATAGTATTGGTATTGGCATGTATTGGTTCTTCTTAGGTCATGTCCCCAGCTCTTGTCCAATCAGCTGTGGTCATGGGGGCAAAATGACTGTAAGAGGAGTTTTATTCTGTCATTCATTCAATAAATATTGAACATCAAAAAATTTTGTTTTGGCCAGGTATTCTAAGTAGCTGGAGTTCAATCTTGAGCAAAGCATACATACATGGGTCTTGTTGTCATGGCCTTATAGTATAGCAGGGAAGACAGATATTAATGAAATATTGTAAAAATTATTTATTTATTAGAGACAGGGTCTCACTCTGTCGCCTAGGCTGGAGTGCAGTGGTGTGGTCATAGTTAACTGCAGTCTTGAACTCCTGGCCTCAAGGGGTCCTCCTGCCTCAGCCTCCTGGGTAGCTGGGACTACTGCTGGGACCACTATTTATTTTAAATTTGTAGAGACAGAGTTTTGCTATGTTGCCCAGGCTGGTCTCCAACTCCTGGCCGCAAGTGATCCTCCTGTCTTGGCCTCCCAAAGTGTTGGGATTATCAGTGTGAGCTGCCAGGCCTGGCCAGATATTAATGCAGTATGAACACACACGAATATGTAACAAGATGCTGTAGGGTGCTGAACGGGATCCTGTTTTCTCAATTTTATTACTAAGGCTCACAATAAGGAAAAACCACAGCAAGCATTCTGTACTCTAAGTTGGAGGGACAATTAGTGCTCTGGACCAGCCACACCACTCAGGACTTCTTGGGAAGCACTCAGAGAACAGACCCAAATGCCTCCCACAACACCTGACCCCCCTCCTCTGGATATGAGAAGAGGGCCTGGAGGGGGAAGAGGAATGCCGCCTTTTGGAGGACAGCAGTGTTTGAGATGTGAAGCTATTCTTTTCCTTCTCAAGCTGGAGGGAAAGTGGGGATTTTTTCTTTCCAAAGCCAAGGCAGGGAAGCCCCCAAGAGAACCATTAGTGAAGGAGCTGCCTTGTATTCTTATGAACAGTTCAGTTAATAACAAGTTAAGTAACATACAGTAGGGTCTCTAAGCGGGCATCTGCTCATCTAGCAGACTTGCTGGGCTGCTGCTGTGTTACTGGAACAGGACAAAGGCTTTCTGGGGAGAGATCTGTGGCAGGTGGGAAGGAAGTCAATGTTTCCTTGCCTCAGGCTTCAGGTTATTGCCAACTACGGAAGTTGGATATTACAAGGGCCTACTGGCTGAAGAATTGGCCATGAGGGAAGAAGAGATTGGGGCTACAGAGGCCCTGGGCTGCTACATTATGGCATAAATTAATGCACATTAAAGCCAGCAGCGATTGGCCCAGTCACTCTAAGAGTCACCATCTGTTTGGGAATGAGCCCTCCCTCCGAGGGGCCTGTGGAGTGTCTACCCGCCTACCTGACACTAAAGACCAGAGATCTAGGAGGGCAGTTAATGGCCCTTGGGAGAGAATGCCAAGTTCACTCTTGTTCCTCTTTTTACCCCAAGACCAAAGGAGCAGGTACAAGGAAGAGAAAGAGGGAAGGGGAGGTGCATGAGAACAGACCCCAGACTGTGTCCCCTACAGCATCCCCCACCCTCTCACCCTCAGCCACTGGAGCCACAAAGGAGAGAAAGAGACCTGATCGAATATTGACTTAAATTTTAAAATGAACAGGACCAAACCTTTAAGAAACAGAACGCAATTGTTTTCATCATGGAAACTGATCACTAAGATTATCATGGTATTCAGTGAAAAGGGATTTTAAATAAGGGAGTAAGTAAGGGGCTCAGGGTTTGGGGGAGGTGGACAGAAAGCAGAGAGGCATTGCAACCATGTGCTCAGCTCCACCTGGCAAGAAACCTACGGAAGCAAGAAATCAGTGTGAAATGAATGCCCTCCAGGGAGACACAAGGAAGGAGTCTGCTGTCAAAGAGAATACAAAGAAAGATTTGGGTGTGTGGCTGTAAAAATTGGCATTTTGAATTAGATTTCTAGTGCACCTTTCATTCTAAGGGGAGAAAAATAGGCCCAGGGAGAAGTAACCTCCTTGATCCCACACGGCCAGTTGCTGGAGAAAGGCAGAGACTAGAATGCAGTGCTGGGCTGACTTGGATGGTCAAGTGCATTCCTTCTCCAACACTTAGCATCATTTAGCATCATTCCACAAGGGAGTGAGAAGGCAGGGGGGTATCTGATGCTGACAACAGTCATTTCCCCCCTTGTAACATTCTTCACGGTCAGCCCTGGGAATCAGATTTCTGCTTTTTAGGGAATTCAAGACCAGCTACAGTCACCTAGTATTCTGTGAACAGGTGCTGGCTTTCTTCTTCTTCTTCTTCTTTTTTTTTTTTTTTAACACTTTATATCATTTATTAATGCAGTATACGTTAGATCTAAAATCTGTAGTTTCTAAGCACACTATGTTTAGATCTTTCAGATCCTTCTGCAGTTTTAGGTTATTTCTACAGAGGTACCTTTAAGTGAATAAATAACACATTCTATAATTCCTGAAAATATAGAGTGAAATAATTTAAATATAATTTGGGCACATATTGATTATGAAAATAGATTATTTCTCAATACAATACTTCTCTGTCTTGGTAAAAATAATAAAGCAAAGCAAATAATTCATTTCTGAAGTTGCTTTCCTTCACTTGTAAAGGTCTGATCTCCTCCCACTATGCATATGTACCCTTTACTGTTAAGGAAAGCTTTGCATATGTAGATATAGAAGAATAAGCTACATAAATACTAAAGATATGTCATTCTCCCAAAGGAGACACGGGTTTTTCAATGATTCCTTGCCTCATGTTGATGAGTCTGTAGAATTCAGAACCCATTTGGACACAGCTAATATCCCTGCTCTTGCGGTAGAAATAAGGACACCAGGTCACTGGTAGGGAGGTACAGGCCCTTCCTCTGCTGCTGCAGAGAGGTAATGACTCGAGAAAACTAGGCTAAAATTTGTTTAAAAAAAAAAAACCTAAAAAATAAGTAAAAGAATCACAGGTGCTGACTGATTGGTATTACATCTTGGACCAGCCAAATGCCTTTATTTTTACTTTATATATATTTTTTGGTGGCTGTAATCAAATGTGTTTAAAATTCCTCATTCCCAACTGTGGGGTTCTAGCTGCAATTATATTACATTGCCTTTTAACAGGCAACTCTACCATCTTCATTCATATAAGCTTTGATTGCAGTAGCTCTGGATTTAGTATCTATTTCTAAGCTGGCCCTATATAAACTATTTGGTATTTGAATTAAATGAATATTAATGACAGACCTTGGTTTTTTGGTTTTGAAGTATCTTCCTATGCTTGTGATGATTGTATGAGAAAACTAGGCTAATATTGTAAATAGATAGAATTGCTTGGTCTGGTGTTGCGTGGAACTTGTCTAGAATGAAATTCTGAGAAATTCTCATTTATAAGTGTTGTAGTGATAGGTAAGTTCTTCATCCATCCGGAGTTCCACTGTACCTTTGGAATGACAGTGATGTACAATGATGTCTTTCTTTCCACTCTGTCTCAATCAGTAAGAACTGGCTATTACTTTAATTTAGCTACTGTTTTGCCCTAAAAAGTAAACATTATGAAAATGAGCCTGAAAAGAGTCTTAGGGAGTCTGATCTCACCATATTCATACGGTGTGACAGGTATTTAAAGAGGGGAGGCATCACTAAAGCTATTTATGAACCTGAACAATGTTTTTCAAGTTTTCATAAAGTTTTAACAATTTAAATATCTATACTGCATCTAGGTATTCAATAAATATAATTGCATATGTTGTGCTTTCCATAAATTAAAATCCTCAAATGCCTCTCAAACCAGGATGGTATTTCCACATCATGCCTATTTAAAAGCAAACATAATAGATACTATTCCTGGCCATAAAACCAGGTAAACCACCCTACCCCGTTCAAAAGGCAGAAACATCTAGTTTCCCTACATATATTGAATGAGTGCTTTTGTGTTACAAATCAGAATATGGAAAAAAAGGTCAGTTTTTTCTCTTATGTACCGCTGAGAACAAGCATAATCCTCTAAATGTTTTTTTAAAAAATTTCCTTACAGTGTTGTTTCTTCTAGACAACTGAGTGGGTAGAGAAAGAAAAGTGATAAGGAAAACATTTTCATTTTCTACATCTTCCTCCAGCCCCTAAAATTCTCATCTGACACTTTGTGACATGTGTAATGGTGTCAGCATCTCTTCAAATATAGCTCCCTTCACGTTGGACCCTCTGAGGTTGGCTTCTTGAAGATCACACCCAGACAGATCACAGTTCTCTAAATCAGTGCCTGCCAGAGTTGCTCCTCTGAAGTTACAGTTCTTCAACTTTGGATTTTTTTAAGGTAGCCACTCTCAGGTTAATTCCTGTCATCTGACTTCCTTCCATATCAGCACCTTTCAGATTAGCACCTTCTAAATTGGCTTTAAGAGCAGAAGGATCCTCAAAATTACACAGTTTCAGGGATGCTCCTTCTGCATTAGAACAGAGCATCTTGACTCCCTGGAGATTTGCACAGTCAAGCACTGATCCAGAGAGATCAGCTCGTTCAAGATTTGCACAGCAAAGATTTGCATGTGCAAGACTGCAGCGGCTTAAACTGGCAATTTTGAAGTTAATGTATCGAAGGTCCAAACAAGAAAGATCAGCACCACTGAAGTTCAAACCCTGGCATCGCAGTTCTGACTTGGTTGGAGTTGCTAGCAAAAATTGGACAAATTCCTTTCGGGGTATTGGTGAATGATCCTCCGGTGGTTGAGAATTCTTTATTGCCACTTCTAGGTGTTCAATCAATGAATAAATTTCAAAAAATCTTGCTGCTTCTAACACACCCAATAAATTAATGCCATTATTTACAATGAGCTGTCCACAAAGCAAGTAATTCAAAATGGGTTCAAAGTACACAGGACTTCGGTCAATTAAGAAAGCTCCTCTATGATCTTGCTTATTTCCCCAGACACCTTTGTCCTTAAACATGTGGACCAGCATACTGTCAGGTTCTTTATTCACTGAAGTGCTCCGTGTAGTTGTAAAGTACCGCCCCTCCAACATTTAATGTCAGCCAGTCTGTGTGGAATCCTAACAATCCTTCAGGAGGCTTAGAATCTGCCTGAGGATCTTCCGTTCTTGGGGCTGCCATTCAGGAACAGGGCCACCCGCCTCATCGCGCTGCCCCTGCTGGGTCCTGAGTGAGCCGCCACCCTCCCACCTGGTCCTCCTCCCACCTTTTTCTCCTTCCGCCCTTCCCCTCCCTCTACCCTCTCGGATTCGCCTCCCTTTGCCACCTTCCTGCCCTTGGAGAATACCACACACACACCCGCTTTCTTCTAATGGTATTACCAAGATTAATGAGCTAAACAGAACATACATTGAAAGCATTGTGATTAACTGACTTGTAACAACTGCCTAATGGTTCTCTTATATTTTTGGGTTTATTGTAAATAACAAAATGGCACCTCAAGTGGTTGAATCTCAACTACTTCAAGGTTTATTCTCAGGTCAGGTACTTTATCCTCAAGGTTTTATAAGTATATTCCCCTCATTTATATTTCATTCATTCATTCATTCCCCAGACATTTATTAAACAGTTTCTTTGTTTAATAAATCTTAGGCTCTAAGATGGGTACAATATTGTCCATTGACTTTGCAGCTCACTGTCTAGTATGGGATAAAAGTCTGTAGACAAATAATAGCCAGTAGAGTGTGCTAGCTGCTACCTTAGAGGTGTAGTAAAAGTGCAAAGAGTGGTTGGAAAAAAAAATCTTTGAAGAGATATGAGTCTTGAAGTTGGAAAAAAGCAGAAGGGGGTACTCCAGGGAGAGAGATTATGATGGGGAAATGTGGAGGTATGGCTGCATGTCATGATTAGAAACTGCAAGATTTATTCTGTTACAAAGATACATCCACATGTGTGTTTATTGCAGCACTATTCATAATACCAAAGACATGGAATCAACCTCAATGCCCATAATTGATAGATTGGATAAAGAAAAGGTGGTACATATACACCATGAGATACTATGCAGCCATAAAAAGGAAAGAGATCATGTCCTTTGCAGGGATATGGATGGAGCTGGAAGCCATTATCCTCAGCAAACCCACGCAGGAACAGAAGACCAAACACTGCATGTTCTCACTTAAAAGTGGGAGCTGAACAATGAGAACACAGGGACACAGGGAAGGGAACAACACACACTGGGGCCTGTTGGAGGGTGGGGTCGGGGGAGGAAGAGCATTAGAAAAAGTAGCTAATGCATGGGGGGCGTAATACCTAGGTGATGGGTTGATGGTACAGCAAACCACCATGGCACATGTTTATGTAACAATCCTGCACATGTACCCCAGAACTTAAAATAAAAATAAAAATTTAAAAAAGGAAAGAATTTTTTTTATCCCAACCTCTAGACCACTTGGGAAGATTAGTGTGTATGGATGAAGCACAGGGTTCAAAATTAGGAATGACAGTAGATAAGGGTGGAAAGGGGAGGCTGATGCTGGATCACCGGGACTGGAAATGCCATGCCGAGGACTTGACACTTGATCCTGTACTTTGTAGGGAGCCACCCACTGAACAGCTTACTAGAAAATGTGCTTCTTAGAAAATGTCACCCAGATGGCTGTATGAAGAGTGGATTAAGGGTGACAAGAATGGAGGCAGGATTAACAGTTTGGCTTATTAAAAAAAAAAAAATCATTGGTATTTAACCTCATCCCCAAAGAACTTAAAATACTTTATAAAAATAAAGAGCAAGAGAACAAAGCATTTTATGAAGAAATTGGGGGGTAGATAGGGAGAGAAAGAGGACTCTTGGGGTAAAATTATACATTAAAATGCATGTCCCAGGCAGGGCGCGGTGGCTTAGGCCTATAATCCCAGCACTTTGGGAGGCCAAGGCAGACAGATCACTTGAGGTCAGGAGTTCGAGACCAGCCTGGGCAACATGGTGAAACCTTGTCTCTGCTAAAATACAAAAAATTAGCCAGGCATGCTGGTGGGCGCCTATAGTCCCAGCTACTCAGGAGGCTGAGGCACGAGAATTGCTTGAACCTGGGAGGCGGAGGTGGCAGTGAGCCAAGATTGTGCCACTGCACTCCAGCCTGGGTGATAGAGTGAGATTCCTTCTCAAAAAAAAAAAAAAAAAAAAGGAAAAGAAAATGTAAGTCCCCCTACTAAAAGTGGGTTGCCCATTCCTGGTACTGAGATTTACAAAGAGAGTAGTGCATTGACTTAGTGTTAATGTCCTCAGCAACATCGATGTGATACAGGCTGATGGAAGCTCACGAACCCCATTTGTCCTTCCTGTGCTCACAGGAGGACTATATTTTCCAGTCTTCTTTTTAGTTAGGCCAGTGGGGCACGGGCTATTGGAATGTCATGGATGTGATGTCATCTATTTCAGTCTTCCAACTCTTCCTTCCCCTTTGCATAGATCTTGGAAGGCATCAGTTTTAAGTGGTGTGAACTTCAACACACTTTGGACTTTTTATGAGCGAGAAATTAATCCTTATCTTGTTCAATCACAGAGATTTTGGAGTTCATTACTGCAGCATATGTTAACCTCCCCTGATTAATAAAAGCCCTATTGTAAACCTATTTTAAAAATCAGCCAAACTGTTAATCATGCCTCCAGTCTTGCCACCCTTAATTCACTCTTCACACCGCTGTCTGGGTATCTGTCTTTTGGAGAGTAGTAGGAAATTAATTTTTTGAATTTGGTAGCGCTAACCTGGTCAGTGGCAGACAGGATTATTATAACACGGTCTCTGGAGATGCATTTTTCCCTCCATTATTCACTGGCAATAGCTCATCGGGCTGCTTCAGATTTTCTGGAAGCCATGAAGCCATGACAAGCCTTGATTCTCTGCTGATGATTTTTGGTCAGTCCTATGGTCATGATTATAATTCACTGCAAATGTAAGAGGGCATTCAGCAACCTCTGATTATATATCAGTCTTTCTATTTTTTTGTTGTTGTTTCTTTGAAAGCACTTAAGATGCAATGAAGTTTTTTTTTTTTTTTTTTTTCCCATAGACAATGCCTTTTTCTGTTGCACAGGCTGTAGTGCAGTGGTGTGAACATAGCTCACTACAGTCTCAAATTCCTAGGCTCAAGGGATCCTCTCACCTAAGCCTCCAGAGTAACTGGGACTACAGGCACACACCACTGCAGCCGGATATATATACATATACATATGCATATACATATATATATACACATATGCATATACATATATATATATATGTATACATATTTGGAAGATGCGGGGGTCTTACTGTCTTGCCCAGGCTAGTCTTAAACTCCTGGCCTCGAGATCCTCCCACAGCACTGGGATTACAGGCAGAAGCCACCATGCTTGGCCTGCAATTGCCCTTTTAACATCCACCATAATAGTCTTCCTTTGTTTCTTTCAGAAGTGTTGAGCGCTGCCTCTTGCACAATTTTTGTCATGAGTCAAAACCGTTCATTAGAACACAAAGTAGATGGAATAACAACACAGATAGCACCCTCATTGACTAAATGATGCAGTGTGGTGTGCTAGAGCTCATTGGCTGAGAGTGGATGGTACCATGAGTTGGGCCAACTCTTACTGCCTAAGAATTTATCATAGCATGCAGAACATTGGGAAAATACAGGAACGGTATACTAGAGCAAGTTGTTTATATATTTTTTAGAAAAATATTTCAGAATCAGGAGGTTTATAACAAATACGTGCTGATCAAGAGTTTGTTAAATGGATATTATAAGGACTTCTGTGTAGCTGCTTATTATAGCTTTCAAAGCAAGCAGCTGGCACAATGCCACTGCACAATTCAGTGTTTGTCATTCTATGAGGATTAAAAGTGATGTGGTCCTGGTATCTAGTTCTCTGATCATCAGGAAATAATGGTCTCTCCCATGAAATCATGCTTTGATACTGAGCTTGTGATCAATATTCTGGATGACAGAATAGTGAGATTATACTCTTACAAATTCTCAATGGATGGTGTTTTAGGTTTCCAATTTGGGGAAGATATATACACTTTATTAGATAGTTGCAGTGGGCATAGCCAGATGTCAAATTCAGAAAAGTTGTTTTCATGGATGAAGCGCATTGTTTATTCCATTTTGATGTAGTTTTATTCTTATTTATAAAATAAAAAAATGCCGGTGTTTTTCCAATACAAAAACAAATGGGACGATTAATTCCATGTTTCTATACAATATAGTATAATCATGATATCCTTAGTCTTTCCAATATAAGTGGGAAAAAGAAGACATCTAAATTAAAGTAATATTAGCTTTTGGTGAATCCTTCAAGGTGAAGTGATTATATTAAATACCTCTCAGTAACCAAATAGTCTTGCAATGTGGGATTTTTAGACATGGAACAAAAACCTCAGATTTTGTTTTGGAATAGGTGATCTTGAGTAACACCTTCTGATAGCAATATATAGCAGGGCCAAGTATATATTATTGTCACTCCTGATCTGTGACATTAAAGCCATACAATTCACCAGAGGGAATTCCTTTTTCTTTTTTTCCCATTAAAAAAAATACAAGTGTTTGTGCTGATGTTTTAATATCTGAAATAAAAAATCCTAAAAGCTAAACTTCTCACTTATTTAAGTAAAAGAATCATTGGGACTCAAAGAGTTACTCTTTTTAGAAAATTGCCATCAACTACGTTGTTCCTGTTAGAACTTAAAGAGGAAGGATTAGATTCTACCATTAAAAATTGTTGTTTGATAATTCTGAAGGAAGATTCTCTTTCTTTGGTGCTCTATTATAATTATTATTACATTTAAAAACAAAAAAAGCCCAGAGTATGTAAATTAAAACAGTTGGCAAGTCCCAACTGCTTTCCACCTTACCTTCTCTTTTTCCGTCTTTTAGCTATTCTTTTTGCTGTTCACCCCCATATTTCTAAATAATGCATAGACATCACTATTTCTTCTTCCTTCTTTCCCACCAATTTCCAAGATGGAAGGTGAGGATTTCATACTTTTACAGTTTCCCCCTGCCCCTCCACACACGTAACACCCTATTCTACCAATATTACTAGATACTTGATAAATCAATATTTGTTATGACTATGTAAATAGTATCCATTGCTGTGCCTTCTAGTGTATTATAATTCCATTTACTTTTATTCAACTTTTTGCTTTCTATAGATCAAGTATACTATTTATTTTACATTTTCAACCTTTCTATTTACCTGTTTAATTTTTTTTTTTTTTTGAGGCGGAGTCTTTCTCTGTTACCCAGGCTGGAGTGCAGTGGCACGATCTTGGCTCACCGCAACCTCTGCCTCCCGGGTTCAAGAGATTCTCCTGACTCAGCCTCCTGAGTAGCTGGGATTACAGATATCCACCACAACCCCCAGCTAATTTTTGTATTTTTAGTAGAGAGGGGGTTTCACCATGTTGGCCAGGCTGGTCTTGAACTCTTGACCTCAAGTGATCTGCCCACCTCAGCCTCCCAAAGCGCTGGGATTACAGGTGTGAGCCACCATGCTTGGCCTTACCTACTTAATTTAGTCCCAAACTGTATCTGTTAAAATATAAATTTCCCCACAATACATTCAAATGTAGTGGGCAGGCCTGCCTGCCTGCCTGCCTGCCCTTCCTCCCTCCCTCCCTTCCTCTTACCGTCCCTTTTTTCCTCTCTCCCTTTTCTCTCTTTTTTCATTTCCCCAACTGGTGACATTCATTCTGTAGCCCCAGATTCCTCTGCCCCAACCTGGATGAGTTCTCTCCAGGAAGATGTCTGAGTACTGGTTTTCCTTCTACTGTCACCGTGGAAATTTCCTTTGCCTCTTTCCTGAATTGGATTCCATGCCTTCTCCTTTCTTGGTTTATTGCTATACTTGGTCAAGCACATCCCCCTGAAACTTTTCGTAAAAGGGTACTCATGTAAAAGGGCACATCACAGGTTAATTTTTTGAGATTTTCCACGTTTGAACATATTTTTATTCTACTCTTACACTTGAATGAGTTTCAACTCTGCATTAGTCAGCTTGGGCTGCCTTAACAGAATACCACAGACGGGGTGTTTTAAACAACAGACATTTATTTATTTTCTCACAGTTCTGGAGGCTGGAAGTCCAAGGTCAAAATTCCAGCTGATTCTGTTTCTGGTGAGGGCTCTCTTCCTGGCTTGCAGATGGCCGCCTTCTTGCTGTGTCCTCACAAAGCCTTTCTTCCATGAGTGGACACAGGGACAGAGAGCAAGAGTGAGCTCTCTGGTGTCTCTTTTTAGAAGTACACTAATCTTATCACATCAGTGCTCTATCTAAATGACCTCATTTAACCTCAATTACTTTCTTAGAGGCTGGATCTCCAAACATAGCCACACTGGGGGCTAGGGATTACAATTATTTTTTTCCTTAAAATTTTGAAGGCAAGTTTCCATTACCTTCTAGCATTCAGTGATTTTGAGACGTCTGAGACCATCCTCATTACAAATCCTGTGTATTGAACTGTTTTGTCCTTCTGGAGGCTTTTAAGATCTTCTCTGTATCCCCAGGCTTCTGAAATTTCATGATGATGTGCTTTAGTGCATGTTTTCCTAAAAAAATTCACGGTGTGGATGAAAAATTGTGGATATTTTAAATTGAGAAATTCATGTTATTTAATCTGAATGTTAAAAAATTCTTTTTAGATAATTTATTTTCTATTTCCTTTTTTTACAAAGAATTTCTATTTTTCTGATTTAGATCTCCTGATGGATCCTTTCTTTTTTTACTAAATTGTATTTTTCATATTTAATTTCTGTGTCTTTTCATTCCCTGTCTATTGAATGTTGGTATCTATATCTATCTATAAATATATATAGCCCTGAGGCTAGATAGTAAAGGTATACTGTTCTTTCTACTATATGAAGGCAACTACCTCTGATTATATTGCTAATAAGGATGGAAAAAATTGCTAAGTGCACACTAATTTCCAGGAGCTGTGTTAATTTTCTCTAGTGAAGATACCACATTTGCATTGCAGCAGTGGTTGGCGTCACCATCTGCTACTGTTTGTGACAGTCTGTAGTCATCTTTGTGCCCTTTCTGGCTTTGGCATTGGGAAAACAGATGCATTTAATGGTGTTGTGTTGAGAATTATCACCCTGGGTGTCTAAAGTAGTCAAATTCACAGAAACAAAGTAGAATGGTGGTTTCCAAGGGCTGGGAAAATGGGGAGATAGGGAGTTGTTGTTTATGGGTGTAGAGTTTGAATTTTGCAAGATGAAAATGTTCTGGAGATCCATCACACAATGTGAATATATATAACACGACTGAACTGTGTGCTTAAAATTGGGTAAGATGGTAAATTATGTTATGTGTTTTTTATAATTTTTTTGAAAGCAAAACAACAATCAAAGAATTATCACTGCATTTCTCAAATATTTGATGGTGGCAATTATTGCTGCAATTATCATGGGGATGTAGCATTGTTTGTGGTTTACTATCTCAGTAAAGGCTGAAGCAGTTCCAGAAGTTTCTACTCTGCCCTTCCTACCCAAATAGCCCTCACTTCGCTGACCAGAGAACCAAAGTAGGGAGTCTACCAATTACTAAATGTATCTATTCCCACTGTACATTCTGAGGTTAGGGAAATGACCGTAGATAGAATGGGTCTCTGGTCTTCACAGCCAATATCTAATAACGCAGAAGGTCAGGTATTTCACTTTCCCCAATATTCAGATAGTCTCTTAAATGGCAGTAGGACCCTCTGGGAAAGCCCTGGGGGATGATTTAGGGTGAATATCTGTGGCCGCATTGCAGGATCCTTCCTCAAAGTTCTTGCTCAGTCAAAGGGTTTTGGGTGTATATACTATGTATTTGTTTTTTAGAGTCAGGGTCTCCCTCTCTTGCCCAGGCTGGAGTGCAGTGATGCAATCGAAGCTCACTGCAGCCTCAAACTCCTGGGCTCAACGGATCCTCCTACCCCTTGGCCTCCCAAAGCACAGAGATTACAAGTATGAGCCACTGGGCCGGCCAGGTGAACTCACTTAGGTGTGGAAACTAGTTAAGAGGCCGTGAATTCCTTGCTGCAGCAGCTAGAGTGAGGTGTCTGCCCAGCAGACCTGGAATTCTTCCATTTATAATTACCAAGCAGCATCCTTGTAGTCTGTCCACCCCTTTCATTGACAGGGATTCCACGATCTATTAGACAACCCCGGAATCCTGCGAGTCTAAACCCTCCGATAACAACTTAGTTCTTATGGCTTTAGTGATCATTGTGCCCTCCTCGCCTGTGGTGGTCAGGGTTGCTGCCTGTCCTCCAGTACACTAGGATCCCATTTCCCCACCAAAGCCAGGGAGCGTTGGTTCTTCTGCAGCGTTTCCCTCTATCATCATCGGCTTATGGAGAAGAGCTACTGCAGACCTTTAAAAGATGCCGATTACTGCCTTTCCCACCAACAAATGTCTTCCCCTCTCATCAATGAATTACTTAATTTCCTAATGTCTTGGTGAAGGCAGTGTCCTCAGGTCCTTCTAGTGGGTAAGGGTAGGAGTGGCTATGGAGGTCGCTCATAATATATCTGTTTCAACATCTCCACCTCACTGAGCTTTTGGATTCCTTCTTCTACAGTAAACCAGAGGATTTTTAGCATGTTAACCTCATTGACTGCTTCTCACTCTTGAGTCCAGGCTTCAGTTAACCAATCCAGTAGACTGGTAACACTACTCCCTGGCACTGAAGCCAGTTTATTAAATTCTAATTCTGGGTTACACATACCCATATCAATACATGCAGTCCAAACAGCTTTATATATTTCAGTTTCCTGGTGCCATGCCCTTCAAATTGCTCCCATACATATCCTTCAGAATCCTGTAGGGGACATTGCACTTCCTTGTCCTATCTCTGTTAGGCTCAAACTCTCATCATGAACTTGGAGACAAGAATGGTTGAGGGTCTGGCCAGGTCCTGAGCATAAGAAACATTCATTTTTGAAGCAACTACCCCCGGTACAATCATTGAAAATTTTTTTCTGCCCCAGGAAAAAGGCAGCGAAACTCAGAGTGGAGAGGGATTGATTCCGCTTTCAAGGAAGGTCCAAAAAGATCTGGGGGTTCAACACACTCAGCCTCATTTCTGATTGCTCAGATGACCTCTTCCCTATCTCAGGCTTCCCCTCCTTCATCACCAACCAATACCCTTATCGTGGTGAACAGACATGACAGTGCTGACCACTTAGTGGGTTTTTCAACTCTATGTCTCCTAAAAACAGGCTTGCTCTTGGGCCTCAGCTATTTATTCTGTTACTGCGTAAGACAAAGGACTCTTAACCAATCTACCTACCTTCCTTCCTTCCTTCCTTCTTTCCTTCCTTCCTTCCTTCCTTCCTTCCTTCCTTCCTTCCTTCCTTCCTTCCTTCCTTCCTTCCTTCTTTCTTTCCTACTGAGACAGAATCTCATTCTGTCACCCAGGCTGGAGTGCAGTGGTACAATCATGGCTCACTGCAGCCTTGAATTCTTGGGCTCAAGCAATCCTCCCACCTCAGCCTCCTGAGTAGCTGGGACCACAGGTATGCACCACCATAACTGACTAATTAAAAACTTTTTTTTTTTTTTTTGGTAGAGCCAGGGTCTACATTGCCTAGGCTGGTTTTGAACTCCTGGGCTCAAGTGAGCCTCCTGCCTTCCCAAGGTGTTGGGATTACAGGTGTGAGCCACTGTGCCTGGCCTGGTTTTCTATGTTTGTTTTGAGTTGAATGATTACCAACTCCAATTTCTTCTTTCCCCTAGGTATCCTCTCTAGGGAAATCAGAAAAAGCCAGCTGGTCCCATAATCTTTATAATCAGCCCTACATGTTTTATAAGTACTGTTGTTGCCATAGCAATGATATATCCCAGACAGTTTATTTTTCAGCAACTTGCCTCCTACCTGCAGTTCATCCCATCCCTACCTGTGATGATCTAAGTAATGGTGATGCCAACACATGCCATGGGTTACTAGAACCCCACTTCCTTTTAACAAGGAGTTTAACAAGGAGGTTATTTGCGAGCTTCTCAAATATGTATGATAAGCTCAACCAAGAATCCCGTTTTGAAAGTCTTTTTCCTAGTTTCACTCTAGGCAACAATGACTCTATCAGTCAGGGTCCTGTCAAGAAACAAATGGCATGCCCAAACTAGTTATTTGGAAGAGGATTTAATAGGGGACTATGCCTAGAGGTGCAGGTAAGGTTTGAGGAAGCTAGCTGATGCAATTATAGGACTACAGGTTAGTAACTGTGGGAAGTTGACAGCACCGGCTGGAAGAGGCAATGGGAGGATGGTCCTGGATCTGGAGAGGCAAGCTCTGGGCAGATACCTGCCTGTCAAAGCTTGGCCTTTGGGAGAAGGAGGAAGCTACTCAAAGGAGGTAGCAGGGAAAACAAACCCTTTGACCTTTTTTATTTTCATTTTTGTTTTTTACTTTTTCTTTTCTCTTTCTTTTTTTTTTAAATTATACCTTAAGTTTTAGGGTACATGTGCACAATGTGCAGGTTAGTTACATAAGTATACATGTGCCATGCTGGTGTGCTGCACCCATTAACTCATCATTTAACATTAGATATACCTCCTAATGCTATCCCTCCCCTCTCCCCTGACCCCACAACAGGCCCCGGTGTGTGATGTTCCTCTTCCTGTGTCCATGTGTTCTCATTGTTCAATTCCCATCTATGAGTGAGAACATGCAGTGTTTGGTTTTTTGTCCTTGTGATAGTTTGCTGAGAATGATGGTTTCCAGCTTCATCCATGTCCCTACAAAGGACATGAACTCATAATTTTTTATGGCTGCATAGTATTCCATGGTGTATATGTGCCACATTTTCTTAATCCAATCTATCATTGTTGGACATTTGTGTTGGTTCCAAGTCTTTGCTATTGTGAATAGTGCCGCAATAAACATACGTGTGCATGTGTCTTTATAGCAGCATGATTTATAATCCTTTGGGTATATACCTAGTAATGGGATTGCTGGGTCAAATGGTATTTCTAGTTCTGGATCCCTGAAGAATCGCCACACTGACTTCCACAATGGTTGAACTAGTTTACAGTCCCACCAACAGTGTAAAAGTGTTCCTATTTCTCCACATCCTCTCCAGCACCTGTTGTTTCCTGACTTCTTAATGATCGCCATTCTAACTGGTGTGAGATGGTATCTCATTGTGGTTTTGATTTGCATTTGTCTGATGGCCAGTGATGATGAGCATTTTTTCATATGTCTTTTGGCTGCATAAATGTCTTCTTTTGAGAAGTGTCTGTTCATATCCTTCGCCCACTGTTTGATGGGGTTGTTTGTTTTTTCTTGTAAATTTGTTGGAGTTCATTGTAGATTCTGGATATTAGCTCTTTGTCAGGTGAGTGGATTGCAAAAATTTTCTTCCATTCTGTAGGTTGTCTGTTCACTCTGATGGTAGTTTCTTTTGCTGTGCAGAAGCTCTTTAATTTAATTAGATCCCATTTGTCAATTTTGGCTTTTGTTACCATTGCTTTTGGTATTTTAGACATGAAGTCCTTGCCTGTGCCTATGTCCTGAATGGTATTGCCTAGGTTTTCTTCTAGGGTTTTTATGGTTTTAGGTCTAACATGTAAGTCTTTAATCCATCTTGAATTAATTTTTGTATAAGGTGTAAGGAAGGGATCCAGTTTCAGCTTTCTATATATGGCTAGCCAGTTTTCCCAGCACCATTTGTTAAATAGGAATCCTTTCCCCATTCCTTGTTTTTGTCAGGTTTGTCAAAGATCAGATAGTTGTAGATATGTGGCATTATTTCTGAGGACTCTGTTCTGTTCCATTGGTCTATATCTCTGTTTTGGTACCAGTACCATGCTGTTTTGGTTACTGTAGGCTTGTAGTATAGTTTGAAGTCAGGTAGTGTGATGCCTCCAGCTTTGTTCTTTTGGCTTAGGATTGACTTGGCAATGCAGGCTCTTTTCTGGTTCCATATGAACTTTAAAGTAGTTTTTTCCAATTCTGTGAAGCAAGTCATTGGTAGCTTGATGGGAATGGCATTGAATCTATAAATTACCTTGGGCAGTATGGCCATTTTCATAATATTGATTCTTCCTACCTGTGAGCATGGAATGTTCTTCCATTGGTTTGTATCCTCTTTTATTTCATTAAGCAGTGGTTTGTAGTTCTCCTTGAAGAGGTCTTTCACATCCTTTGTAAGTTGAATTCCTAGGTATTTTATTCTCTTTGAAGCAATTGTGAATGGGAGTTCACTCATCATTTGGCTCTCTGTTTGTCTGTTTTTGGTGTATAAGAATGCTTGTGATTTTTGCACATTGATTTTGTATCCTGAGACTTGCTGAAGTTGCCTATCAGCTTAAGGAGACTTTGGGCTGAGAGGATGGGGTTTTCTAGATATACAATCATGTCATCTGCAAATAGGGACAATTTGACTTCCTATTTTCCTCATTGAATACTCTTTATTTCCTTCTTCTGCCTGATTGCCCTGGCCAGAACTTCCAACACTATGTTGAATAGGAGTGGTGAGAGAGGGCATCACTGTCTTGTGCCAGTTTTCAAAGGGAATGCTTCCAGTTTTTGCCATTCAGTATGATACTGGCTGTGGGTTTGTCATAGATAGCTCTTATTATTTTGAGATACATCCCATCAATACCTAATTTATTGAGAGTTTTTAGCATGAAGCATTGTTGAATTTTGTCAAAGGCCTTTTCTGCATCTATTGAGACAATCATGTGGTTTGTGTCATTGGTTCTGTTTATATGCTAGATTATGTTTATTGATTTTTGTATGTTGAACCAGCCTTGCATCCCAGGGATGAAGCCCACTTGATCATGGTGGATAAGCTTTTTGATGTGCTGCTGGATTCAGTTTGCCAGTATTTTGTTGAGGATTTGTGCATCGATGTTCATCAGGGATATTGGCCTAAAATTCTCTTTTTTTGTTGTGTCTCTGCCAGGCTTTGGTATCTGGATGATGCTGGCCTCATAAAATGAGTTAGGGAGGATTCTCTCTTTTTCTATTGATTGGAATAGTTTCAGAACGAATGGTACCAGCTCCTTCTTGTACCTCTGGTGGAATTTGGCTGTGAATCCATCTGGTCCTGGACTTTTTTTAGTTGGTAAGCTATTAATTATTGCCTCAATTTCAGAGCCTGTTACTGGTCTATTCAGAGATTCAACTTCTTCCTGGTTTAGTCTTGGGAGTGTGTATGTGTCCAGGAATTTATCCATTTCTTCTAGATTTTCTAGTTTATTTGTGTAGGGGTGTTTATAGTATTCTCTGATGGTAGTTTGTATTTCTGTGGGATTGGTGGTGATATCCCCTTTATCATTTTTTCTTGCATCTATTTGATCCTTCTCTCTTTTCTTCTTTATTAGTCTTGCTAGTGGTCTATCCATTTTGTTGATCATTTCAAAAAACCAGCTCCTGGATTCATTGATTTTTTGAAGGGTTTTTTGTGTCTCTATCTCCTTCAGTTCTGCTCTGATCTTAGTTATTTCTTGCCTTCTGCTAGCTTTTGAATGTGTTTGCTCTTGCTTCTCTAGTTCCTTTAATTGTGATGTTAGGGTGTCAATTTTAGATCTTTCCTGCTTTCTCTTGTGGGCATTTAGTGCTATAAATTTCCCTCTACACACTGCTTTGAATGTGTCCCAGAGATTCTGGTATGTTGTGTCTTTGTTCTCATTGGTTTCAAAGAACATCTTTATTTCTGCCTTCATTTCGTTATGTACCCAGTAGTCATTCAGGAGCAGGTTGTTCAGTTTCCATGTAGTTGAGTGGTTTTGAGTGAGTTTCTTAATCCTGAGTTCTAGTTTGATTGCACTGTGGTCTGAGAGACAGTTTGTTATAATTTCTGTTCTTTTACATTTGCTGAGGAGTGCTTTACTTCCAACTATGTGGTCAATTTTGGAATAAGTGTGGTGTGGTGCTGTAAAGAATGTACATTCTATTGATTTGGGGTGGAGAGTTCTGTAGATGTCTATTAGGTCCGCTTGGTGCAGAGCTGAGTTCAAATCCTGGATATCCTTGTTAACTTTCTGTCTCATTGATCTGTCTAATGTTGACAGTGGGGTGTTAAAGTCTCCCATTATTATTGCTTGGGAGTCTAAGTCTCTTTGTAGGTCTCTAAGGACTTGCTTTATGAATTTGGGTGCTCCTGTATTGGGTGCATATATATTTAGGATAGTTAGCTCTTCTTGTTGAATTGATCCCTTTACCGTCATGTAATGGCCTTCTTTGTCTCTTTTGATCTTTGTTGGTTTAAAGTCTGTTTTATCAGAGACTAGGATTGCAACCCCTGCCTTTTTTTGTTTTCCATTTGCTTGGTAGATCTTCCTCCATCCCTTTATTTTGAGCCTATATGTGTCTCTGCACGTGAGATGGGTTTCCTGAATACAGCACACTGATGGGTCTTGACTCTTTATCCAGTCTGGCAGTCTGTGTCTTTTAATTGGAGCATTTAGCCCATTGACATTTAAGATTAATATTGTTATGTGTGAATTTGATCCTGTCATTATGATGTTAGCTGGTTATTTTGCACATTAGTGAATGTAGTTTCTTCCTAGCATCAATGGTCTTTACAATTTGTCATGTTTTTGCAGTGGCTGGTACCAGTTGTTCCTTTCCATGTTTAGTGCTTCCTTCAGGAGCTCTTGTAGGGCAGGCCTGGTGGTGACAAAATCTCTCAGCATTTGCTTGTCCGTAAAGGATTTTATTTCTCCTTCACTTATGAAGCTTAGTTTGGCAGGATATGAAAATCTGGGTTGAAAATTCTTTTCTTTAAGAATGTTGAATATTGGCCCCCACTCTCTTCTGGCTTGTAGAGTTTCTGCTGAGAGATCAGCTGTTAGTCTGAAGGACTTCCCTTTGTGGGTAACCCAACCTTTCTCTCTGGCTGCCCTTAACATTTTTTCCTTCATTTCAACTTTGGTGAATCTGACAATTATTTGTCTTGGAGTTGCTTTTCTCGAGGAGTATCTTTGTGGTGTTCTCTGTATTTCCTGAATCTGAATGTTGGCCTGCCTTGCTAGATTGGGGAAGTTCTCCTGGATAATATCCTGCGGAGTGATTTCCAACTTGGTTCCATTCTCCCCGTCGATTTCAGGTACACCAATCAGACGTAGATTTGGTTTTTTCACATAGTCCCATATTTCTTGGAGGCTTTGTTCATTTCTTTTTATTTTTTTTTCTCTAAACTTCTCTTCTCATTTCATTTCATTCATTTGATCTTCCATCACTGATATCCTTTCTTCCAGTTGATCGAATCAGCTGCTGAGACTTGTGCATTCATCACGTAGTTCTTGTGCCATGGTTTTCAGCTCCATCAGGTTTTTTAAGGACTTCTCTGCATTGGTTATTCTAGTTAGCCATTCGTCTAATCTTTTTTCAAGGTTTTTAACTTCTTTGCCATGGGTTCGAACTTCCTCCTTTAGCTCGGAGTAGTTTGATAGTCTGAAGCCTTCTTCTCTCAACTCGTCATAGTCATTCTCCATCCAGCTTTGTTCCGTTGCTGGTGAGGAGCTGAGTTCCTTTGGAGGAGGAGAGGCACTCTGATTTTTAGAGTTTCCAGGTTTTCTGCTTTGTTTTTTCCCCATCTTGGTGGTTTTATCTACCCTTGGTCTTTGATGATGGTGACGTACAGATGGGATTTCGGTATGGATGTCCTTTCTGTTTGTTAGTTTTCCTTCTAACAGTCAGGACCCTCAGCTGCAGGTCTGTTGGAGTTTGCTGGAGGTCCACTCCAGACCCTGTTTGCTTGGGTATCAGCAGCAGAGGCTGCAGAACAGCAGATATTGGTGAGCAGCAAATGTTGCTGCCTGATCGTTCCTCTGGAAGTTTTGTCTCAGAGGAGTACTCAGCTGTGTGAGGTATCAGTCTGCCCCTACTGAGGGGTGCTTCCCAGTTAGGCTACTCGGGGGTCAGGGACGCACTTGAGGAGGCAGTCTGTCCATTCTCAGATCTCCAGCTGCGTGCTGGGAGAACCACTACTCTCTTCAAAGCTGTCAGACAGGGACATTTAAGTCTGCAGAGGATTCTGCTGCCTTTTGTTTGGCTATGCCCTGCCCCCAGAGGTGGAGTCTACAGAGGCAGGCAGGCCTCCTTGAGCTGCGGTGGGCTCCACCCAGTTCGAGCTTCCTGGCTGCTTTGTTTACCTACTCAAGCCTCGGAAATGGTGGGCGCCCTCCCCTAGCCTTGCTGCCGCCCTGCAGTTTGATCTCAGACTGCTGTGCTAGCAATGAGCATGGCTCCGTGGCTCCGTGGGCATAGGTCCCTCTGAGCCAGGCACAGGATATAACCTCCTGGTGTGCCATTTTTAAGCCCGTTAGAAAAGCACAGTATTAGGGTGGGAGTGACCTGATTTTCCAGGTGCCATCTCTTACCCCTTTCTTTGACTAGGAAAGGGAATTCCCTGACCCCTTGCACTTCCCGGGTGAGGCGATGCCTCGTCCTGCTTTGGCTTACTCTCAGTGCATTGCACCCACTGTTCTGCATCCACTTCCCTACAGTCCCCAGTGAGATGAACCCAGTATCTCAGTTGGAAATGCAGAAATCACCCGTCTTCTGCGTTGCTCACGCTGGGAGCTGTAGACTGGAGCTGTTCCTATTCGGCCATCTTGGCTCCACCCCGCCCCCCCCCACAGACCTTTTCTCTCTCTTTCTTTTTTCTCTGTCTCTCTTTCTTTCTTTCATATTTATTCTGTTTATTGGCAGTGTGTAGTTTATTTGTGCTAATTAACTGCCTAGGGCCCTTTGTCCATCTTTCTTTTTTTATTTTTATTTAATTTTACTTTAAGTTCTGGGATACATGTGCTGAATGTATATGTTTGTTACATAGGTATACATGTGCCGTGGTGGTTTGCTGCACCTATCAACTCCTCAATCTAGGTTTTAAACCCCACATGCATTCGGTATTTGTCCTAATGCTCTCCCTCCCCTTGCCCTCTACCCCTCGACAGGCCCCGGTATGTGATGTTCCCTTCCCTGTGTCCATGTGTTTTCATAGTTCAAGTCCCACTTATGAGTGAGAACATGCAGTGGCAAACCCCTTTTTATTTCTCTCCCCTATTACTCCCGAGTGCCTTCCACTGGTCACATCCTCTCACAAGCCAGAAGACAAAGGATCCCATTGATGTTGTCTCATGGGGGTCAATCTCCTGAGCTCAATTGGTATGGGGAAAGATTGAGAGTAAATATAATAGAACAAGTAGAAGATATCCAGCCTAGGCCCTAACTGCAACATGGTGTCAAGTGCTGGCCTGCCTGGTAGACATGAGTGTCAAATTTCTTCCAGATTTATGATATGTGGTTGACCCTTGAACAACACAAGTTTGAGCTGTGAGGGTCCACTCATAATTGAATTTCCTTCTGCCTCTGTCACCCCGAGACAGCAAAACCAACCCCTCTTCCTCTTCCTCTTCTGCATACTCAATGTGAAGACAATGAGCGTGAAGACCTGTAGGATGATCCACTTCCACTTAATGAATGGTAATTACATTTTCTCTTTCTTAGGATTTTCTTAGTAACATTTTCTTTTTTCTAGCTTGCTTTATTGTAAGAACACAGTATATAATACATATAATGCACAAAATCTGTTAATGGACTGTTCATGTTATTAGTAAGGCTTCTAGTCAGACTACTAGTAGTTAGGTTTTTGGAGAGTCAAAAATTACATGTGGATTTTTGACTGCATGTGCAGTGGCTCATGCCTGTAATCCCAGCACTTCGGGAGGCTGAGGCGGATGATCACTTGAGCCTCAGGAGTTCGAGGCCAGCCTGGGCAACATAGGGAGACCCTGTCTCTACAAAAACAAAACAAAACAAAACAATCATACAAACCTCAACAACCCTCCACCACCAAAAGATATCCAGATAGCAATGTAGAAGAGACTGCCTTTGGAAACAGGAGAGAGAATCGGGAATTCAGGAGTGGGTTCCAGGCTAGAGAAGTAGATTGGGATTGGAGCTGTTCTTGTGAAGTGTATAGAGGTGGAAGTTAGGCTATTTTTTTTTTTTTCCAGAAATGTCCTAGGAATAAGGCAAACTAGAAAAGCTCTATATCTCAGGTGAGAGGAGCTACTGTTCTTCTTCTGCTCAGGAGCCAAAAGCAGGAGGGAAAGGGCACTTTGCGGGGATATGAGGGGCACACTTCAGTCACCGTTTGGTCTTAGGCTATTCCAGATAGTGCAGTTCCAGGAGGCCCTGAGCTGCTTCCCAGGGTGGCTACAGCAGAGGGTGATTCACTTGTGTGACAGCCCAGTGTAGAGGCAGGAAGTGCTGCCTCCCTCCAGGGCTGTAATTAGCAGAGGCTTTCTTGCCTTTTGTCATGATAAATGGTGCCTGCCAGGGCTTTCCTTGTGCTTAATCTATGAGAGAAATGAGTGACTCACGCCCTTTTCTGGGGCCACTTTTAAGGCACTCAAGCTTTCTTAAGCAGATTCCAGGGGAACCCCTCAGACTCCATCTGAAAGTCATCTTTATTTCTGAACGACTCATTCTCTTTCAAACAAGTTCCCACTTCTTGGGGAAAAGCAGGCTTCTGCCTTTTACTGCTTGTTTCTTAGGCTTCTTTGTGGATGTCTCCTATTTTCCAGGGTGTTTACGTAGCATAGACTAATGTTCTCTCAGATAGTGGTAAGTCACCAACCTCCACATCTTTGAAACCCACCAATTGTTCAATAGCTTGTGAGTATCAATCCAAACTCCAAACGCTTTCCTGGGAAGGTCATGAGGAAAGCAATGAGAAGAGAATCTGTCTGCAGAACAAATTTCCATTTTGGCACTCACTCAGGGTCACCAGAAGGTTCACTTCCCAAGAGCGTTGGAACTTACGTTTCTTGGATGGACACTTTAGTCTCTGAACTGATGACTGGAAAAGTCTTCAGCAGATGTGACATTGTCCAGGCCATCTGCTTTAAGGTTTAACATGCCATACCTTACAAAGCCAGAACCTGTGATCTCAAGCAACACACGGTTCGAGGTCACCTTCAGCTACCCCTGCTTGTTGCTTCAGAACAGCAGTTGTGTTACAGGAAAGGAGTCCTGATCCAGACCCCAAGAGAAGGTTCTTGGATCTTGCACAAGAAAGAATTCAAGGCGAGTCTGCAGTGCAAAGTAAAAGCAAGTTTATTAAGGAAGTAAAGTGGTGAAAGGACAGCTACTCCATAGACAGAGTAGGACGTTCCTGAAAGTAAGAGGAGGAATGTGTCCACCCTAGGTACAATACTTGTATATATGCAGAGATGTGTTCTGCTGCAAGGGTGATGTGATAAAGGATTAATTTTCTTAATTACTATATTCTGTAAGAATCAATATTATTATCTTTAAAGCAAAATTAGGAATGCCTTTGTTCTCCAGATATCGAAATATCTGGACACTCCCAAGTCTGGGTCTGTTTTAGTAAACATTATAAATTTGTTCCCTTAACCACAAACATCTAGAGGCTAGGAATACCTAATTTTCTGGGAACGCAGCCCAGCAAATCTCAGCCTCATTTTCCTAGCCCTCACTCAAAATTGAGTCGCTCTGGTTCGAATGCCTCTGAAAGTTGCAGCAGTGAAAACAGTAGCTTTGTTCCTTCTGACAGTGCTCTAAAATAGCTTTATTTTTATTTTATTACTATTTTTTGAGGTAGAGTCTTGCTCTGTTACCCAGGCTGGAGTGCAGTGACACAACCATGGCTCACTCAGCCTTGACCTCCTGGGCTCAAAGTGATTCTCTCACTTGAGCCTACCAAGTAGCTGGGACTACGGGCACGTGCCACCACACCTGGCTAATTTTTGTATATTCTCTAGAGATGGGGTTTCGCCATGTTGTCCAGGCTAGTCTTGAACTCTTCAACTCAAGTGATATGACTGCCTCAGCCCCGCAAAGTGCTAGCATTACAGGCATGAGTCACTGTACCTGGCCTAAAATAACTTTAAATAACATTTACTATTAAAAGTTTTAAAGTGGGAAAACGTCTTAAGGAGCTTCTTTTTAAGAGGCCATAGAAAGAAGTGAGGGTGGGAGATCCAGAACTTTGCTTTTTATTTTTATTTCTTTTAGCCTTTCACAGCAACAAGGTGGGAACTATCCTTCAGGTCTTTCTCAGTTTCCGTGAGGCTCAGAATGGTGGGCGTTTCTGCTAGTGGAGTGTTACTGTGACGAAGCTCTCCAGGGGAAGTTCCTGTTGTATCTTTAGTTGCAAAAAGTAGAGTTACATATATTTTCTTTTTCTTTTTTTCTTTCTTTCTTTTTTTTTTTGAGACAGGGTCTTGCCGTGTTGCCCAAGCTGGAGTGCAGTGGTGTGTTCATAGCTCACTGTATCCTTGAACTTCTTGGGTCAAATGATCCTCCTGCTGTAGCCTCCTGAGCAACTGGGACTACAGTTGCATGCCACCATACCTAGCTAATCAAAAATTGTTTCTTTGTGGAAACAAGGTCTTGCTATGTTGCCCAGGCTGGTCTGGAACTCCTGGCCTCAAGCAATCCTCCTGCCTTGGCCTTCCTATATTTTCTTACACCTAAAATCCAAAAACATTTTATCTGAGATGACTGCCAGCAGTGGAGGATAAGAGAGATGAATTTTCTATTCTTGTCAGAGGTCCTAGTTCATTATTAGTTCTTATTTTTTAGTTGATAGAAGCAGGTTTCACTTTAAGATAATATCTTAGGAAATAAAGATAGAAATTTATCAATGGTATAAATTTAGGGGCATCATTGTATCACAAATTATAGGTGTTTGCTTTCAAAAAAAACCTTCTTGTGAGACCACTTAAAATTATTTGTTTGTAACTTGATTTACACGCATGCGGATATAACTAACATATAGCTTAAGAATTACTTCTATTCTGCTACTTGTTTTGTAAAAAGATAAGGTGTGTACTTATAAGCCAAAAGAAAAGAAACAGGTGGACGTGGTGGCTCATACCTGTAATTCCAGCACTTTGGGAAGCTGAGGTGGGTGGATCACGTGAGCCCAGGCATTTGAGACCAGCCTGGGCAATGTAGTGAATCCCTGTAGTTAGGCATGGTGGCATGTGCCTGTACTCCTGGCTAGTTTGGGGTATGAGTGGGAAGATTGCTTGAAGACAGGGGTTCAAGGCTGTGGTGAGCTATGATGGTGCCACTGCACTCCAGCCTGGGGGACTTTAAAAAAAAAATAAGGTAGTCAGACTACTTATGATTGTAAGAGCATCAATGTTTAAATATTAACTTTATTGTTTTATACCCAATCCTATGATATCTAAAATGCAAGTTTTATGTTAACCAGTTAACAAGTTGCAAAAGAGATTACTTTTCCTGGGTTCCTCAGCCCAGAATAGTTCAAACCATGGTGTTATTTTCATAAGCAGGCTTAAAGATCCTACCTCCAGCATGTGATTGACTACTAGGAAGTGAGTGAAGTCAAGTCCTGAGTGTTTTGCACTGATGTACAATGGTTGAGGGAGTTGGCTGCGAGTGGCTGGCAAGTTCCATGGATATCTGTGTGTTACTCATGGAAAACATGGAAGGAACCTAGCTGTATGAAGGTACCAGGAGGAATCAAGATCATAATTGTCTTCTCATACCAGATGGCAGTCACGTCTTTGCAAGTGGATGGGACATGAGGAAGGAGTTGAGGTGGTGGATGGATGCGCGATTGGGAACAGTTGGTGTAGGATTATTCCTGTGTGTGTCCTGGTTATTGCACATGGTTGTGTGACCTTTATTTGAGAGAGGCTTGCTCTGTCACCCAGGCTGGAGTGCAGTGGCGAGATCTCGGCTCACTGCAACTTCTGCCTACCAGCATCAAGTGATTCTCCTGCCTCAGCCTCCTGATTAGCTGGGATTATAGGTGCGCACCACCACGCCTGACTAAATTTTGTATTTTTAGTAGAGATGGGGTTTCACCATGTTGGTCAGGCTGGTCTCGAACCCCTAACCTCGTGATCTGCCTGTCTCAGCCTCCCAAAGCGCTGGGACTGTAGGCGCGAGCCACCGTGCCCAGCCCGGTTGTGTGACTTTTTATGTTTAGAGGGTTTATTGCTTTGAAGGGCTCTTAGAGTGTTGTGTTTAGCATTTTTCCTTTCCCCTGTCTCACAGTAAAAGCCTCAATATGAAGATTCTCATCTAACAGGTATCCTTTCCAAGTGACCCCATCTCCTACATGGAGAAAGACACTTTCTACGTTGTCTTGGAACTTCCATCAGAGTTTTGGGAAAACTTTATGTGAAGTCTAAAGCTAACAGAAAACCTCTTCCGGTGAGAAGTTTTTGGTTATAAGAAGTAATCTAGGACACTAAATTGAGAGCTATTGGTTATATGGAAAAAATGTGGTCTGACTTATTGATGAAGATGAGGGACCTATGATTTGAGTATTCAGTGAGGTTAAAAAAACACCACTCAGCTGGGCGCCATGTCTCACACCTGTCATCTTAGCACTTTGGGAGGCTGAGGTAGGAGGATTGTTGAGCCCATGAGGTCCAGACCAGCCAGGGAAGCAAAGTGGGGCCTCATCTGTATAAAAATAAAAAATTAGCTGGGTAGGGTGGTGCACCGGTAGTCCCAGCTACTTAGGAGGCTGAGGTGGGAGGATCCCTTAAGCCTAGTGTGTCCGGAATTGGTAGGGTCTTGGTCTCACTGACTTCAAGAATAAAGCCGCGGACCCTCGCAGTGAGTGTTACAGTTCTTAAAGGCGGCGTGTCTGGAGTTTGTTCCTTCTGATGTTCAGATGTGTTCAGAGTTTCTTCCTTCTGGTGGGTTCGTGGTCTCGCTGGCTTCAGGAGTGAAGTTGCAGACCTTCATGGTGAGTGCTACAGCTCATAAAGGCAGTGTGGACCCAATGAGTGAGCAGCAGCAAGATTTATTTTAAAGAGCGTAAGAACAAAGCTTCCAAAGTGTAGAAGGAGACCCCAGCGGGTTGCCACTTCTGGCTGGCACAGCCTGCTTTTATTCCCTTATCTGGCCCCACCCACATCCTGCTGATTGGTCCATTTTACAGAGAGCCGATTGGTGTGTTTTACAGAGAGCTGATTGGTCCATTTTGACAGGGTGCTGATTGGTGCATTTACAGTCCCTGACCTAGACACAAAAGTTCTCCACCTCTCCACTAGATTAGCTAGATACAGAGTGTCTATTGGTGCATTCACAATCCCTTAGCTAGACAAAGATTCTCCAAGTCCCCACCAGATTAACTAGATATAGAGTGCCGATTGGTGCATTTACAAACCCTGAGCTAGACACAGCGTGCTGACTGGTGTGTTTACAATCCCTTAGCTAGACTTTATAAAGGTTCTCCAAGTCCCCACTAGACTCAGGAGCCCAGCTGGCTTCACCCAGTGGATCCCGCACCAGTGTGGCAGGTGGAGCTGCCTGCCAGTCCCAGCCGTTAGCCCGCACTCCTCAGCCCTTGGGTGGTCGATAGGACTGGGCTCTGTGGAGCAGGGAGCAGTGCTCGTTGGGGAGGCTCGGGCCGCGCAGGAGCCCACGGCATGGTGGGGGAGGCTCAGGCATGGTGGGCTGCAGGTCCCCAGCCCTGCCCCATGGGGAGACAGCTAAGGCCCAGTGAGAAATCGAGCACGGCAGCTGCTGGCCCAGGTGCTAAGCCCCTCACTGCCCAGGGCCGGTCGGGCGGCCGGCAGCTCCAAGTGCGGGGCCCACCGAGCCCACGCCCACCCGGAACTCACGCTGGCCAGCAAGCGCCGCGCACAGCCCCGGTTCCCGCTCCCGCCTCTCCCTCCACACCTCCCCGCAAGCTGAGGGAGCCGGCTCCGGCCTTGGCCAGCCCAGAAAGGGGCTCCCACAGTGCAGTGGTGGGCTGAAGGGCTCCTCAAGCGTGGCCAGAGTGGGCGCCAAGGCCGAGGAGGCGCCAAGAGTGAGCGAGGGCTGCCAGCAGGCTGTCATCTCTCACTAGGAGGTGGAGGCTGCAGTGAGCCGTGATCACTCCACTGCACTCCATCCTGAGTGACAGAGAGAGACTGTCTCAAAAAACCAAACCAAAACAAAACAAAAACACCATTCAGTGTGCTTAATGTTGCAAGAAGAAATAGAATAAAAAAAATTTGAAACACAATTTTGTGCATTTATCAGCACTAAAATGTTGATTGGTATAATTAAGTATGTAAATGAAATTGGTGGGATTTAAATATTTTGTAGCTCTGTGTACGTGAATGTGTCCATGTCTGTGTGTTTGTGCATGGTGAGTACAGTGAGTAGAATTTGGGCCTATAGATTAAAAAAACAAAAACAAAAACACAAAAACAAAAAAACACTGAGTTTCTCCCTGGGAAACTTTGTGAATGTGATTGAAGAATTGATTTATTTTTCACTTCTCAGTGATACACAATTTTTCTTTAAGCCTGATCGAGTTTCTGTTTGCTTTTCTTATAGAGTATTAAGGTTTAATTCCTGATCTTAGCTGTTGGATAAATGTGCCATTAACCCTGCTGTTTTATAGAATCAGGCCCGCCAGCTGTCCCTAATAGCTTTTCTCCCCAGTAGCCCCTTTGATATCCTGAACCAACAGTGTGCTGTGTGTGTCCAGGACTTGTATTTTGAAATGCCGTGACACCTAGTCCTTTATTGGAAGAGAGGGCATTCTCACCAAGGTGGGGTGTTTGAAAGTCCAAGGAAGCAGATGTGCTGTGAGAAGCCCCATAGATATTAGTATGTCCATTTATAGAACACTTAGAGAGAACCCAGCTGTGTGAGGATGCCACTGTGGGCTGAATTATTAAAGGCAACAGTCAGATCCAATAAAGTGCAGGAACCCAAGACAGAAAAGCAGTTATGAAAGAATTATTGACCTATCTAAAAAAAAAAAGGAAGGGAATCTGCAAATGCTAGCTTCCTGGGTCATGTCAGAGGTAAATAATCAGTTCGACTCCCTCTTCTTTGCAGAACTAAGGCTGCCCCTTGGTAGACTTGTGCCAAGCATGAGGATGGCCCAGGTCTCCATGCTACCTTCCCCTGAGAGCCTCTGCCTCTGTGGATAAGCCTTCTGAAGCACTGGGCGCCTCAGGCTGCCTGCTGCCTGCTGACGATTCTACTGAAGGGTAGATTCATGTACCACTTTTTCCTACTTTAAACTCAGTATTTCCCTGTCTAATGACATATGTACTTTTTGAAGCTCTGCTAACTGCTCTACGTGAACAATCAAGTTAGTTCTTCTATGTGTGTTCCACAATGACTTATATTCTTCCCACAGGTATAACATCTTAACTGTCAAAATGCACACTTCTGGCCTGGTATGGTGGCTCATGCCTATAACCCTAGCAGTTTGGGAGGCCGAGACAGGTGGATCACTTGAGGTCAGGAGTTAGAGACTAGCCTGGCCAACATGGTGAAACCCTGTCTCTACTGAAAATACAAAAATTAGCTGGGCCTGGTGCAGCACGTCTGTAGTCCCAGCTACTCGGGATGCTGAGGCAGGAGAATCACTTGAACCCGGGAGGCAGAGGTTGCAATGAGCTGAGATCTCGCCACTGCACTCTAGCCTGGTGACAGAGCGAGATTCTGTTAAAACAAAACCAAACATAACACCCACTTCTTTAAAAGATGGAAGAGTAATTCTTATGGCAACACAGAGCTGGAAGAGATGTTGGAGATAGTTCAAGTTCCATCCACTCATTTCATAACTGAGGCAAGCAAGCCCTGCTGAGGTGAAAGCACCCTCCAGAGTTATGCAACCACTTACTGCCTAGGCAGAAACCAGACCCTGCTCTCTTGGCTCAGAGACAAGTGCAGGGAAAATTGGTCACAACAGAATATAGGACTCAGATTTTAGTTGTTGTTAGGAGGCATAGGAGTGCTTCCCAAGTCACGGAGCCCTTTCTTATTTCCTTTTTATTTTTTTTTTGAGACAGGGCCTTGCTCTGTCACCCAGGCTGAAACACAGTGGCACCATCTTAGCTCACTGCAGCCTCAACCTTCTGTACTCAAGCGATCCTCCTACCTCAGCCTCCCAAAGTGCTGTGGGCTGGGCGTGGTGGCTCACACCTGTAATCTTGCTGTGAGCCACCATGCCTGGTCCACAGAGCATTTTTTTTTTTTTTTTTTTTTTTTTGAGATGGAGTCTCAGTCTGTCACCCAGTCTGGAGTAGAGTGGCACGGCCTCGGCTGACTGCAACCTCTGCCTTCTGGGTTCAAGCAATTCTCCTCTCTCAGCCTCCCAAGTAGCTGGGATTACAGGTGCCTGCCACCATACCTGGCTAATTTTTGTATTTTTAGTAGAGACAAGGTTTTGCCATGTTGGCCAGGCTGGTCTTGAACTCCTGAACTCAAGTGATTCACCTGCCTCAGCCTCCCAGAGTGCTGGGATTACAGGCATGAGCCACTGTGCTTGACTCCACAGAGCCTTTTCTACATGTAGGATATTATGCTTAAAGCTGGGAATAAAAAAGAAGGAAGATACTGATCTTTCCTTTGAGGAAGGACAGTATAAATATGCTTAAGCGATCCATCAATTCTAGAGGAAAAAAATATGCACAAACTGATTTGTGGATCAAAACTACCTCTTGAGATGCCGGGTCTCATACAACCCACATATTTCCTTTAATTACTGTTACCATCGCATTTTACAATTGTTTTGTGTCAAATGTTATAAACTCAAGGGTCACTGAAGGTCATTGAAGTATAGGGGTTACCTCATCTTTTTATGCTGACGATGAGAGTAAATTTTTTAAAATTAAAAAAATTTTTTAAGAGGCAGAGTCTTGCTCTGTTGCCCAGGCTGGAGTACAGTGGTGCCATCATAGCTTACTGCAGCCTCAAACTCCTGGGCTTAAGTGATTCTCCTACCTCAGCCTCTCAAGTAGCTAGGACTACAGATGCGTGCCACCATGCCTAATTTTTTTATTTTTTGTATAGACAACGTCTTGCTATGATGCCCAGGCTGGTCTTGAACTCCTGGCTTCAAGCAATCTTTTCTCCTCAGCCTCCCAAAGTGTTGGGATTACAGGCATGAGCCACGATGCCCTGCCGAGAATAAATTCATTTGAATTACTCTAAAATTTAGAAGGAAATGAAAGGAAATGGAAGAATCAGGTTTGTCTTGAAACTGAAGGAGAAATAGGATGGTTTAAAAATGAGGCTTTGGGTTTGACTTGAGAATGGAAATACTTGGGAAGTGAAAGGAAAACTAAGGAAAGGTTGTTAATTGAGCTGGAGGAAGGAAAGAATTTTCTTAGGAGACAAGCTGAGGTCTTACAAGTCAGGTCAGACAGATATGAAATATGTCATATCTGTGTTTCTTTACAGATGGGGCTTGGGAAGGGGGATCTTATTATGGTTAATAGATTGTTGTTTGAAGGGCAGCCCATTTATAAATGTCACTGTTCCCTGTCTGAATTCTGAACCAATTAGGTATGAAGGTGGTATGAACACAAGGCTCAAAGGGAAACTGGACATTAAAAGGCTTTAAAATAGGCCGGGCTTGGGGGCTCATTACCTCTAATCCCAGTACTTTGGTAGGCCGAGGTGGGCAGATTGCCTGAGTTTAGGAGTTCAAGACCAGCCTGGCTAACATGGCGAAACCCTGTCTCTACTAAAAAATATAAAAATAGCTGGGTGTGATGGTGGGTGCCTGTAATCCCAGCTACTCGAGAGGCTGAGGCAGGGAGAATTGCTTGAACTCGGGAGGCAGAGGTTGCAGTGAGCTGAGATTGCGCCACTGCACTCCAGCCTAGGCAAGACAGCAAGGATCTGTCTCCGAGAAAAAAAAAAAAAAAAAAGGCTTTAAAATAGATAAGGTGGGCATTGCTGGGAGAGTGAAGTCTCAGAGAAGACCGGGAGACTTGGAGGCACCACCTTAAAAATATCTGTATTTTGCTAGAAGGCAGAGATGTTTCAAACGTCCTTCTGGGAGAGGGTGCAGTATGTATAGGTGAATTATTTTACCTAGCAAAAGGTGTGCATCCCATCACAATTAGCTTTATTTTTTAATTTTTTTGTAGAGATAGGATCTCTCCATTTTGTCCAGACTGGTCTTGAACTCCTGGGCTCAAGTCATCCTCCTGCCTCAGCCTCCCAAAGTGCTGGCACTACAGATGTGAGCCACTGTGCCCGGCCACAGTTAGCTTTTTTATGGTATATTTCTCCTAATGTGATTCTGGATTGTGTTAAATACCAGATTTTGGGAAGATAATTTGTTTGGAGTAACTACGGTGGGGCTTGGTTATTTGTTTGTGTTCTCTACAGTTTGTGCCTGGGGTGGTAGGGCTTGCTGTCTTATTTTTCTATTTACTTTGATTCTTTGGATAAGTAGTTTAAGGGGAGAGACTTGAGTTTGGTTAATTCAACTTGGGAAGTGATGAAGGTGCTTATTTTGTGACATTTCAGGCTGTGTCTCCTGAAGCAGAGGCCTGACCCTCCCAGGCATCAATGTGAGACTCACTGTCTAAGGCTAAGCAGAATAAGAATTTTAGAGAGGGTGAAAATTTTGGGATTGATTTTTTTCAGCTATAATATATAAGAGGACTTATTTCTGGAGCCCGATTTCTCTCTATCCATTTACTACTTGAAAGGCTTCATATTGTTTCAATTTGGTACATTCTGTTATATAGTTGCTAAAGAATTTGGGGATTTAAAAATGTCTTTTGTGTTCCTTGCACACTTTTTGGTGAGGTAGATTAGACCATGCAGCAAGGCATGATCTGAGATGGGAAAGAGGTGTAGGGTGTTTTGGCTCAGGGTGCAGTTTGGCCTTGAAGTTAATTTAGTAAACATTCAGTTTGGGCCATTTCAGAGCCTTTAAGTACACAAATCTCAACCACATGAGCCCAAGGAATCAGGGTTAGGTATGGATGGAGAGGTCGATTGAAAGAGGAAGCAAGAGTTCCTTGACATGCTGTGGGCTTCCTCCCCCGAGAGAGGAAGCCATGTTGAATTTGGTTGTTACGGTGCTGAGGTAAAAGAGGAAAGGCTGTGTGCGTGTATGTGTGCGTGTGTGTGTGCATCTGTGTATGCATGTGTGAATTGGGAGGTGCTACTGGTGGTAGTGGTGAAGGGAAGGCTTCTCCATTGTAATTTTTGCTGTTATGAAGGGAATTTCTCCTCCACCATTCCTGCTTTCAGGGAGGGGCTCATCTTGTTGGGATCAAGTGTTTCTGTCAGGAGAGGTTAAGTTACCCAGAGGTCACTGCTCAAGCATGGCATAGTTTCCTGTCCCCGGCTCCTACAGAGCTTTTTACTAAGCTTTGTCTTCTCAGTTTGGTGTCACAGGTTTCCCTGTTCTGCACTCTCCTGTGTTTTAACTTCTCAGTGTTACGTCTGTAGGTAGTTAAGTCAGGTCAGACCTCTCCTGGGGCCTTCAGGGCTCATGGAAAGGTTGTTATTCAAGCTGACAATTTGGTATTTGTGTGAGGAGACTCTTTCTGGAAAAATCCTGCATGGCCAGGGCATACGGTATTGGCCTTTTACATTTCTTTGCCTTATTATACACTTGACAGTCTTTTTTTCCCTGGAGAGAGAGACAGTCTTCACAGACTGTCATTTTTTGTTCTTAGAGCAAGACCTGAGCAATTTCATTCTGAAAAATAAATTTACTCAAGTTATAAGAAGAGAAAATAACAGAAGAATAAAATATACTCCAAATTCCTAAAGTCTTTTGCTCACTGAGGAATTATTACTCTGTAATATCACTGTTAGAGAAAGCTCAGGCAGGTTTAAGTGAGCCTAGTAAGAAGAGCTATAATTTCATCTCATCCTCCTTATCCACTTGAATCTAAAAGGGGGTTGGGTAACTTTACTGTTGGGTAAGAAGAAACCATTCTCATCCTTGGGGCTTAGGTGGTGGACAAACCTCTCCGTTGGTCCTTCTTAAGATGGGTGGAGGGAGGTCTCCATCATCCAGACATATCGATGAAAAGAAAGACCCCCTCTCAGCAGAAGTTTGAGAAAGCAGCTTTTGTGATACCTGATTATTGCTTAATAATAATTTGAGTAGATATTAATCATTTGAGTACTAGATTTTGACTGATGCCTTTTAGAATTCTGATTTTTTTTATTGCCATATATTTATATTAAAATGTACCAAAGGAAAGGGCATATCCTCTGATATTTGGCCAAGAAATCCCTCACATACCTTTATTATATAATTTTTCTTTATTAAATTTTAAAATTGGTCTGCAGTCAAGTTTATTGGTCTTCTCCTATGGCTTCTGTATTTGTATTATGTTAAGAAAGGTCTTTTCCACTCTGATGCACCTATGTGTGAGTCTGTGTGTGCATATGTACCGCACATACACACATGCATCTATCATCTACATTTTCACTTTTTTGGTTGATCTCATACATATTGTGAGAAATATTTTGTTCCCCCCCTTAAATTATACCTAGCTGCATTGTCTAATATGGTTAGACAGAAGGAACACAGATTGCACAAAGTTGATTGGATAGCAACCTAGAGAACAGAGTGAGGGATGCATATGGGAGAGGAATAGGGACAGAAAGATCATTTAGGGCTTTACTAATAGTGGCAAAAGAGAGGTATGGGGAAACTGGGGACAGTCTAGTGGCCCCTGGGCTGGATTCGTGCCGGTCAGATGGGAGCGCCGTGGGACAGGAAGATGTCTAGGTCATGGGGTGACCAGATGGTGGTGCCATTTGCTGAGAGAGCAAACCCCAGTGAAGGAATGAGTTTTGGGGAAAAGATAATGAGCTTGGCGGATTTGAGCTCTGTGTGCTTACAAGGAATTGAGTGAGGGAACGATTGTTCGGGCAGCACTGGCAGTGGTGGGTGGAGGTTGGCGGTGGGTGAAGTTTGGCAGCAGGTGGAAGTTTTGGACAGACAGGCATCTGCTGACACCCTCAGTGCATGGAGATGGCAGAAGTGAGGGAGGTGTATTATTAGTCTGTTCTCAAGCTGCTAATAAAGACATACCTGAGACTGGATAATTTATAAAGAAAAAAGGTTTAATGGACTCATAGCTCCACATGGCAGGGGAGACCTCAGTCACGGCGGAAGGGGAAAGGCACATCTTACATGGCAGCAGGCAAGAAAGAATGAGAACCAAGTGAAATGGGTTTCCCCTTAAAAAATCAGATCTTGTGAGAATTATTCGCCACCACGAGAACAGTATGGGGGAAACTACCCTCATGATTCAATTATCTCCCATCGGGTTCCTCCCACAGCACATGGGAATTATGGCAGCTACAATTGGGGATGAGATTTGGGTGGGGACACAGCCAAGCCGTATCAGGAGGGTTTGGGGCCGAAAGGGAAACCTAAAATTTGGCACTGAGTCTCTCTCCACCGACATCTCTATCCGTTAAACCCCGCTCTCCATCTGCTTTCTCTCTTCTGCTCAACAAAGTCAAAGGTAAATGTACTTTGGGATTAAAGGAACTGTTTTCCAGAAATGATTTCTTGTCTTGGAGCTGGAAGTTGCAATTAGCAGACACAAGGAGAAATGGCTCTGGGAAAATCAGGCTTAACTATCATGCCCTAACCTCGTACCGTACCCTATGTGTGTCTGCAGTTTCTATGTTCACCACTGGAGGGCAGGCTCAATTCACAAATGCGCAAACCAACTCACCAGACGTTTCCTTCTCTGACATTGTTATCAAAAAGAAGCAATATAACAAGGAAACAGAATAGAAAAATATATTCTATAAATATGTAAATATATAATAGAATATAAAAAGGAGGAAATAGAAGCAAATATTAGCCTCTATGCATAAATGAGAGGATGGAAACGTAAAAAGAATTACCCTTTGTTTTGAATAATCAGTTTGGGCATTTACTGTGTGATGTGTGTCTTACACAAGCTTAGTGCCTTTTTATGCCCTCCCCCTCCAGGACACTTGATTTGAGATTTCAGTCAATAAAGCTTCATTTAGACAACCAGGTGCCAAATAACTACAGTGATCAAATTTTGTTCCTTAATTAGGCAAGTTGCTTTTTCCCCTGAGAGCCCCGTATCTAATGTGCCCCTTAGTCTGGAGTGAGGTGAGACAGAGGTGGAAGAGGGGGCAGGTTCTCAAGGCAGGAGTCTCAGATTCCTCGTTATAAAATGAGCTAATTCGTAATTCCGGAGGTTGCTCTGGCGCGTGAGGATGAAAGGTTGTGTGCATTGAATGCCTGACTCTCAGTAAGGGCAAATCATGCTGAAGGTGATGATGATGTCTCTAAAGCAGAACGAGAAGAGAAGATGCCAGCATTCTGGAAGGCTGATATTTTCCAATGTAGCTCGGAACACCCAACATTTCTCTGTTTAGAAAAATTTCTAGAAGTTGTACCAGTGTAGAAAACAGCACAGGCCTAAGTTGTGTCCAAGGGCAGAGTAACAGGGTTTTGTTTTGGTGAATGTTTCAGGATTATTTCAATGATACTGGGGGAGTTGAAGCCCTAACACAGAAGACTAGATAATATTTTTTTTCTCATTATTCCCAATTGTCCTGAAAAGAAACAAAACAAAACTTCTGTTATGTATAATAAGTATTCTTATTTAGAAAATTATTAGACAGCCAATTGCAGAGAGCCAGAGAAATGTGAGTTGACAATCGATGGCAAAACTTCTGGAATCTTTCTTATCAATTTCTACCTATCTTTGCCTAAAATTCCCTAACTAACAGGGGGAGAGGCTGTTTATTCCACAGTTTGGAAATGAGGCTTAAAATTGAATATCTCTAGAAAGGTGAAGTATTGTCTTAAGTGTATACCAAGGTGTAAAAGACGGATTATTTAAAATTTTAATTTTTTACGGGTGGGGTTTCACTCTGTTGCCCAGGCTACAGTGCAGTGGTGCAAGCATAGCTCACTGCAGCCTTGAACTCCTGGGCTCAAGTGATCTTCCCTCAGCTTTCCGAGTAGCTGGGATTAGATGAGTTGTTTTGCATGTAGGTGCTTCAAGGAAATGAGTCTGGGATGGGGTAAGATAAAAGGCTAAATGTGAGGAAGGATGTGGAGAAAGGCGGGAGACATAGGACAAACTCTCACCTTTGTAATTAGCAAGTCCAGGTCTGCTTAGTAGCCTCCAGATTTTGGTTTTTATTTTTTTTCTCACTTACAAAAGGAAGACTCTAAACATGGAAATAATTCAGACTTTGACTTTAGGGAGATCAGAATTTGAGGTCTGATTTTGGCACTCACATCTTTGGGGAAGGTGCTGTCTTCTTAACTGTAACATAGCCCTGCTGTCTACACATGGAGCTGTCTGGAGGCATGAATGAAATGATGCCATCAAGCCTTTAGACTTGTGAGGCACAGAGCTGGTGCTTGGGATTATTTGGTAGGGATCTGGCATCAGATTTAAGAATGCAACCTCTGGGGTCAGACAAATGCAGGCTAAATCCAGCAAAGTCACTCACTAGCTGGTATTTTTGGACAACTTACTTTATGAGTTTCCTCACCTACAAGCTGCTGACGATCATGATTTACCTCCTGTTGTTGCTGGGAGGCTACAACAAGCTTGCATCAAGCTCTATGCCCAGTGCAGACTGCTTAGTAGGAGCTCCATAACCGGCAGCTGATACTGTCGCCCATTATGCCTGGGACACTGCTCGGCCTTGGGGAGGAAGCGGTGGGTGGGCGGCTGCAGGAGCTCTCCTGAGCTCAATCCTCTGCCCTTGCTTTGATGCTATCCCCCTCTCACTTAGATTTGAGTAAGCATTTATGTATTTCTGCAAAAATATCGAATGCAACATTTCTCAATTTTTCCAAACCCACGAGTCCTTTTGAGGAATGTATTTTTAAAAAAATCCCTCACATTCTTTTCTAGAGTTTGATTCCCTGACCCCCTGCCCATTCCCCACTCCCTGGGCATTGCTTTGAGGGGAACGTTTCCCATCCAAAGGCTAGTCATTGCCGAAGGCACGACTTCCCAGCCCTGTGACAAGGCACTTTGGGACTTGTGGTGGCTGTTAAGGGTGGAAAGAAAACGATCCTCTCAGCAAACTCTGAGCAACTGAATGGGATCTGGGGAAGCTGGAGCAGCTTTCTCCATTCTGTTACTCAAATATTATTTTCCGTATTTTTCATGATGAGACAAATGGTGGGGAACACTGGTCTAAATAACAAAGTCCAAGCTCTTTAGTCTGAAGGCAAAATCCCCCATAACTAAGCTCTGGTTAAATTGTGTAGCCTCCCCTCCCCTCCCCTCCCATTCCCTCCCTTTCCCTTCCCTGGCAGTCCCACTCTGTTCAAGAAATTCTTCTGCCTCAGGTTCCTAAGTAGTTGGGACTACAGGCACATGCCACCATGCCCGTCCAATTTTTGTATTTTTAGTAGAGTCGTGTTTTCTCCATGTTGCCCATCTTTTTGCTGCTGTTTGAGAAAGGTGTAGGGAAGACCTTTCTCAAACTGTGTCTTCCTTTGCTCTCACACCACTACCACAACAATCATCAAAATAGAAGACGACTTCCATGACCCAAATGTCGGGGAGTTTTTCCCCACACATCATGCAGTGGACACCAGCTAGGCGTCCTCCAATTCAACACAGGTCGGGAGCTCACTGGTTGGAAACTCAGTCCCCAAGACTGCCCCCCACCACCTCCCAGACACCAGTTACAAGTCCAGGCCTCCAGAACTTCTGACCAACCAGCTCAAAGTTGGGGTTCCCATGACCCTTCTTTGGGTTCAATTAATCTGCTGCTGTGGCTCACAGAACTCAGGGAAACACTTATTTAGGTTTACCAATTTTTAACATGACAAAGGATATAGATGAAGAGATGTCTGGGGTGAGGTATGGGGAAAGGAACGTGGAGCTTCCATGCCCTCCCTGGGCACTACCCTCCAGGAATCTACATGTGTTCAGCTGTCCGGAAGCTCTCCAAACCCAGTCCTCTTGGATTTTTATGGAAGCTTCATGGTGTCAGCATTCTTTCCCCTGGGGTATGAGGAAGGACCCTCTCAGGGAAGGGTCTTAAGACCCATAATCAGAAAGGTGGGGGAAGATTAGAGTCCTGCCTTGGGGCAGGTGAAAAAGAAGGCAGGAGAAGGCCCAAGAGATTCCTGAGGTCTGCCCCTGAGGCCTAATACACTCAACATAATAACAAAAGACTGTAACAAGGGATATGGGAGTTCTGAACCAGGAACTGTGGACAAAACCCTGTATCTTATAACAGCATGGCTCCCCATAGAATGCTTATTTTTCATCCACACTGAACTCTGCTGTTTTATAAGCAATAGAACCATATTTCTTTTTACCTTCTAGTATTTGAATTTGCTGTTCTCTCTATCCACAATCCTTCCCTTGACTTATTTTCTGGTTGTATTAGGGTTCTCCAGAGAAACAGAACCACTAGGATGTGTGTCTTAGCACATTTGTGCTGCTATAACAAAATACCTAAGACTGGGTAATTCATAAAGAACAGACATTTATTTCTCACAGTTCTGGAGGCTGGGAAGTTCCAAGATCAAGGCACCAACACATTTGATGTCTGGTGAGGGCTGCTCTCTGCTCTCAAAGTGATGCCTTGCTGCTGCATCCTCCAGAAGGGACGAATGCCATGTCATCACATGGTGGAAAGGACAGAAGAGCAAAAGGACCAAACAGCTCCCTTGCACCTCTTCTACAATATCATTAATCTCATTCCTGAGGGCTCTGTCCCACCTCTTAATACTATCACATTGGTGATTAAGTTTCAACTTCTGCATTTTGGGAGGAAGCAATCAGGCTATAGCAATGTGTGTATATAGAAAGCTGTATTTTAAAGAAGTGGCTCATGCGATTGTGAAGACTTGCAAGTCCAAAATCTGCAGCACAGGCTGGAGATCCAAGGAAGAGCTGATTTTGCCATCTGAAGGCCATCTGCTGCAGAATTCTCTCTTGTTTGAGGGAGTCAGTCTTGTTCTATTCAGGCCTTCAAATGATTGGATAATGCCCTTCCACATTAGGGAGGATAATCTCCTTTACTCAATGTCCACTGATTTACATACTAATTGCTTAAAAAACACACAGCCACAGAAACATCCAGAATAATGTTTGGCCATTTATCTGGACACTGTAGCCCAGCCAAGCTGACACATAAATTAACCATCATACTGGTGAAATCTCATATTCATTCTACAAGTTCCCCATAAAAAATTCATTCCCTAGAAGGTCTTTCCCAGTCATGGCCCTTGTGGTTGGCAGCATTTCAAGGTGACCCCCAGTGACCCATGATCTTGTATAATCTCTTCCTCTTGAGTGCAGGCAAATCTACGAATATGACGTGATATCACTCCTTTGATTATGTTACATTGTATGGAAAAGGTAGAAGAATTTTGCAGATGTAATTGAGGTTCCTAATCAGTTGACTTTGAGTTAATCAAAAGGGAGATTGTTCTGAGTGGGTCTGCACTAATTAGGTAGCCTTTAAAAGAGAACAGTAGCAGCTGACACTCTCCTGTTGACATTGAACATGCAAACAACCTAGTTGTGAGCTTTCTGTGTAGTAAAGAAATGTGGAGAGAAGAATGTGCAGTGGCTTTTAAAGAGGAAGATGCCAAACGCTTCATAGAAATAAAGTACAACAAGGGATGAGAAATACCAGTTTTATAATCTAGCAAATGGGGTCTGGGCACATCTTGTAGAATGGCATGAATGAAATTAGATTGCATTGATGTGATAGCAAATGTAAGATAATGAAATAGATAAGGCAAACACAGATAGGTCTTTCATGAAGCTGTATGGGGGAAGGAGAATAAGAGGAAGACCTAAGACCATAGTCTGTTTTTCCTAATTGATAAGTGTAGATGCTATTGGGAAAAACAAAACAGTGGGAAAAGATGCGAGGAGGAGACCAGGGCATGGCATGAAGTTCCCAAGGAGGCAACCTTGAATACAGAGAGAGCAGTTTTTTTTTTTTTTTGAGCAAGCATCGTCTAGTTCTTCCACTGTCCCTGGAGAGGAAGCTGGATTAGGTTTAGAGGCAGAAGAGTTTGGCAGGGAGAGTGATAGATCAGGCAGCCAGAAAGTCGAAGCATTCCTACCAATGCCCTCTCTTTTCTCTGTGAAGTAGCATCCAAAATCATCTACTCACAATGAGATGGTGGGTGTTCAGGCAGGTTGGGGAAGAATGAGGAATTTAAGAAACAAACTTTAAAATTAAATGTTAAAATGCATACAGAAAAGCACACAAATCATATCTATACTGGTCAATAAATTGTTACAAAGTGAAATTCCACTCATGTAACTACCACTCATATAAAGAAATGGAATACTACTAGCACCCTAGAAACTCTTACCATTCCCCTAACAATTTGCTAATACTCTTTAAAGTAACCATCACCTGACTTACAACACCGTAGTTTAATTTGGCCTTTTATGGGTGCTTTATTTGAATGGTATAATATAGTGTGCACTCTTTGATGCTTCCTTTCTTTTACTCAAGATTGTGTTTTCAAGATTCATCCATGTTGTTAGGTATAGAAATAATTCATTAATTTGCATTGCTATTTAGTGTTCCATCTATGAATATACCACAATTTATTTTTCTTTTTTATTGTTGATAGACATTTGGGTTGCTTCCAGTTTAGGCTACCACAAGTGGGATTGTTATATAAAGCATGCTACATGTGTTTTGGTGCCCATATAATTAACTACTGTTGAATAGGATATAGGAGTGGAAATACTGAGCATTCAGGTTGTGCATATGTTCAGCTTTCATAAATGCTACCTGGGAAGGAAAGAGTTGGCAGCAATTCTGCAATCAGTTTTCTCCCTTTATTGGGGATGCCTTGGAAAAAAAGAAAAGTGACTCAGGTAAATCATCTAGTAAATGCACTAATGAAAGACCTCCTGGCAAAGACATTAATGGTAATTACTGGTGGCAGAATCGTTATCTAGGGAATTCTTTTTAGCAGGATATACTAGAACAGTTCATGTTGCTTTTTGTGAATGTACCTGGAATGCATGTCTTTACAGAACATAGATTCCAGGAAAATGTCAACCAAGCAATGTAATTATTAGAATATAAACTATAGGCCGGGCGCGGTGGCTCACGCCTGTAATCCCAGCACTTTGGGAGGCCTAGGCGGGCTGATCACAAGGCCAGGAGATCGAGGCCATCCTGGCTAACATGGTGAAACCCCCTCTCTACTAAAAATACAAAAAAAAATTAGCCGGGCGTGTTGGCGGGCGCCTGTAGTCCCAGCTACTCGGGAGGCTGAGGCAGGAGAATGGCGTGAACCCGGGAGGCGGAGCTTGCAGTGAGCCGAGATCGCGCCACTGCACTCCAGCCTGGGCGACAGAGTGAGACTCTGTCTCACAAAAAAAAAAAAAAAAAAAAAAAAAAAAAAAGTATATGAAGTATAGATGTTTCTTAACTGAAATAGCTTCTATTTGTAAACATGATGCCACATATGCATTGCTTATAGGCCCCCTAACATGACAAGTAAGAAACTGGAGAGTGGCATTGGTAATCAACCATCTTGTCTTGCTTTTCCTGTGTCTCACAATTACCTATATCCTTGTGATTATTTGTTGATGGTGGGGTAAGATCTCTGAATCTTTGAAGCGTGATTTTTCAATTCTTTGTGTTATCTCACTACCAAGCAATCTTCCACAGTGATAGTTCCAATTTATCCTTCCAACAGTAGCGTATGAGGGCTCCCCTTGCTTCCATTCTTGCTAATGCTTGTCAATGTCAATGTTTTCATTTTAGATATTGTAGAATGTGTGTAAGCTCTTTGACTTTTTTTTCTTTCAAATTGCCTTGATTATTCTTGGTGCTTTTATTTCCATATAATTGTAGAATCATCTTGTCAATTTCCACAGCAAATCTGCCCCAATTTTGATTGAGAGAGCATTAAATCTATACACAAATGTGATAGAAAGGCCATATTTTCAATTAAGTATTGTGAGTTGAATGATGTTACCCCAAAAGATATGTGGAAGTTTTAACCCCCATACCTGTGAATATTACCTTAGTTGAAATAGGTTCTTTGCAGATATAATAATTAAGTCAAAATGAGGTCACATCAAATGAGGGTGGATCTAAAGTTCAATGGCTGGGGTCCTTGTATGGATAAGATAATTGATTTTTGGTCTCTTTTATTTTCTGATATTTATTTAAGGCTAAAAATTTCTTTCTAAGTATGGTTTTAGCTGTTTGTCACAATTTTTATTGTTTGCATCTTTGTGAACATTATTAATTTAGCTAAAAGTATTTTCTAACTTTGTCATTTCTTCTTTGACTCATGGGTAATTTTGAAATGTGTTATTTAATTTGAAAAACGTGAGTAATTTCTAGTTGCATTTCTGTTATTGAGTCCCAGTTTAATTTCATTATAACCAGAGAACACATTGATTGATTTTAATCCTTTGAAATTTTTGAGACTTGCTCTATGACCCAGCTTATGTTTAATTTTGGTAAGTCTTCCATGAGTTTTCTGTGGTTGCTAAGGTCAGTGTTCTATATTAGTAGATACATTTAATTGTGTTCAAACTTTTCTATCTTTGATTATTTTTTGTCTGCTTGTCCTATCGACGATTCAGAAAGGTATGTTAATCTCATCATGATTGTGTATTTGTCTACTTCCTTCTTTTAGTTCTGTCAAGCTTTTATTTATTTATTTTTAGGTTATATCAATAGGTGTGTACACATTTAAAATTGTTACAACTTCCTGCTAAAATGGTCTCTTTGTTATTATACACCTGTAATTATTCTTATTGCCAGAATGTCGCCTTCGTATGGTATTTGTATAGGTATACAAACTCTCCTTTGGTTACTACTATTTGGCAAATACTAATATTTGCATAGTGCATCTTATTACAACATTTGCTTTAAGCCTTTTATGTTGTTATACTTAAGATGTATCTCTTATAAGGAGTATAGAGATAAGTTTTTTATATTGTTTTTTAAATCTATATGTTTATCTATATATCTAATGTTTGTCTCCTAGAGTAGTCAGAGTGAATTTAGTATAACTACTTAAATATTTGTGTTTAAATCTAGCATCTTCTTTGTTTTATATTTTTCCAATTAACTCTTTCTCCCTCTCTATTTTCCTGTTTTATGGGTCTGCTGGTAGTGAAATTTCTCAATTCTCATTTGTTTAGGCATAAGTTTATTGAATTTCACTTTTAAAAGGTATTTTTATTGTGTATAAAATGTTATGTTAGAGCACTTGAAGATATCCCATCATCTTTTGGCTTTCATTCTTTTTTCTGAAAAGTTAGCCCAAGTCTTACTGTTTTTTCCTTTGAAGGTAATTTTTTTTTTTTTTTTTTTTAAGACAGAGTCTCAGTCTGTTACCCAGGCTGGAGAGCAGTGGTGCGATCTCGGCTCACTGCCACCTCCGCCGCCCGGGTTCAAGAGATTCTCCTGCCTCAGCCTCCTGAGTAGCTGGGACTACAGGCGCATGCCACCATGCCCAGCTAATTTTTTTGTATTTTTAGTAGAGATGGGGTTTCACCATGTTAGATAGGATGGTCTCAATCTCTTGATCTCATGATCCACCCACTTGGCTTCCCAAAGTCCTGGAATTACAGGTATGAGCCACTGCACCCAGTCAATTTTGTTTTAAACTTTGGTTTCTTTAAAAATTTTCTCCTTTGATTTTCAGCAGTTTTACTTTGATGTACCTAGATATGACTTTCTTTGTATTTATCCTACTTAGGGTTTATAGTTCCTTTTGAATTTGTGGATTGATGTCTTTCATTATTTTTGGAAAATCCTTAGCACTATGACATAAAATATCACTTAATTCCCATTCTTCTCTCATATCCTGGAAGCCCAATTATATTTGTTATACATTTTAATCATATTCCTTAGATTTCTTAAACTCTTTTTGTATTTTCCAGTTTTTTTCTCTCTATAATCCATTCCAGATATTTTCTTATGAATTATCTTTTTGTCATTCTATCTTCAGTTGAGTCATATAAATAATTGTGGTTTTCAGTTTCAAAATTTTCATTCAATTTTTAAAATACTTTTCAGTTGTGAGAATTTCCATCATGCCTTATTAAATTGAATATATCAACCACAGTTATTTTAAATTTTGTGTCTAACAAGTAAAATATCTGGGTTTTCCATAGGTTTGTTTCTGTTGTCTGTTTATTTCTTAACCACAGACAATTCTTGTCTGTTTGATGTCTGGCAAATTTAGGTTGAATGCTCTATGTGGTGTATGAAAAATTATAATAAAAAGTTGAGGCTGGGCATTGTTGTCTTTCTCAGGTCATGATGATTTACTTTTGCTTCTGGAAGATATGCAGGATGGGCTGATTACCTTAATCCAGTTAGATACTGAGATGTTTCAAAGCTCAGCATCAATCTTCGTGAGGACTGGCTTTTACTGATTCAAGAGGCTGAGGAATTTTTTTTTCTTTTTTTTTTTTAGAGAGGGTCTATGTCTGTTGCCCAGGCTGGAGTGCAGTGGTGCAGTCATGGCTCACCGCAGCCTCAACCACCCAGGCTCAGGTGATTCTCCTACCTCAGTCTCTCAGGAAACTGGGGCTATGGGCGTGTGCCACCCTGCCTAGCTAATTTTTTATATTTTTTGTAGAGATAAGAGTTTTACCATGTTGCCTGGGCTGGTCTCAAACTCCTGGGCTCAAATAATTCTTCCTGACTCAGCCTACCAAAGTGTTGTGGTTACAGGCGTGAGCCACTGCACTCAGCCAGGGATTTTCTTTGGCAGTAAAGTTCCCTTCAGGATTAAATGGCCTGTATGGGGTTATATGCTAATTTCTGACACAATCATGTTGGCCCAAGGAATGCTATTTATACAGTGGCTTAGGTCTGGTTTACCTTAACCAGTTAACTGTAAAGGGACTACCTTGATTAGGTTCAAATAACCAGGCTCTCTCCCTGTAAGTGGACTTAACATACCTTTCCAATAATTATATGATGGATACATGAAGCTGAGGAGGGGGAAAAGATTCAGGGAAAGATCCAGAGTTTACTACACATGCTGACTGTAAAGGACATGAAATCAAGACTTGGGAAATCTGAGTTCCAGGTTTGACTTTACCTCTGATTTTAAAATATAGTCTTCTCTTGACAAGACATATCCTGTCTCTACACTTGAAAGTCTCAGTATAGCAGGGGAGTAGAATTACATTGGTGACTTTCAAATGATTTTTAGGCACAGATGTGCTTTTATATTTACTGTGGACCAAGTGGAACTCCATTTTTTACTTCAGCAGAATGGCCTAATTGTTATCTGTGGTTCTATGTAGGATTTCACTTGATTAGAGAATACCTCAGCTAAAGAAATATTTTAAAACTAGTAGATCAAATGATTTTAAATATCTTCAGTTTTATCCTTTTAAAGATGGAAATTAGTAGACCAAATGTATTTCTCTGCTTATTTTTGAGGTTTTGGGAAGAAAAACCTACTAACCTTTAATCTCTACTCTGGTTAACCTCTTTAATAAAAAAGCAATAGCTAAGATTTGGAAGCAACCTAAGTGTCCATCAACAGATGTGTGGATAAAGAAAATGTGATACATATACACAATGGAGTACTATTCAGGCATAAAAAATGAATGAGATCCAGTCATTTGCAACAACATGGATGGAACTGGAAATCATTAAGTGAAATAAGTCAGGCACAGAAAGACAAACGTCGCATGTTCTCATTTATTTGTGGGATCTGAAAATCAGAACAATTGAACTTGTGGATATAGAAAGTAGGATAGTTACCAGAGGCTGGAAGGATAGTAAGAGCTGTTGGGGAGGTGGGAATGGTTAATGGGTACAAAAAATTAGAAAGAATGAATAAGACCTATCTGATAGCACATCAGGGTGACTATAGTGAATAATAGCTATACATTTAAAAATAACCTAAAGAGTGTAATGGGATTATTTGCAACTCATAGGGTAAATGCTTGGGGGGATGGATGCCCCATTCTTCATGATGTGTTTATTTCACATTGCATGCCTGTATCAAAACATCTCATGTACCCCATAAATATATACACCTATGTACCCAAGAAAATACAAAATAAAAAGTTTTAGAAAAGCCAATGACCACAGATGTTATTTTTTTGAGGAGAAAAACATAAGATTAGAAACTTTACAGTGGTACTCTATAGTATGTCCAGATTTGCTAGAAATATGACATTATAAATGAAATAAAAAATAATGAAATTTCTTTACATTATAAAACTATACAATATTAGAGCTTAGCTGATTTTTTTGGAAGGTATATGGTAGGCAGAATTCTAACTTGGCCCCCAAGATTCCTGCACCCTGGTGCACCCACACCTCTTCCCCATTGTTTAATTAAACATGAATGTATGGACTGCTTAGAGAGATATGTCCAGATGTAATTAAGGTCCCATATCAGCTGACCTTAAAGTGGACAGATTATCAGAGTGAGACTTACCTAACCACATGAGCTTTTTAAATCTAGATCTAGATCAAGATACAGAGGTCAGAGACAGAGGAAGACAAAGTTGTGAAGCACCAAGAGGATTCAGTGTGTGGGAATTTCTCCATTGCTGACTTGAAGAGGCAGGGGACCCTGGTGAGGAATGTGGGTGCCTTCTAGGGGTTGAGGGCAGCTCCTGGCTGACAGCCAGCACAGAAACAGAACCTCAGTCTTACAGCCACAAGGGACTGAATTATGCCACAACCATGTGAGCTTCAAAGATGTATTAGTCTGCTTGGGATTCCATAACAAGATATCGTAGACTGGGTGGCCTGGACAACAGGAATTTGTTTATTCACAGTTCTGGAGGCTGGAAGTACAAAATCAAGGTGCTGGCAGTGTTGATTTCTGGTGAGGCTTCTCTTCCCGGCTTGCAGTCAGACACCGTCTCGCTATGCCCTCCTGCAGCCTTTCCTTTGCATGTAGCATGTGGGAGTGAAGGGGGAGAGATTATTTTTGGCATCGCCTCCACTTTTTATTTTTATTTCTAAAAAGTATTAATATTTATGTTTTATTTAGAGACAGAGTCTCACTCTGTCACCCAGGCTGGAGTGTAGTGGTGTGATCATAGGTCACTGTAACCTCAAAGTCTTCCTGGCCTCAAGTGATCCTCCTGCCTTAGCCTCCCAAAGTGCTGGGATTACAGACATCAGCCATCACATCTGGCCGCTGCCTCTTCGTATAAGAACACCAGTCCTTTTCATTGTAGGTCCTATCTCCAAATAAAAGTTACGTTGGGAGCTGGGGTTTCAATGTATGGATTTTGGGGGAACACAATTCAGTCCATAACAGAAGAAGACCCTGAACTCTAGATTAGAATTCAGGTTGGCAGCCCAGGCTGACACCTTGATTTCAGCTCAGTGAGACTCTGAGCAGATAACCCAGCCTTGCCAAGCCCAGACTTCTGGCCACCAGAATCTGTGAGATAATATACTTTTGCTGTTTCAAGCTGATATTGTTTGGCTGTGTCCCCACCCAAATCTCATATTGAATTGTAGCTCCATAGTCCCCACGTGTCATGGGAGAGACCCTGTGGGAGGTAACTGAATCATGGGGGTGGGTTTTGCTGTGTTGTTCTTGTGAAAGTGAATAAGTCTCACGAGATCTGATGGTTTTATATAGGGCAGTTCCCCTGCACATGCTCTCTTGCCTGCTGCCATGTAGGACATGCCTTTGCTCCTGCTTCGCCTTCTGCCATGATTGTGAGGCCTCCTCAGCCATGTGGAACTATGAGTCCATTAAACCTCTTTTTCGTTATAAATTACCCAGTCTTTGGTATGTCTTTACTAGCAGTGTGAGAACGGACTAATACACAAGCCATTAATTTTGTGGTAATTTGTTAGGAAGCAATAGAAAATAAAGATGGGGCACCTAAATATTGTAGGCCAATCTCATTTTATTCATGTGGAAAATCATGTCCAAAGAAACACAAATAGTAACATGATTTGTCGAAGTTTACTCTGTCAGAGTTGATGGGAGACAAGAACTCCAACAACATTATTCTTACTCTAGACCTCTTTCCAAAATAATTTTTACTTCTTGGTCTCCTGCTGATGTAGCCAATTAGGTTTTATTCTAAAAAAAAAGAGCTACTTTGAGGCTGGGTGTGGTGACTCATGCCTGTAATCCCACTGCTTTGGGAGGTCCAGGCAGGAGGATCGCTTTGGCTAGGGAGTTCAAGGCTGCGGTGAGCCGTGATGGTGCACTGCACTCCAGCCTGAGCAACAGAGCCAGACCCTGTCTCAAAAAACCAAGCCACTTTGTCTCAAATCCCCTTCCTCTGCTTTCCAGACACTGTGCAGGTCACTAGGAAAGCTCTAGAGATTTAGCTCCCAATTTCTAGAAAGTTCTTTCTGGTTCACTTATATGCAAGGTTTATGCAAACAGGGTCCACAGACCACCTCTATTTGAGTCACCTACACTGTTTGCCAAAAAATGTGAATTCCTGGGCCCCACCCTGACAGACTGACTCCGTGGGTGATGATGATGCACATTAAGGCTGCAGAAACATGACTGCATGCCGTGTGTGCCCTTTCCTATGTGCTGGCTCCTCCGAGGAGATCAAAAACATCTGTTCATCATTCTATGCATAATAGGCCATAGCATAATTTTGATTACTTCATTCCCACAAGACTGCAGTGAGATGGATTCATCTTACCACTGGAAAGTGTCCAATGTCGGGATCCTTCCTGGTTTTCCCAGGGCATCACATCATATTTCTCCTTGTTCTGCTTGCATCAGCCAAATCCATTATTACCAAAGAAACAGGGTTATTAGGAAACACCTACCTGACCCTTAGGAGGAAGACTTTACTAGTCACCATTTGGGGTTTGTATATAAAGATCCTGATGGCTTGTTTTTATTTTTTTCTTTTATTTTTATTTATTTATTTTTAGAGACAGGGTCTCACTTTGTCACCCAGCCAGGAGTGCAGTGGTGCAATCATAGCTCACTGTAGCCTTGAACTCCTGGGCTCAAGCGATCCTCTTGTCTTAGTCTCCCCAGTAGCTAGGACTACAGGCATGCACCACCATGCCCTGCTAATTTTTTAAATTTTTTGTAGAGACGGGGGTCTGATTATGTTTCCCTGGCTGATCTGAAACTCCTCTTCTCAAATGATCCTCCCACCTTGGCCTCCTGAAGTGTTGGGATTACAGGCGTGAGCCACTCTTTGTTTTCTGAGTGCTATTCATTTCAAGAGATTTGTGTTTCAGACCATGGTCAAGGTTTTGAACTTTGTCCCTCTCTGTGATGAGGGAAGAAAACCCAACACACTTTGTTAGAAATAAAAGTAACCACAATTTTCCCTGTTCACATTAATAAGGCTGCGTCCCAATCCCAGTCTTAAATGATGGGAATCTGTGCATGCCATTTCTTACTTGGTTACCCCGTCGTTTAGATGTGGTTGCTCTTAACGTTTAAATTTTTCTTTTGGCAAGGTGCTTGCTGTCTATTGGAGTACATGGTCACTCAAAATTCGTTGGTCAACTGTACATATTATGCAACACAGTTATGAATCTCAGGAATCTGAATGCCGTAGCATGCTTTGCGTCCAGTGACAACCTTCTTTTGAGCAGGAGGATTGTCCTACTCCTCGTTTCATAAAGATGCTCATATTTAAGATGGAAAAGTTCTTACAACATACCTTTTAATACTAAATGGTAGAGTGGGAGATAATCTGGGGGAAATTAAAAAAAAATCTGGCCCAGAAGCCAGCATTATGGAATACAGCATAATTTCTGTTTACTACTACATTTAAAGGAGGATATTGTGGACTGTCCAAAAATGTGATCAGTTCTCTTTTAACCTTGGCATGTTGTCTCAGCCTCTGTCTGTTTACATGGTTGGCCTTTAGAGATTAGAGGTTTTAAAGAATTAGATGGATCTAAGTGTTTGCAAATTCTATTAGGGATGCTTTGCAAGCCTAGGAAATAAAAAAAAATATACTCCAGGCTCTTGGCTGCTCAGTGGTACAAACTCATTGCAGCCTGAAGCTCTGCCAACTCCGATCTGTTATGCCCTGGGCAATCAAAAGAGCTTTCACCAGCAGGGACTGGCCAGCTTGGCTGGGTGCTGGCCATTGAGTATAACACTGGGGAGAGGGCAGCCTACTCCTCAAAATGTACTCTTGTTGGACCAGTGTTCCTAGAGCTGCCATTTTTCAAGAGAAATCAACAATCATATTTTAAAGATTTACTGATTTTAACTGCAACAAATTAAATTTTTGGAAAACACACTGTGTGCCAATCAAAATACATCTGTGGACATCTTTGGACTTTTAGGGCACCCAGTGTGCAATCCAAATACCCTAGTTCTTCATAAAGCTGAAGTGAAAGAATGTACCCAGAAAAGGTCCAGGAGACAGGAGAAACTAGATTGTTTTTGCTACTCTCATACTCAACACAGAGCTGGATGTGTCGGGTTTTTCTTCCACACCAACTGATTCTCTGACACTGAGTGTCCTACAGTGTAATTCAGCTCTGACACTACCTACCTAGAGAGTCAGAAACCACAGGTTAAGGGATCTGTCCCACAAGGCTGCCTCCCACTTCTGATGCCAATTGCAAATTCTGACAACTAACTATAAATTGGAGGTTCCCATCACCCCTTCCTCGGATTTACACTTGCTAGAGTGGCTCAAAACTCAGGGAAACACTCTACTTACTATTGCTGATTTATTATGAAGGATATTTTAAAGGATACAAAGGGACAGCCAGATGAAGGGATACATAGGAGAGGTTCAGAAGGTCTAGAACACAGGAGCTTCTGTCCCCGTGGAGCTGGGGTGCACCACTCTTCCGGAATATGGATATGTTCAGCAACCCAGAAGCTCTCCTGGCCCTGCCCTTTTGGGTTTTGATGGAGGCTTCATTGCATAGGCATGGTTGATTAAATCATTGGTGATTGGCGATCAACTCAACCTTCAGCTCCTCTCGTCTCCTGGGGGTAAAGGGGTGGGGCTGAAAGTTCCAACCCTCCAATCACTTGGTTGGCTCCCCTGGCAATCAACCCTCATCCCGAGGCTACCAAGGGTCCCCCCCCACCATCAATCATCTCATTAACGTACGAAAAGACATGTATCACTTCTGAAATTTGGAACCTAGATGAAGATCAAATGTGTATTTCTTATTATAAATCACAATATCACAGAAAGTTTCCTGCCTTGGGAGTTATTAAATGACTACTTCGGAACTATGTGCCTAATCTCCTGAATTTGTTTATTTGTTAACTTTGTGGAAATGGCTTTAGCTGGCTTGAGCTAGAGTGTAATTCAATTTTTCTTTTAAAAAAAAAAAAGGCATTTCTTTGTTCTCCTACCCTCTAAAGAACTATATACATATATATGTATTTTTTTTTAACCATTCCTCAAATGTATGCTGCTGTGGTGAATGCTGGCATGCACTTTCAGATCCCCCGCTTCTGTACCAAGGCCCTCATTTTCCCAGCTGCTGGGAGTGCTGGCTGGTCACAGCTCCCAACTCCCTCTCTTTTTGGGAGTTGTGGGCTGAAGGGAGATGCTCCACCAAAAGTTACACTTTCTCCTGGGGATGTTTGTGCAGTCTGCAGTCATTGACTGGTCAATTCAGGGGTACAAAGGCATGGCCAACTTGCCTTAATCTGGGACAACCCTGAAGACTCATCCAAGGTCCAGATCACAGGATTCATCACAGGATCAGCTATGGCCTCTGTAGAGAGCATTGTAGGTCAGAACTGATAGCAGGAGATGCTGTCACATCACCTGGCCTTCGTGATGGAGGCCAGGTGGCACTGCTTACCCATTGAAAGCAAAATGGGTGCAATTATTGTAATAATGGGTCTGGAGTTGGATTCAAGAATGGATCTGTGGATCTTTGTGGTGAGTGTTACAGCTGTTAAAGATGGGATGGACCCAAAGGGTGAGCAGCAGCAAGATTTATTGTGAAGAGCAAAAGAACAAAACTTCCACAGTGTGGAAGGGAACCCGAGCTGGTGGCCTGGCTGAGGTGGCCACTGCTGGCTGGGGTGGCCAGCTTTTATTCCCTTATTTGTCCCCGCCCATGTCCTGCTGTTTGGTCCATTTTACAGAGTGCTGGTTGGTCTATTTTACAGAGTGCTGAGTGGTCCATTTTACAAACCTCTAGCTAGCCACAGAGTGTTGATTGGTGCGTTTTTACAGAGCTCTGATTGGTGCATTTTACAATCCCCTTGTAAGACAGAAAAGTTTTCCAAGTCCCCACTCCACTCAGGAAGTCCAGATGGCTTCACCTCTCAATAAGTAGCAGGCTTGGAATGGTAGCCAGGCAGGCTTGAACTTCAGAGAGTTATGGAAATGTTTAATAGCACGTGATGTACTAGGGTAAAGAGAAATGGCCATTGATAAGAGTATTGCTTCATTTGTTAATATATAAGCAAAATAAATCAGGATGAATGATCAGGGCCTGGGTGCAGTGGCTCACGCCTATAATCCTAGCACTTTGGAAAGCCAAGGTGGGCAGATCACGAGGTCAGGAATTTGAGACGATCCTGGCCAACATGGTGAAACCCTGTCTCTACTGAAAATACAAAAATTAGCTGGGCATGGTGGCGTTTACTTGTAGTCTCAGCTACTCGGGAGGCTGAGGCAGGAGAATGACCTGAGCCCAGGAGGCGGAGCTTGCAGTGAGTCGAGATCGCGCCACTGCACTCCAGCCTGGGCGACAGAGTGAGACTCTTGTCTCAAAAAAAAAAAAAAAAAAAAAAAAAAAAAAAGTCACTATTCTTGCCCAATTTTTGGATGGAGTCACTTCCCAGACACTGACTGAAGGAGAAAGTCTTTCCTGTGAGGAAGCATGCAGAAGTGCCATGGCAGGTGTATGCATTAATTAGTTTCCAAGTTCTTTTCCAAGAAGATGATGGCTGTTTACTCAGGTAGTGTTGCACTGGGAAAACCCCACCCTGTGTAAAGCGGAATACCTCAACATTTTGAAGACTCTCGGACTCAGGGTCCAAGTTGACATTGATATCTGGGGACCAAAAGCATTATTATGTCTCTCAGAATGATGGCATATGGGATCTAGGTAATGAATGGAGTCTTGGCCAAGTCCAGCTCAAAAAGGATCCACAAACCCACTCAGTAGTCATTTCCCGTTTTCCAAAATAATTAATTAGAATGGGCACACTTCGAAGCAATCCATGCGTTTCAAATGAAATTACAAGGCAAGTTAGGAAATGTTTCAAATGTAATGGTAATAATAAAACTACAACATCAAAATTGTAAGATGTAATGCTTAGAGTGGAATTTCTAGCCTCCAATGATTATATTAGAAAAGAAGAAAAGTCTCTTAGAATGGAGATATGTGGAAGTTGGTAGCATTCTCATATTGGTTTCTTGGCTTTTGGGTTAAGAGGAGAGGTTATACGGAGAGGCCAACTGGAAGCCTTAGAAACTGTCCTACTTCCTGGTCAAGAGAGTAAATGAAAAAAAATACTGCAAGCTAGGTATATTCCAGAGATTAACACCCCTATGCAAAGACTTAAAAAAGGTAGAAGTGGTCATCCCATCATATTTCCATTTAGTTCACCAGTTTTAATCTTACAAAAACCAAATAATTTCTGGTAGATGATGGTGGACTACCACAAATTTAATCACATAGTAGCATCATTGGTGGTTGCAATGCCTGATATACTTTTGCTAGAACACATTAACATAATGTTGGATAAATGGTCTACAGCTATCAGTATGGTGAATGTATTCTTTCCATTATCAAGAAGAAAGTTGAGAACCGGTTTTAGTTTTTGTGGATTGAACCACAGTATGCATTTATGGTCTTTCGTCTGGACTATGCTGTCTTTGCCTCTGTTGTAATACAGTCTGAAGGGACTCGGATTATCTGGACATTGTTTAGAACTTCATATTGGTCTATTGTATTAATGATATGTTAACCAGAGAAAATGAGAAGTACATGGCAATATAGTCTGGCTGTGTCCCCATCCAAATATCACTTTGAATTGTAATAATCCACACGTGTCAAGGGTGGGGCCAAGTGGAGATAATTGAATCACGGGGGCAGTTTCCCCCATACTGTTCTCCTGGTAGTGAATAAGTCTCACAAGATCTGATGGTTTTATAAATGGGAGTTCCCCTGCACAAGCCTTCTTGCCTGCTCCCATGTAAGACATGACTTTGCTTCTCCTTTGCCTTCTGCCATGATTGTGAGGCCTCCCCAGCCATGTGAAACTGTGAGTCCATTAAACCTCTTTCTTTTATAAATTACCCAGTCTTGGGTATGTCTTTATTAGCAGCATGAAAACAGACAAATACACATGGCAAATATATGGGAAGATACATGAGTTTCAGGGTTAGAGATAAACTGTACTTCTCTCCATTGGAGGGTGAAGCCAATAAGGAAGAAGCATAGACAAGCAGAACCGAAAGGAAAAATGAGGAGGCAGATGAAGCCGGGAGGGAGAGGAAGACTCTGCGTGTACCTGATCTCCTGCTGGGCTTCCCAGTGATTTGAGTAAATAAATTGCTTTTTTTTTTTGTCTTAAGCTGGGTTGAGTTGAAATTTTGTCACATGTAACCACTGACACTCATTGACAGTCTGCCCAGATTAATTCATTTTCATGGGAAATGTGCCCTTACAAAAAGGACACATTCTGGCCTTTCTTCTGTATGGCACATGTCTCTTAGAGACTGTACCACCTTCAAACAAGGGGGACACCTACCCTCTTCCCTGCATCTCCCCGTTAGAGAGGAGAAAAAGTTAAGCATTCTTCCTTATGCAGATTGCATGGCTTTATTATCACAGACTGGGAGAAATCTCAGTACACAACTGGCTCTGTGATCTGATCATTGGCAAAAATTATGATCCCAGGTCAACCATTTCAACTAATAATGGTTGTTTTAGTAAGTAGTATACTTTATCCAAAAGTTGATTGTTTAAATAATTGAACAAATCAACTTAATTACCTTGGGGTATATCAAGTTTATTTTAGAGGATTCACCAGAAAATTACAGCTCTTGAAGGTAGATGCATAATGAGGATTTTACAGAGAATTTTGTTCTCTTTTACATGAGTGAGCATTTGCTAATACTCACTTTAAAAGTTTTTGTGGTTACAATTATTGTGGCTAATTTCTGTGGCAGTAACCAGTTAGCAGTTACAATAAAAAAAAGATTCTGTTTGCATTAGCAACAAAAAAGAGAAAATGTCTACGAATAACACTAAAACAAAAACTGTGAATCTTTATGGAGAAAATGATGAAATTTATCTGAGAGACAGAAAATAATTTGAATGATGTAGACATGTAAAATGTTTCTGAAGAGAAGCATGATTAATGTGGAAATGTCAATTCTTCCCAAATTAAAGTTTTAATGTAATTACTATAAAAATTAAATTGGATTTCTTTTTTACTTTTGGAAATTGCCAGTTTTTTTAGTATCACTTAGAAGAATAAACAGGTGAAATAAAACAACATTAAGAAAATGCTGAAAAAATATAATGAGGCAGAAACAAGCTTACTGGATTGTATTGAAAATATTTATTACTTATTATAAAGCATAGCAATTATATCTGCACAGTACTGGCAGATAAGTAGAAAGATAATTCAGAAGAAGAATGTGATTCAAATAAAATGTAATATCTGATAAATGATGTAACATAAGTAATAAAGGGTAGGATTATTTAATGATTACTTATAAAGTAATTAGAAAATAGTCTGTTTAGAATTATTTTACTAAATGCTCACCTATTTTCTGATGGATTAAAAGACTGCATTTAAAAACAACAAAATGTAAATAAAAATGAATAGTCTTCTGATCCAGAGATTGAACAGGATATTTAGCCCAAAGGCAATGAAAGAGAAGACTGTGGTTGATTTGATTTCTTACCTAAAGAAAAATTAAAAAATTGTTTTGACTTAAAAATTTAGAACAAAACAATACAAAGTAAAAAACCAATAACAAAGAAGAAAAGTATTTTTAACAGCTCTCTAAGGGAATATCATGTTTAGTATATAAATAAATCACACAAATCAATAAAAATATATTGAGACTCAAGTTCAGTAAAAGAGAAAAAGTTGTGAACAATTCAGAGAATTACCCAAGAAACATTAAGAATTTTACTCTCAAATGGTGGCTCATGCCTGTAATCCCAGCACTTTGGGAAGCTGAGGCAGGAGGATCACTTGAGCCCAGGAGTTTGCGACCAGCCTAGTCAAAATAGCTAGACTCCATTTCTACCAAAAAATAAAAAACTTAGCCAAGTATGGTGGCATGCCCCTGTAGTTTGAGCTGCTCAGGAGGCTGAGGCAGCAGAATAGCCTAAGCCTGGGAGGTCCAGGCTGCAGTGAGCCCTGATTGCCCCACTGCACTACATACAATCTGAGTGCTAGAGTGAGACCTTGTCCCCTGGCAAAAAAATAATAATCAGATGAATGTAAAATAAAACAATGAGATACTGTTTTAAGTATGCAGTTATCAAACAGCAAATGTCTAATGCTTGAGCATACTTGTTTAAATTTTAAATTGTAATTACATGCTTGTATTACACTTTGATTGTATATATTGAAAACTCTCAAACTGTTAATATTGTCTGATTTGGCACTTCCAGTTCTCAGAATCTATCCTAAGGAAATAATCCAAAATGCAGATTTCCACAAAACATATTAATTATAGCATCATTCATAACTGTGAAAAATAGAAACAAGTTAAATATCCACTGAACAGGAAATGAAGGTAAATTTTATTAGATCCATACAGAACAGCCATTTAAAATTATACTTAGAAAAAACTTTTATTGTTTGTATTGCAATGTTAAATGAAATTAATATTAATATTTAAATATATATTTAGAATTAATATAAGTAGTTAAATATATTTTGTTTATCTCCAAGTGTTGGGGGCATGTACACCCCTTGAGGAGCTCACCATTTTTCCTCCCATCCTTCCACCTCCACATCCCATGTCGACTCTTTGAGCATTCTCTATTTTCTTTCCTTTTTCTTTTTCTTTCTTTCTTTTTTTTTTTTTTGAGACAGTCTTGCTCTGTGACCCAGGCTGGAGTGCAGTGGCGTGATCTCAGATCACTGCAGCCTCCACCTCCCAGGCTCAAGCAATTCTCCTGCCTCAGCCTCTCAAGTAGCTGGGATTACAGTCATGCGCCATCATGCCCGGTTAATTTTTGTATGTTTTGTAGAGACAGGGTTTCACCATGTTGTCCAGGCTGGTCTTGAACTCCTGACCTCAGGTAATCTGCCTGCCTTGGCCTCCCAAAGTGCTGGGATTACAGGCATGAGCCACCATATCCGGCAGCCTTTTCTATTTTCAACCATGCCTCAGAAAACCTGCTTTTGTTGTTGTTGGTGTCTTTTTGTTTTAAACAAAAGTCCCTTAGATCTACCATGGGGTCATAAAAGCCCAGACCTTCAAAACAGCCCTAAGATAGATACCCTGATGAGATGGATACCTGATGAGTCCACGACTAAGAAACCAAAATACAGTCAATTTCTCAGTCAGATGCTGGTGATATATACAGATAAAAGAACTTTAAAAAATCATTTATAATCTAATAATGAAAAGATTACCAGAGCTAAAGTTTGCTGCACTGACAGCTTGGTTTTGATTGTGTTAGGAGATACACATTAGACAACCAAGTAGAAAAGTAGAGTAGACAGTCAAATATACACATGTTGAGGCCAGGACTTTAGAAATAAATGTGTGAGCCACCAGCATAGAGATGGCATGTAAAAGCATAAATGGGATGAGGGCACCCGAGGAGTGAGTATAGATAGAGAAGATAGGCATACATGTGGGTATTTTGTAGTATGTGTGCCCAAGGACCCTTTTAGAAATTTGAGCCTGCTATATAATGGGATTAGTATAATGTCCCCAAATGAAAGTAATTTCAGTAAGAATTCCAGAAAAGTTTGCAGCTTTCAATACTCTGTTAAATGGCAACCTAAAAACAAGGGAGAACCCATGGAAATTGTTACCAGGGAGACGTCAACATTCCAGGAATAAGAATGCATTGCAGGTCAGCTGGCTGAACCTCATTGTGACCTGGGAGCCCTGCATGATGAAGGGATGATGGGTGAGCTACCAAGGCTAACATTTTCCCGAGGACATTGAGTTAGGGAAGTGGCCTCTCCTTGAGGGAAGGAGCCAGATGACTTCTCAGAGAACAACAACCATATTCAAAATATTCTCAAGTTTCTTTTGTTTCTTCTTGTCTGCATCTGATATCCAGGACATTATTCCACAGGAAAAGGTTAACAGGAAATCAAGATCGGCCCGGTGAGGGAAGAAGGGAAGTGGGAACTTGACTACATGGGTTAGGAGGGGCACACACAGGTACATGGGTAGCTGAGAAAGGAATTGTACAGAAGAAAAGGTAACTTTGGTACAAGTTGATTAAAAAGGTAAGGATAGGAGTGCTGTTCAATGATGGACTGAAGACATTCCTCTTTCTGCCCTTCCCAATTCTCACTAAATTGACAGTAAAATAAGTCAAACCATAAGATTTTAGAGAAAGAGAAGAGGCAATAATGGACGGGAGATGTAAACACATTTTTCTAAGATTGAAAGCAGAACAGAGGAAGATGGAAACCCAGCGCTGGCTGATGAGAACTGAGACCTTTTCAGGATTTGGTAGCAGCCGGCTCCAGGGAGGATGAGGTGAAGTCACGGGACTAAAAGCAGAGGGGGTTACCTGAAAGTTTCTGTCATAGTTTCTGACGCCATCCCCCGTGCCCACCTCCCCACTTGAGAAGCAGCCAATCACCCTTGCCCGCCTCAGGAGTCAGAAATCATTCTCTAACTACAGAGAATTTAAAATGGAGAGGGTGTAGTTTTAGAAACGTAGATTATCTGACGCATTTGACCACACAGAAAATAGTTTTGACGAGGATTTATGAACGTGTGGGAGACCCTGAGACTTTCGAATTAGAAGAAAAAAGCAAGAGGCATTAATAATTTTTCCAAATCCCAGAAAACAGGACAAGAAAGAAATGTAATTACAAGACCTTTCTTAATGCACTCCTAATGATGGAAACACTATATCATGATTTAGTTTACAGCTGTGATAGAACTACACCGGGAGGATGGTGGAGGAGAAGAAGGCTACAGACTGGTGGAGGAGAGATGCCTCTTTTTATGATTAGTTTTACATTATTTGATTTCTTAAACTTTTTTTTTTTTTTTTTTAGATGGAGTCTGGCTCTTTTTCCCAGGCTGGATTGCAGTGGGGCGATCTCGGCTCACTGCAACCTCTGCCTCCCGGGTTCAAGCAATTCTCCTGCCTCAGGTTCCTGAGTAGCTGAGATTACAGGCACCCGCCACCATGGCTGGCTAATTTTTGTATTTTTAGTAAAGATGGGGTTTCACCATGTTGGTCAGGCTGGTCTTGAACTCTTGACCTCAGATAATCTGCCCTCCTTGGCCTCCCAAAGTGCTGGGATTACAGGTGTGAGCCACCACACCTGGCCTGTTTGTGTATTGTTGTGATAACAAATTGCACTCCAGCTGGGGCAACAGAGTGAGTCTCCATCTCAAAATAATAGTAATAATAATAAAATAAAACTTCAAAATTGTAAAGAGGGGAAAGAATTGTATACTGTCTCTAGGCTCCTCCCATGCCATCTCAGTTTCCTCAGCATCTCTGTATTTACTTAGCATTGTAGCCATTTTTAGAATCTCCCCCACCAAGTTTTGAGGAACTTCAAGATTTAAAAGTAGGTAGAAAAAGATGAGCGAATCAAAGAGGCAGAGAAGTGGTCAGACACGTAAGATGAAACCAGGAGTGTTGAAATTAAGAAGGAAATTGTCAACAGCCAAATGCTGCAGATGGGTCAAATGAGTAACTTTCTCTGTCTTAGCTTTTCCGTAAAGATTGTTTCTCCAAAGCCTCCCACATACTGCTCACCCGCTCCCATCCCAATCTCAGGCAGGTGCCACATCATGTACTTTCATGGCAGCTGTAATCACTCTATACCTGAGTATCTCTCAGCTGCCCCTACAGTTCTAAGCCTCTTAAGGGAAGGGGCCATATTCTCTATGTATTCATAGCTAAGCTTTACACAGATAATTCTTCTGTGTATTCAATTTCACATTCTGCTTTTTCTTAATACTTTTTTCTGATGAAAAAAGTAATACAGATTTAATTTTGAAATTTTAATATTATAGAAATATAAACTACAGAAGGTCAAAGTTCCCTTATCTCCCCACTACCTGCCTATGACTGTTGTTTAAAGTTTATCTTTTTCTCAGATAGTGTTAGGTAAAATACTTAGGTTAATATATTTTCATAAAAATGTTTAGTGTTTGTATATACATATGATCATTTGCAATACCTAAAATTCAGTGTTATTAAAAATTTAGAGCCAGGCACAGTGGTATATACCTGTGGACCCAGCTACTCGAGAGGCTGATACCTCTGGGAGCATCACTTGAATCCAGGAGTTCTGGTCCAGCTTGGACAATATAGTGAGACCCCCATCTCTAAAAAACAAAAAGAAGAAATTTAGGTTATATCTATTTCTTACCATTAGAAATGAAGTTAGATGGATATTTTGTGTTATAGGTTTGTTCCTATTTCTGATTCTTTAGATTCCTAGGAATGTAATTATTTGATCAAAATGTGTACTTTTAAGACTTTTAATTTATAGTACCAAATTAAAGTGGTGGATAGTGTTTTTCAAATTTTTTTATCTTTAGTGACATTTTGCCTAGTCATTTGATCAATTACTATAAGAGGTATATTAAGAAATAATGTTTTGAATTCTCCATGTATCCCTTTTTTTACTTTATTCCTTTCATGTATATTAAAGCTCTTAGGGGCATATAAGTTTACATTTGTTATATCTCCCTGATTTATTAACCCTTTTATCATTATAAAATTTCCTTTTTGGATCTAATAATATTCCTTGTCTTAAAGTTTATTTTTTCTGATATTAATATAGCCATTCTGGCTTTCTTTTGATTTGTGTTTGTATGATATTCTATCCTCTTACATTCAATTTATTTATGCCTTTGTGTTTGAAGTGTGTTTCCTGTAGACAGTAGGCAGTTAGGTCTTCCTTTTTAAAATTAATCTGTCTTTAGGGATATCTAGACCATTTACATTTGATGTGATTACTGTTACAGTTATACTTAGTTCCATCACTTTGCTATTTTTCTATTTGTCTTATCTGTCTTATGTCCTTTTGTTTTGTGTTAATCAGGTATTAATTCCTCTATTAGCTTTTTAGCATATATATATATATATGCTGTATGTGTATATATATATATATGCTGTATGTATATATATATATGCTGTATGTGTATATATATATATATATATGCTGTATGTATATATATATGGACAAACTATTAGCTATTTCCCAAGAAATGAGAAAGAGTCACACCTCAGACCATTTCTTTTTCTGAATAAAGTGGGCAACAACATGTTGTTGGAAATTCTGATTTACTCTCATATAATCCAGAGCTAGCTGGTAAAGCAGGAAATAGTATTTTCCTTCTCAATCAAGTTAATGTAGGGCCCTCCTTATGTTTTGATATTATATGTATCAAAATATCACTATGTACCCCAAGTTGTTGGCAACATTACATTGCAGTATGAGTATGCACACTGGAAATAGAAAGCAAACTCATATTTTGTGCCTTAACATCTATTTGAATTCAATTTCATATATTTACCTTTTCCACTTGATTATGGAGTCTTGCTGGGCACTCTAGACTTATGGCTTAGGGGATCAGCTAATACCCAATTCAGGATAGATAACTCCACTTGTATGTTCATTGGGTGTCCCATGTTGAAGCATTGACTCTACAAGGTCCAGTAGCCACCAAAAAGTTTTATTCAAAATAATAATTACAGCAAAATCCTCTAGGAGTACTCTACTGGGGCTTGCTACAATTTTCACACAGTATCCTGATTGTGCACCTCTGAGAACTGCTGACTTTGCTGGGTCATAAAGTTCAAATGGCGGAGTTGCATGTTCTGCAACGAACAATGAACAACAAGCCTTCTCTTGCTCTGAGCCCACTCATGTTTGACAGTCTTTTAGAATGCTCAATAAATAGGTCAGCATATCACACCCAAGTATGGGACATGTTTTTCTTAAAATTAAAGTGGGCCACAAAAATGATCGATACTCCGTTGGTGAGATTAATGTGCAGCAAATTGCCTTTCATGTTGAAAGGAATATTCTAGTATGACTCAGACCTTTGGACTCCTTAGAAACTTTACTGACCCAGCCTCTACATTGAATTTGTTTTTCTTTTTCTTTTTATAAATTTCAGTTCTAGGGTACATGTGCATAACGTGCAGGTTTGTTACATATGTATACGTGTGCCATGTTGGTGTGCTGCACCCATTAACTCGTCATTTACATTAGGTATATCTCCTAATGCTATCCCTCCCCCCTCCCCCCACCCCACGACAGGCCCCGGTGTGTGATGTTCCCTACCCTGTGTCCAAGTGCCCTCATTTTTCAATTCCCACCTATGAGTGAGAACATGCGGCGTTTGGTTTTCTGTCCTTGTGATAGTTTGCTCAGAATGATTGTTAGTTTTACAATCTACCCATCTGACAAAGGGCTAATATCCAGAATCTACAAAGAACTTAAATTTACAAGAAAAAATCAAACAACCCCATCAAAAAGTGGGCAAAGGATATGAACAGACACTTCTCAAGACATTTATGCAGCCGACAGACACATGAAAAAATGCTCATCATCACTAGCCATCAGAGAAATGCAAATCAAAACCACAATGACATACCATCTCACACCAGTTAGAATGGCAATCATTAAAAAGTCAGGAAACAACAGGTGCTAGAGAGGATGTGGAGAAATAGGAACACTTTTACACTGTTGGTGGGACTGTAAACTAGTTCAACCATTGTGGAAGACAGTGTGGCGATTCTTCAAGAATTTGTTTTTCGTCTGTTGGCATGCATCTTGATGTCTGCTACTTCCTGCTTATCAGGTTCATTTAGCAGGATACAGTAGACCAGTGCAATGTCACGTGGGATGTTGAAGCCTTTGGTTTTGGAGAGGTGAGATATCATTGTGTCAAATTTTTGAAAAGTTGTGTTTCTGACCCTACCAAATGAAAACAAAATGCTAAGAGCTAAGACATGGAATCAACCTAAATGTCCATCAATGACAGACTGGATAAAGAAAATGTGGTACATATACACCATGGAATACTGTGCAGGCATAAAAAATAATGAGATCATGACATTTGCAGGGACATGAAAGGAGCTGGAAGGCATTATCCTCAGCAAAGTAACGCAGGAACAGAAAGCCAAATATGATATGTTCTCACTTATAAGTGGGAGCTAAATGATGAGACCACATGGACATGTATTGGGGAACAACACACACTGGGGTCTATTGGAGGGTGAGGTTGGGACAAAGGAGAGGATCAGGAAAAATAACTAATGAGTACTAGGCTTAATACCTGGGTGATGAAATAATCTCTACAACAAACCCCATGACACAAGCTTACCTATGCAACAAATTCTGCACATGTACCCTTGAACTTAAAAGGTTAAAAAAAGTTTAAAAAAAAAAACTGATAAATGAGATGGATATACTAATTATCCTGATCTGTTCACCATATATATACCAAAACATCACTATGTACCCCATGAATATGTACAATTATTATTTGTCAGTTAAAAATAAATTTTAAAAAGTAAAAAAAAACCCAAAATATTTCTGGTAATTTTTGTTTCATGGGATAGAAAAAAAGCATTTACCAGGATAATATCTGCTACTAAGTAATAGGGGTTTTGTTGCCATTTATTTATTTATTTATTTATTTACTGTGATTTGATCACAATAAAGAGACCACATCTGGAAGAGCAGCTCCAATTAAAATCATCACCTAGTTGAGTTATCAATGATTTAATTCTATCTCCCAAACTCCAGTTGTCTTCTTGCATAGACCAAATGGTGATTCAAATGGTGGTATGACAGGAGTCATTAGTCCTGTATATTTCAAATTATTTATGGTAGCATTAAATTCAGAATTTTCCATGAAGATATATTACTTTTGGTTTAATATTTTGGTAGGGAGAGGGAGATATACTGGCTCTTCTTTGCATAATAATTCTTAATGTATTAGAAAGCCAATGTGGATGTTTTGTCAGCTGCTGATTGTTTATTCCAACCATATACACAGAAACTAAAAAAATATCTGAGGACTAGGTTCAGTATCCCATTGGGCCAACTGTGTGGTGGACTTAGGTTGTAACTCCTTTTGTCACGTAGTTTCCATGAACTTCCACTGTGATCTGAAGATTGCACTAAGTGTTCTAGATTCACTGGAATTAGCTTTAGGTCAGAACAAGTAGGTAAGAAGATTCAACATCATACAAATGTCAATGATGACTCACATATGTGGTCATTTGATTGGTGACCATATTGACGGTCAAAGGTTTTTCATTGCTAATAGTGTTGGTTCAACTGGTTATCAATATAGAAAAGTGTCTCTTGACTCTTGATGCACAAAAATAAATTCCAGATGAATCATAGATCTTGATAGGCTAAGTAAAACAATAAAGCTCTTAGAAAAAAATACAGACAATTTTCATCTGGGAGGGGGAAAACATTCTAAACAATTTGCCTAAGAAATCTAGGCAAAAATTTCTTAAATAGCATTCAAAATGGTACACAAAAAGATCCAATTATAAGGGGAAATTGATAAATTATTGTGTTCATCAAAATTATTAAAATGAAAAGGCAAGCTTCAGAATGGGACTTGTATTCATAATATGTAAAGAACTCCTACAAGTTAATAAGAAAAAGGTAGAATGTCCAGTAGAAAATGGATAAAAGATGTGAACCCAGAAAAGTATATCCAAGGGGTAGGAAACATATAAAATGTTGGTCACGTTTACTAGGCATCAGAGAAATGCAAATTAAAACCAGAAATTGATACAAATACACACACACACACACACACACACATACACACACACCAATTCTAGTTTTGAAAAAGTAGCTACTCTAAAAGTCAAGTGTTGTCAAGGATGGGGGTAATTGGAACTCTCATACACTGCTGATGGGAATGCAAATTAGTACAGCCACTTTGGAAATTGTTTGACAGTATTTACTAACATCGAATGTGCATATACTCTATAACCCAGTGACTGGCTTATATCCTAAAAATGCGTACATATTTCCAACCAAAGACATGCAAATAATAAAAATAATGAAAACTGATGAGCAGACATGTATGCCCCTGTGAATTCTCAGATGAGAATCCTAAACTCCTGCATTTTCATCTGTGTCTCATTACATTTTTCATTTTCATTTCATCTATTTTTTTTTTACAAATTTTTACCATTTTCATCACATTTTAAATTTCTTATTCTGGCCTGTTCTCTCCAGATAGCAGTACTCTATTATTTTATAGTAGAAAATTCAAAAATACATTTTATTGAGAATACCAAATAGTTCTCTGAAGTTTCCTGTTGGATGCTGTAGTAGATAACTTCCAGGTATTTGCTCTTCATTTGATCTTCCAGAAGGACTATATCTTTTACTGTCTTGAAATATTGTCCCCTAAAGCCTCCACATTAGTTTTTCTTTACTATTGACTGTCAAATATGCTGAATCGTTTCAAAGTCACTGTATTGCGACATAGCAGTATGTGGAGATTGTACTTGCCCCCACTGTCTGCACTTGGTTTATGGTTACATTCACCTCTAGAATCTTACATTCATGAACATGGTCCTCCTCTACCAAGGAGGCATTCAAAACCCACTGCTAAATTAATTGATATTTTGGACCAATGTGTATATGATACACTACAAGTCCCAGAATATACCGTACCACAACTGGATTTCTTTATACCCCTCCCTGCCCTGATACCTCATTTGACATAAGCATGGGATATAGCTAACAGCACTTTGAAATGCCCGCATTCATGACTATCACAATATAGCATGTAGCCAATAGCTTTCTATGTTATGGCTTTAGAAAGCTATCATTTTCTTAGCCTTCTTTACTTTTTTTTTTCTACTAGCACTAGCAGGTGGGTTTCCTTGGAGAACTATTTTTATAATCAATTTTTCCATGTTGCTTTATGGAGAAGGTGAACTGAGAACTATCAAGCTACTTTGGGATGGGAGCACTGGGCTATCAGATATGCTTGTTCATTGCTTAAAGGACTAATTTCAGTTCACCAAGTCAACATGCAGTACCAATTTGTGCTTCAGTAAATTTTTAAATTTGAGAATTTCCAGGATACTGTTTTGAAGGTAAAAATTAATTCGGTCATTTCCTTAATCACCTGCCAATCTAATTTAAGTTGCTACTTTCTCAGTGGAATCCCAAGATGATTCGGGAATAAAAGAGACTGAGGTATTTTGAAATACAAGTGTTGAAGACTAGATTCTCAGTAGAAAATTATAACCGTCTTTTATTTTAGGATCTGGTTTATTTATCTTAAGTGCTGTCTCTTTAAATCTGTTCTTCATCTCCTGCTTAGACCAAAGAATCAATCATGTTTTTTGTTCTTGACTTTTAGGGTCTGAATCTCAGCCCTCAGAGAAGACTTATTTTACATGGTTTCTTATTTTTTTCACAGTTTTTAATAGGAAAGAAAAAAAGGCATACAAATTTACTTGGTCATAGTTTTGCGTGACATGGGAGCCTTCAGAATGAAAACCAAAGAGACACAGAAAAGTGTCCATTTGAAGAAAAATTGATACAAAGTATTTTACATATCGATGGGCTACATGTTGAGTATTTGCTACATGCATAGAATGTGTAGTGACCAAGTGAGGGTGTTTGGAGTGTCCATCACCTTGAGTATTTATCATTTCTATGTGTCGATAACATAACATCTTAAGTCTTCTATTCTAGCTACTTTGAAATATACAATACACTGTTGCTAACTGTGGTCACTCTACTCTGCTATAGAATATTGGAGCTTATTTCTTCTATCTAGCTGTGTGTTTGCACCCACTAACCAGTCTCTTCAGTCCCAGCCACAAACCCTTCCTAGCCTCTGGTATCTTTCTATTCTCCATCTTCATGAGATCAGCTTTCTTTCAGCTCCCACGTGTAAGTGAGAACATGTAATAAATGTCCTTCTGTGCCTGCATTATTTCACTTAATTACCTTCAGTTTCATCCGTGTTGCTGCAAATGATATGATTTTATTTTTTATGGCAGAATAATGTTTGTGTATACATACCATATTTTTCTTATCTGTTCACCGATTGCATATATTTGCTATTGTGAATAGTGTTGGGATAAGCATAGGTGTGCAGCTATTCTTTTGATATACTGATTTCTTTTCCTTTGGATAAATACCCAGTAGTGGCATTGCTAGATAAAATGGCAGTTCTGTTTTAAAAAAATGTCCACGTTTATTCTTAGGTTCAACAAAGTATGGACAGCCATGTAGAAATGTGATTAGACAGAAAGGGTATGATCTAATACTAACATACTACTGAGGGGAACACCCAGCAAGACCTGTTTGTTTAGCTTCTTCTTGGCCCATTTCCACACACTTTTAAAGGGAATTACATGGCTAGGCCTAGATATTGTGATGAGATAAATACGTCTTCAGTGCCCTCAGATGTGTCTTCCATTATGTCTGGCATCCTTTCTTTCTTTCTCTTCCCTTCTTATGTCAAGAAGTACAGCTTGCTATTGTGGGATACCTCTAACAGTATTGAGGTGTTTTAATGGTAGAGTTTGAAGTTTTGTTCCTTGTTATGGGAGTGGCACTGTGACCATCTGCTAATAGAACTGATGCCATTTAGAACAGCTGATACTCTCCCCTTTCCTCCTGCTGGCCCAGTTCAGTATGTAGTCTCCGGATATCTAGTTTGCAGTTTCTTAAATGAGATACAATGGGTAACCTGATCTGAGTACTTCTGCTTTTTCCTTTAAAGATAAAATGATAAAAAAACTTATAAAAACTTCCAAAGAAGGAAGTACATTAAACTTTCCCATTCTCCATGCCTTAAGCCAGTGGTCAGCAAACTTTTTCTGTAAAGGGCCATATAATAAATATTTTAGGCTTTACGTATTTTACAATCTCTGCCGTAACTACTCAACTCTGCTGTGTCCTACAAAAGCAGCCATAAACAATACACCAACAAATGGATGTGGCTGAGTTCTAATAAATCTTTATTTACTAAAACAGGCAGCAGGCAGGTTGGCCCACATACTGTAGTTTGCAGACACACCTGACGTAAGCCCAAAATTCCCTATTCTTTTGGGTAGTTTTAGTTTCATCTTCCCCATGTGCTTCAGTTCCTCTAAAATGAAACACTATAAAAAAAGTGTTCCAGTGTCCAGTGATGTAACAAAATAGAACTCTGTGAAATTTTAGGCCTCTTGGGGAATAAGTTATTCTCCTGCTATCGCGCCTGAACCTTAACTTTTGAATTACTTAAAGCTATTTCTAAGGCAGCATTTCTGGTCCCGGAATATGACTTCTGGAACTAGAGAGAAGACATTCTCAAGAGGGGACAGGTGCTCCCAAATTGTACTCACCATCTGGTCAAACAGAGTGGGAATCAATTGTCTTTGAGGGCAAGGTGTGAACACCTGTTCTTTCTTTTGGATGGCAGATTTAGTATTTCAGGTAAATATCAAAAGGTGTATTTGCCCACCACTATGGAATTTAAGCCTATTTTTAAAGCATGAGCAAACACATCCTCAAGTTGGGCCATGGTCGGTTGATTTATGACTCAGGAATGCTGAATTCCCGTGTTGGAAGCGGACCAACAGTTACAATGTTCTGTGTGCTGCTGGCTGCTTCCCACACAGATAATTACCAGAGGCTAATTTACAGATGCCAGTGGGAACGTAAATGGAGTGAATGGCTGCCTGCAGAGCTAGGAATTGGATTTTATCAGGAGTCATGGAGAAGCGTGTTTGTTCTCAGAGAAAAAAGTCCAGAAAAGTGACTCGTTGAGAAACATGCCAGCAAAATGAGTTATCCAAAGGGCGGTGCAGTATTTAAAGCATTGCTTTAGAGTTAGACAACCTGGGCTAAAATCCTTATTGCCCCACTTAATAGGTAGAAACCTTGAATCAGTTACTTAACCTAACTTTCCATTCCTCACCTGCAACATCAACATAATAGTAGAATCTATCTCAAAGTTGAGATGATTAAATAAAAAAATGCACATACAGCATCTACCACCATATTTAGAAAATAGTAAATGATCAATAAAAATTAGCTATTATTATATTCTAACACTTCCAGTCTTGGGGTTATCACAAATTTTGTTCTCTATTCAACAATCAGGAATACACATTTTACCTTCCTCATTTGCTCAAGGTTATTGGAGATTTTGAGAGTCTTTGATTGCTTATCTTGTAGAGTAGAAAATGGAGATTCATGAATTTAAGTGAATTCCCCAAGGTTAGAAATGGATGGAACCAGAATTAAAACTCACCCAACTGACCTGCTTTTTAATCTAGACATTCCCAAATTTGAGCTTCTCCAGAAGCTGCACTGATCCTCTTCCACTCAGCTTACTTCTCATGTTATTCTAGCAATCTTAGCACCAAAAATTGAAGCTATAAATAGAGTGACCTTTGGCAAATTATATCCCCCAATCTCAATTTTTCATTTATAAAATAAGCAGCTTGGTATATAGAGATGATCCATGTCATTTCTTCCAATTCTAGAATGTAAACCTAAAAGATTTGTAGAGAAACTCATCACTGAGGTGAAAAACCAGAGTCATGGAAGTAGGTAGGTCATGGTTGACCAACGCCACCATCTTCATGAGGACATCGGTAATCAGAATTAAAGTCAAACTCTGGATTGTGACTATTACCAAGACCAGGTTTCTTGCACCCACAAAACATCCTTGCTGTTTGTATTTGGTGGCCAGCATGGGCTACCTCTGGAATTTGCATCATGCTGTCACAAGAAGGACCAGGGATTTTAGCATTTGAGGAAAACTTAAAGTAGGTAATAAATCAACTATGCAAATAGCAAAGTATGCAAGTCTATTAGTCTGTTCTCATGCTGCTATTAAAGACATACCTGAGACTGGATAATTTACAAACGAAAGAGGTTTAATTGACTTATAGTTCAGCATGGCTGAGAGGCCTCAGGAAACTTAAAATGATGGTGGAAGGGAAAGCAAACACCTCCTTCTTCACATGGTGGTAGCAAGGAGAAGTGCTGAGCTAGAGGGGAAAGGCCCCTTATGAAGCCATCAGCTCTTGTGAGAATTAACTATCATGAGAATAGCATGAGGGTAATTGCCTCCATGATTAAATTACCTCCCACTGGATCCCTCCCATGACACATGGGGGTTATGGGACTACAAGATGAGATTTGGGTGGGGACACAGCCAAACCATATCAGCAAGTAAGTGTCTTTTTTTCCCACTGAACTTAGGCAAATTTATTTTGCCTTGGAAATTAAGGTCACATAAGTTCTTGAATTAACAATAAAATAATATTATTTAGAATTTAATCTCTCTCTCTCTCTCACACACACACACACACACACACACACACACACACACACACACACTCTACTTATGTTGCCTGTTACGTTTCTCAATGTGCAGGACATTTAAATTGAAGTACCTCATATTTTAGGAGGAATTAAGTAATGGAGCTAAAGAGGGCTACCTAGTTTTCTATATTCTAGTATGATACTCAAAACTCTAAATTAAGATAATTTAAAAAATAGCATGGGGAAAACAATACAAATATTTAGCAAGATTATTACTATAGAGCTGTTTAGAATTGTTAATTAGATGTGGATATTGTTGATGAGTTTAAATCATAACTAAATAATTTAATAAATAAGTAGTTCTATAGCATATAAGAGTAACCAAAGTTTATATTTGGAAGAAACATTATCCTTAATATACACACTTCAAAATCAACAGAGATTTTTAGATTTAGACTTATATTTTTCTTTTTAAAAAAGATAGATAATTGTCTCAAAAGATGGGTCATTCTCTTTAATGTGAGATACACTCTTCTACAAAAGAAGATGTATGAGTAGCCTGAATTAGGCAGTTGATATTCAAGTGATAATTTTCTATGGTGGAGGCCATCACATTTAGGCTAGTGTTGTGGTTAAGAAAGTGGACTTTGGTATCAGACAGACTTGCATTTGATTTTGTTCTTTGTCCCTTACTGTGAGACCTTTGATAAAGTATTTGACCCATCTAAGCCTGTGTTTCTCCAATGTGAAATATAGAGAGTGATTGTAACTAGTATTTCATGGGTGACATTGAAAGAATTGAGATAATGACATGTAACTTGCTAGGCACAGCATTTGCCAAGTGCTTCGTGCCTTTGTTACTGGCTGCCTGGCTTCGAGAAACATCTCCAGCTTCCTCTTTACAGCAGCCTTCCTGCAGGGAGGGAAAGTGGGGCTTTGGGATGCTTCTGCCCACTTTGTCATTGATGGTCAGAAGCCAGTAAGCAGTGAGCAGGTGACTGTCATAAGCCTGCAGGTGTGGTGAGTCCTTTAAATGCACTGATCTGAGCTTTTCAGTTTTGTATTTGAAATGAGATGTTTTTCATGTGGGTGTAGAATTCGCTTCTTGGGTTTGGTGGATATTTTAAACCATCTGCATTTGCCCACTTCTTTTCAATTTGTCTCTCTGATTAATCTCAGTAGAGATATGTCTTAGACAATTATATCTGATGGAAATTATGTACTTGGAATTTTAGCGATAGAGTTCCTTATAGAGTTTCAATTTTTTGGAGAAAAAATGATTACTATCTTGAAACATTAATTAGAAGTAGTATATATTTTTGTCTGTTCATATAAAGATATCCATTCTTAAATTTTCCTTTGAAAATTTGAATTCAGTAATTATATAATATTTTTAGCTCAATTGACTAACCTATTTACTATAATGGGGATAAATTACACTTTTTAATTAATTAATTTATTAAGGCACAGTCTCGCTCTGTTGCCCAGGCTGGAGTGCAGTGGGCAGTGGCACAATCTCCACTCAATGTAGCCTCTGCCTCTTGGGTTCAAGTGATTCTCATGCCTCAGCCTCCTGAGTAGCTGGGATTACAGGCATGCACCACAACACTCAGCTAATTTTTATATTTTTAGTAGAGACAGGGTTTCACCCTGTTGGCCAGGCTGGTCTCAAACTCCTGATCCACCTGCCTTGGCTTCCCAAAGTGCTAGGACTATAGGTGTGAGCCACTGCGCCCACCCACTCTTTTTATTTTTATTTTTTATTTTATTATTTTTTTTTCAGACAGAGTCTTGCTCTGTTGCTCAGGTTAGAGTGCAGTGGCACGATCTCGGCTCACTGCAACCTCCACCTCCTGGGTTCAAGCGATTCTCCTGCCTCAGCCTCCCGAGTAGCTGAAATTAGAGGCACCGGCCACCATGCCCGGCTAATTTTTGTATTTTTAGTAGAGATGGGGTTTTACCATCTTAGCCGGGCTGGTCTCAAACTCCTGACCTCGTGATCCACCCTCCTCGGCCTCCCAAAGTGCTGGGATTACAAGTGTGAGCCACCACGCCTAGCCTCTTTTTATTCTTATAGATAAAACTTGAAATAAACTTGGAGTTCTTTAGAGTTCTTGACATAAATATATGTCATTTCACTGTACTGGGGTGGAACTCTCTTTTTTGTCAGTCAACCAACTTGACAGTTTATTCACAGATAATGACATATGCTCAATTTGCCATTTTTAAATTGTAATCATGCAATCAAGCATGTTCAGAAAAAAATCCAGTAGGCAGTGAATGCATGCTAGGTTACTTAGGCCATGGCTTTGGATAAAAGTGTTATTACTTTTGCAAACAAATGGTCCCTTTTTATTAATGTCAGTGCCACTTAACATTCTATTACCTTTTGATACATTACCTTGTGACTTTATTTTTTCCAGCTTTATTGAGGTATAACTGGTATTTAAAAAACTGCACATAATTAATTATGCCATTTGGTGAATTTGGACTATGTATACACTCATGTTGCCACCACCACAATCCAGGTGATAAACATATCTATCACCTCCAAAAGTTTCCTGGTAAATCCTCCCTTTTTTGTGTGTAAGAATACTTAACATGAGCTCTATGCTCTTAATAAAATTTTATTTTATTTTATTTTTAGTTCTGGGGTGCATGTGCAGGATGTGCAGGTTTGTTACATAGGTAAACGTGTGCCATGGTGGTTTGCTGCACCTATCAACCCATCACCTAGGTATTAAGCCCAGCATGCATTAACTATTTTTCCTAGTACTTTCCCCCCAACTCCCCTTTCCCCCAACAGGCCCCAGTGTGTGTTTTTCCCCTCCCTGTGTCCATGTGTTCTCATTGTTCAGCTCCCACTTAGAAGTAAGAACATGAGGTGTTTGGTTTTCTGTTCCTGCATTAGTTTGCTGAAGATAATGGCTTTCAGCTTCATCCATGTCCCTGCAAAGGACATGATCTCATTCCTTTTTATGGCTTCATAGTATTCCATGGTGTATATGTACCACATTTTCTTTACACAGTATATTATTGATAGGCATTTGAGTTGATTCCATGTCCTTGCTATTGTGAATAGTGCTGCAATGAACATAATGTGTGCATGTATCTTTGTAATAGAATGTCTTATATTCCCCTGGGTGTATACCCAGTAATGGAATTGCTGGGTCAGATGGTATTTCTGGTTCTAGATCTCTGAGGAATTGCCACGCTGTCTTCCACGATGGTTGAACTAATTTACATTCCCACCAATAGTGTAAAAGCGTTCTTATTTCTCCACAACCTCACCAGCATCTGTTGTTTCCTGACTTTTTAATAATGGCTGTTCTGACTGGCATGAGATGGTATCTCACTGTGGTTTTGATTTGCATTTCTCTAATGATCAGTGATGTTGAACTTTTTTTCATGTTTGTTGGCTGCATGAATGTCTTCTTTTGAGAAGTGTCTGTTCATCTCCTTTGCCCACTTTTTGATGGTGTTGTTTTTTTCTTGTAAATTTGTTTGAGTTCCTTGTGATTCTGGATATTAGACCTTTGTCAGATGGATAGATTGCAAAATTTTTTTTCCCACTCTGTAGGTTGCCTGTTCACTCTGATGATAGTTTCTTTTGCTTTACAATAGTTCTTTAGTTTGCTTAGATCCCAATTGTAAATTTTTCTTTTGTTACAATTGCTTTTGGCAATATCATCATAAAATCTTTGCCCATGACTATGTCCTGAAGGGTACTGCCTAGATTTTCTTCTAGGGTTTTTAAAAAGTTTTGGGTTTTACATGTAAGTCTTTAGTCTATCTTGAGTTAATTTTGTATAAGGTGTGAGAAAGGGGTCTAGTTTCAATTTTCTGCACATGGATAGCCAGCAAAATTTTAAGTGCACAATACCTTATTGTTAACTACAGGTACTTTGTCATACAGCAGATCTGAGGAACTTACTTATCCAGTATAACTGTAACTTTATTTATTTGTTTGTTTCTTGAGACAGAGTCTTACTCTGTTGCCCAAGCTGTAGTGCAGTGGTGTCAACACAGCTCAATGCAGCCTGGATCTTCTGGGCTCAAGTATTCTTCTTGCCTCAGCTTGCCAAGTATTTGGGACCATAGGTGTGCACCACCATGCCTGACAAGTTAAAATTTTTTTTGTAGAGATAAAGTCTCCATATGTTGCTCAGGCTGGTCCTCAATTCCTGGGCTCAAGTGATCTCCTGCCTTGGCCTCCTGAAGTGTTGGGATTACAGGCGTGAGCCAACATGTGTGGCCTAACTGTAATTTTATACCCATTGAATGACAGCTTCTCATATCCCCTTCCCCCATCTCCATGATTCTACTGTCTACTTCTTTATCTTTGATGATATTAGATATCTCCTATAAGAGGAATCATGTATTCAACCTTCCATCACTGACTTCCTTAGAATAATCCCTTCTAGGTCCATCCATGTTGTCACCAGAGGTAGGATTTCCTTTTATAAGGCTGAATAATATTCCATTGTATGGATATACCACATTTTCTTTATCTATTCATCCCTCAAATCTTGGCTATTGTGAATAATGTTGCAATAAGCATGGGAATGTAGGTATCTTTTTGAGATCCTGATTTCAATTGTTTTGGATATACCCCGAAATGGGATTGCTGGATAGTATAGTAGTTCTGTTTTTAGTTATTTGAGCATCCTTCACACTGTTTTTGATAGTGGCTGCACCATTTTATATTCCACCCAACAGTGTACAAGGGTTCCAATTTCTCTGCCACCTCACCAACACTTATTATTATTATTTTTGATAATAACCATCCTAAGAGATATGAGGTAATATCTCATTGTCTTTTTTTTTTTTTTCGAGATGGGGTCTTGCTCTGTCACCCAGGCTGGAGTACAGTGGCATGATCTCAGCTCACTGCAGCCTCCACCTCCCAGATTCAAGCGGTTCTCCTTCCTCAGACTATCAAGTAGCTGGGACTTCAGGCATGCACCACTGTACCTGGCTAATTTTTGTATTTTTAGTAGAAACAAGGTTTCACCATGTTAGCTAGGCTTGTCTCGAACTCCTGACCTCAGGTGATCTGCCTGCCTTGGTCTCCCGAAGTGCTGGGATTACAGGCATGAGCCACTGTGCCTGGCCCTCATTGTCATTTTAACTTAGATTTCCCTGATAATTAGCAATGTTGAGCATCTTTCATATACCTTTTGGTCATTTGCATGTCTTCTTTGGAGAAATGTCTATTCAAATCCTTTGCCCATTTTTAAATTTATTATTATTATTTTTGCTATTGAGTTTTAGGAATTCCTTATATATTTTGGAAATCAACCCCTTATCAGATATGTGGTTTGCAAATATTTTCCTCCATTTGGAAGGTTGCCTTATTACTCTGCTGACTGTCTCCTTTGCTGAATGGAACTCCCTTTTGATGGTAGGTGAAAACATTTCTCATTCGCTCTCAGGATGGCAAAATTGTAGACAAAATATAAAGTCATAAAAAGAAAATTATTCCAAGTTAGTTAAAATAGAAAACTGTTCACAGTTAGTACATAAAATACAAATGAGTTAATATGTGTGGAAAACTTCAAATCGTTTCTGACAAATGATTTGTGCTTAGTGTGTGCCAGGTGATATGATTATGTAATAGGCAGATGCAATTGCCAGTAACAGAATAAGGTAGGAGCGGGTCTTCCTATTTATTGAATAACATGACTTGCCTTTCAACTTGATCTTTGGTAATACTTAGCAATGGATGTTATTAGAATAAAAAAGATCAGGAGGCCTAATTTATTGTTAAGAATGCAAGAATTGGCTGGGCACAGTGGCTCACGTCTATAATCCCAGCACTTTGGGAAGCCAAGGCAGGAGGATCGCTTGAGCCCAGGAATTCAAGACCATCCTGGGAAACAGAGTGAAACCTTGTCTCTAAAAAAAAAACAAACAAAAAAAACAAACAAACAACAACAAAAAAACAAAATTAGTGGGGTGTGGTGCTATGTGCCTGTACTCTCAGCTACTTAGAAGGCTGAGGTGGGAGGATCACTTGAGCCCAGGAGGTTGAGGCTGCAGTGAGCCAAGATCATGTCACTGCACTTGAGACTGGGCGACAGGGTGAGAACCTGTCTCAAAAAAGAAAAAAAAAAAAAAGCAAGAACTACCATACTTATGTGATTTCATATTTTTTAATTGATAAAATAAGTATGCATCCTTCAATTTTTCAGAAAATTAACAACCCCCAGGGGCCCCAAAAGGACAGAAAGTATATTCTACTTACCAATATGATAGGTTGGTTTTTTTTTCAAATAAATGTAATTGCAATTGATACACTTATTGAATTCATACACTGTACATTTTTTTCATGTTTAAGGATTTTGACATTTAGGAATTACTAGAGGTTCAGGAATTTGACGTTCTATCTGGTACAAGACCAATATAAAATAGTCTGTTTCTCTACCACAACTTTGTGATTACTATTTAATTTTCAGGAAGGCAACAAAAGTTGTTGTAGTGATTCTTAACATTTAGATTGGGCTCTAGGACCAAAAGGTGCCATCACATCTGTTACCCCATTTCCACGTGAGATGGGCTGTGTGATTCTCATCTTAGCTGTGATTCAGAAGCCACTCACCTTACATTTCTGAGATCACCGCTCTTTCTACCACATCACAGCTTCTTGCAAGGTACTGTGCTTGTATTTAGATGTATCGTGGCAACACCTAAAAATAAGCAATAGCATCTAACAGACTTGTGTCATTCAGCAACTTTAGGTAAGTGTATTTTTCTGTGATTACTTTGCACTTGAGAGCACAGGGTGGATCCTTTCACTTTCTTCCCTTGAATAGTTTTATCTGAGGGTTGAAGGATGAAGGCTTAGGGACATAAAGAACAGTGCCTTCCCTCCCCGGCTTTTTACAAATAGAACTTGATTGCTCTCTTGTGGGAATATACACTGGCATTCAGGTAGACTGTGAGAAAATTAAGCAAGGAGTTGGGATCCTGTGACAGCAGCAGCACCTAGGAAGCTGGCACTGAGAAGGAAGACACTGTATTTTCTTTTTCTTTTCTTTTTTTTTTTTTTGAGACAGAGTTTCGCTTTGGTCGCCCAGGCTGGAGTGCAATGGCACAATCTTGGTTCATTGCAATCTCCACCTTCCGGGTTAAAGCAATTCTTCTGCCTCAGCCTCCTGAGTTGCTAGAAGCACAGACTGCTGTGCCCCCATGCCCGGCTAATTTTTTGTACTTTTAGTAGAGATGGGGTTTCACCAGTCTCTACTGGCCAGGCTGGTCTCAAACTCCTGACCTCAGGCTATCCACCTGCCTCGGCCTCCCAAAGTGCTGGGATTGTAGGCATGAGCAACCGCACCTGGCCAACAATATATTTTCTAATAGGATGGTCAGTAGAGAATGAAGTCTTATTTGTTTCCTCATCATGGTGCTCCTCTGCATTAGGGGAGTATATTTGTCCATTTGGACTGCTATCAGAATACCACAGACTGCTTGGCTCATAAACCACAGAAATTGATTTCTCACAGTTTTGGAGGTTGGGAAGTCCAAGATCAAGGCGCTAGCAGATTCAGTTGTCTAGTGAGGGCCTGCTTCCTGGTTTATAGACTGTTGTCTTTTCTGTGTCCTAACATGGTACAGTAGGCCAGGGAGCATTTTGGGGTCTCCTTCATGAAGGGAACCAATCCTATTCATAAAGCCTCCAACCTCATGACCTCCTAGAGGCCAGGCCCTACCTTGTGGTATCATTACATAGGGGGTTAGGATTTCAACTGAATTTTGGGGGCACAAATATTCAGGCTAGGGTAGGGAGCAACTTTGATGGAGCACTTTGTTTTTTAGTTCTTTGCAGCCCTTAGTTTTGTTTGTTTTTATTATGTATGTATTTATTTTTGAGATAGGATCTTGCTCTGTTGTCCAAGCTGGAGGGCAATGGCATGATTGTAGCTCACTGCAGCCTTGAACTCCTGGGTTCAAGCAATCCTCCCGCCTCAGCCTTGCAAGTAACTGGGACTACAGGAGTGCACCATCACACCCAGCTAATTTTTTGTGTTTTGTAGAGACAGGGTCTTGTTATGTTGCCCAGGCTGGCCTCAAATTCCTGGCATCAAGCGATCCTCCCTCCTTGGCCTCCCAAATTGTTGGGATTACAGGCATGAGCCACTGTGCCCAGCCAGTTTGTTTTGAAGCTTCTCAGTCACATACAGTAACCCATTGAGGAAAGTTAGAAGAGTTGTTTTTGGCTTCTTAGCTTCTTAACAGTGAATTAGGCCACTAGTTAATTTACTCTAATAGAGTCTTATGCTCTGTTGGAGTAAACACCTGTTTTGGTAACAGTCATTTAATGAGTTGGGTACCCTGACAACCCTGCTTTTCCCTTATTCTACTAGCTAGCACTAGTTCTTCAAAGTCACCCGTTCAGATTACCCCAGAGGCTTATCTATTCCCTTATTTTAATTTAACAAATATCTATTAAAAGCATATACATTCAGATAATTTTCCAGGCCTCATGGGACACTTATGAAGATGAACAAGTCAGTTTCTATCCCTCAAGATGCTCATAATTTACTAGGCATGCTATATACAAAGTTGTTTTACTCTAGCTCTGATGGTGTTAGGTGCTGTGATGGAAGGGCCTATGTCAGGGCTGCCAGAGAACAGTGGAAGGAGTTACTAATTTCTCACAGATAGGATAGTGAACTCCACAGGGAATGTGGCATTTGAATTAGATCTGAAGAAGATAAATGGGTTTCACCACCTGGAAGGAAGAGGAAGAGGAAGAGGAAGAGGAAAGGGAATTCTAGTTTGTGGATATAACTTGAAGAAAATTCAGAAAGATTTAGATTTTCAAGTGCATGATGTTTTAGCAATTTTTTTACATAAAGAATTAATGTTATAATATTCATTAATAGAGGGGTTATAATGTTATGCATGGTAATGATATTTGAGATCTAAGGTTGGAAAAAAGCATATGGAGAAAAGGGCTGAAAATGAAATTCTCAGTCATGTTCACAGTTGCAGAGTTGATGGAGGAGGAAATCTAGAGATAGAATCTGAGTAAGCAAGTCCTAGCAAATAGATTAGGAATCATGACAGTAAAATTGGACATTAAAATTATTGTCCCAGTTGGATAAAGAAAATATCCCAGTTGGATAAAGAAAAGAAATCTGAGGGTGGAAGGATGAAGGCTTAGGGACATAAAGAACAATGCCCTCCCTCCCTGGCTTTTTACAAATACAACTTGATTGCTCTCTTGTGGGAACATACACTGGCATTCAGGTAGACTGTGAGAAAATTAAGGAGTTGGGATGCTGTGACAACAGCAGCACCCAGGAAGCTGGCATTGAGAAGGAAGACACTGTGTTTTCTTTTTTCTTTCCCTTTTCTTCTTCTTCTTTTTTTTGGAGACAGAGTTTCGCTTTTGTCACCTAGGCTGGAGTGCAGTGGCACAATCTCAGTTCACTGCAACCTCCGCCTTCCAGGTTCAAGCGATTCTTCTGCCTCAGCCTCTTGAGTAGCTAGAACCACAGACTGCTGTGCCCCCATGCCCGGCTATATGGATATGTATATGGTACATATACACCATAACAAAGAACGACATCATGTCTTTTGCAGAAACATGGTTGGAGCTGGAGGCCACTATCCTTAGCAAACTAACTCAGGAACAGAAAGCCAAATACCACATGTTCTCACTTATAAGTGGGAGCTAAATGATGAGAAATCATGGACACAGAGGGGAACAACACACACTGGGGCCTACTTAAGGATGGAGGGTGGGAGGAGGGAGAGGATCAGAAAAAATAACTATTGGGCATAGGCTTAGTACCTGGGTGATGAAATAATCTGTACACCAAATTCCCGTGACATGAGTTTACCAGTATAACAAATCTGAACGTGTACCTTTGAACCTAAAATAAAAGTAAAAAACAAACAAACAAACAAACAAACAAAATGATGTATACTTAAAGACACCAAGATCAGGCATGAGAAGAAAATGCAGTTCCCAAACTGGATCCTGGATCTAAATTTAATCTTCTTTGGCTATAAAGGACAAAATTAAAAGAATGGGCAAAAATTAGAGTAAGGTCTATAGATAAGATGATAGTATTATAACAACAACCATGTTAATTTCCTGACTTTTATAACTGAGTTTGCTTTTAGAAAATACACATGGTTCATTTAGGAGTAAAGGAACATCATGCCTGTAACTTACTTACAAATGTCTCAGAAAAAAATATGCACATTAATAGAGAAAAGGATAAAGCAAGTAAACTCATAAGATTGAGGGAAACTACAGACAAGTAAACAAGAATTCTCTGTACTATTCCTGAAATTTTTCTGTAAGTCTGACATTTTTTCAAAAACAAAAAGTCACATTTAGCAAAATATTCAGTACTGGTGATCTGGGTAAAGGGTACACGGGAATTCTTTGCACTATTCTTGCAATATTTCTGTAAGTTTGAAATTCATTCAGAATAAAAAGAAAAAAGATACTAGTGTTCATTTATACTTTTTTTTTTTTTTTTTTGGTGACAGAGTTTCGCTCTTCTTGCCCAGGCTGGAGTGCAATGGCATGATCTCGGCTCACTGCAACCTTCACCTCCTGGGTTCAAGCAATTCTCCTGCCTCAGCCTCCCAAAGAGCTAGGATTACAGGTGCCCACCACCATGCTTGGCTAATTTTTGTATTTTTAGTAGAGATGGGGTTTTGCCATGTTGGCCAGGCTGGTCTTGAACTCCTGACCTCAGGTGATCCGCCCACCTCTGCCTCCCAAAGTGCTGGGATTACAGGCATGAGCCACCACACCTGGCCCATTTATACATTTAAAAGAGCCCTGACAAAAACATTTGCTCGTGGCATGGTTGTTTCCTAATATAAATTTAAAAATTGCCATCTATCTAGAATAAAGTACTTGCTGTTAAATAGACAACAAAAATAAAAAGTCGATAAACAACAAAAAAATTGTCCCAAACGTTTGCATTATTAACAAAATTCTTGATTTTGGTATGCCTTGGATATCTGAAATCAACATGAATAAATTACATTCATGATTTTGATATCTGCCATCCTACTTCTCCTCTTATTCTTTTAGCTCAGTAGATGGCACCATGCAGTTGCTCATGGTATAAACCTCACCGTCAACCTCATTTCCTTTTCTCTAGTATCTCCCACATCCTATCAGTCACCGATCCAGATGTCCCTTCCTCCAAAATACTCCTCAGTGTACCTGACTCAGCTCCATTCCTGCAGCCACTCCTGCAGTAAAGCCACCTATTGTAGCTACTGCATCAGTCACTGAGCTGGTTTGGGGCAGTGGTTCTCAGAAAACTGGGGCTATTAGGCAAGATCTGAAGGCATTTCTGATTGTCATGACTAGGGCAAGGTGCTACTGGCATCTCGTGGGTAGAGACCTGGGATGCTGCTAAACATTCTCCAGTGCACAGGAAAGCCCCACAACAATGATCTGGCCCGAATCATGTCAACAGTGTGGCCACTGGGAAATCCTGGCAAAGGAACATCTTTTACCATCTGCCTGATAAAATTTCCCGAAAGCAGTGTGCATAATCTAGAAAATAAAAAGATGTAATTACCGTTATTTAAAAATGACAGATATTTCTATGCATCACTAAAACCCCAAATGGGCACTCATTTTATACTAGAATGACAAATTTTGTTAAATGGATCCAACAGTTGATGATTTTAATAGTTAACATCAGGATAACATTGGTTACCTTAGCATATACAAGTAAATCATTTTCTCTGCCTTAATCACTGTCATACAGTTGTGTGTCTGCTCTTGTTAATTTCTTTTATAATGGTTATGTTCTTTTAAGAGTATGCTTACTACTGGATTCCACATAGGATATTCAATGGTTAGCAATTTAAACTTAAAAAATCCTAACAGAACAGAAAATACCAAGGAAATAAAAGCAATGCAAACAAACTGACGTTGTGGAGGGAAGACCAAATGAAATTATCACTGTTATAAACTGTGCAGCTAAAACTAGGTCAACACGAATACTGTGAAGGGAGCATTGGCAGTTACGTGGCAAGTTGTGCAATTGTGAAGTTAACTGCATCATGGCTTTCCTCTCCTGATGGGATGGCATACACTCAGACTCCCAGTAGATGGGGAAAAGTGCCTCTTAAGCCAAGATGGGATTTCAAATGCAACTCCAGACACAATCAGTTTCTCCTAATGAAAATGGAACAAGTTAGAGCATGACTATTTTAAATTTGTGTTGTTTTTACATTAAGCAACAACATAACAAGGATCCTAATCATGCCATGTCTCTGCTTAACATCCTTTAGAGGTTTTCTTTGCAATTTGAATTAAGTCTAAATTCTTGGCTAAAGTTTAAAAAGCTGTGCAAGGTCTGAACTCAACACCCCTCTCTTACCTCTTATCTCTCTGCAATTGGCCTTCCTGAACTTCTTTCAGATACTTGTACATATAATGCTCACTCATCCTGTTACTTCTGCTACCTTGCATGTGCTAATTTCTCTGTCTGAAACATCCTGTTTCCCCATCCCCAACCTTCCTGGTGGGCGTCTCCATCCAACTGACCCAACTTGCCTTTTAGCTTTCGAGTGTCCATTTTGTTGTGTTGCTAGCAGTGCTAAATTCCCAGCTGTTTCTGTGAGGCTTATCTAAGTTTCCAAGAAAGTGTAACCTTCCTTCCCCCAATCAATCAATCAAACAAACAAACAAAGCTATTAGAAGCGGAAGTACTAGGTATTTCATCAATTGTTAAATGTTGTGCTCCATTAACACTGACTTTTGGTCAGTATGCAATATTCTTCCTCTGTTATTCATTGATCTTCATCGAGTTTGGGTTTTCCATAGCACAATTATGCTAGTTTACACCTGAATAGAGCCCCCACAAACTATCTTTAGCAGTAAAAGAAATGAAACAAAATAAATGGAAACAGAAGAATGTATCTCTTGGAGGGGAGAGTTCAGAATATGAGAGTTAAAACTCCTTGAATACTTCATGTAATATTCTTTTTTTTTTTGAGACAAGATCTCACTCTGTCTCTCAGGATGAAGTGCAGTGGAATGATCTCAGCTCACTGCAAACTCTGCCTCCTGGGTTCAAGCCATTCTCATACTTTGGCCTCCTGAATAGCTGGGACTACAGGTGCCTGCCACCAAGTCGAGAATTTTTGTATTTTTAGTAGAGATAGGATTTCATGTTGGCCAGGCTGTTCTTGAACTCCTAGCCTCAAGTGATCTGCCTGACTTGGCCTTCCAAAGTCCTGAGATTACACATGTGAGCCACCGCGCCCGGTGTTGTGTAAAATTCTTGATCATCCCTGAGAACTTCCATAAAATTACTGAAGGGTTATCACTTTCTATGTGTGGTATTAGATCCCATAGTTGAGTAAGTCTATTTATGCTGTTATCACCATGTTAATTACTTCTGTATCATTTTAAAAACTAGCTTTTTGGAGGTGAAGTGTAGTTTTAATCTTTAGGATAGTGCTTTGACCTTCTCTTTAGAAGAAAAACATGTAAAAATCATCTTAATGCTCAGTGATTGGGAGACTGTGTTGCAGACTCACCCTGTGAATTCAGGAAGTCCATTTTGGCTCAGCTTGAATTCCAGTTTCCAACAGGGCTGTGCCCTTGCTCTCTACGTCCTCTGAATTCTTAGCTGATACTATTAGGAAGTAAAATATGATAATATGTCAAACTGTCAATGAATGCTTTCCTTAAATATAATAGGAGCTTTATGACTAAGTGCCAACACTGTTTGGATTTTATTTGACCTGAACAGCAAGTCTGCATTTATGCATAAGACATTATGATATATATATAAATTATGGTGTCTAAATAGGTACAGAAGCATTCTAGAGGTTAGCAGCTTAGGAAGTCAAGTCTTAATGTGTTTGGAGAGGAGCATCTTAAATGAGGATTCTGAAGGATGTAGATAGTTGAAAGAGTAAAAAGCACAGCATCAGAGAGAGGGTACGTAACTCTATGTGGAAGCTAATTCTAACTGGAAAATGGCCATAGTCATGAAGGATGTTCACCAATCATTCTGCCTGCCTTCCAGACACATTCCAGGCATTGAAGTTAGACATAGATCTGTGATTCGACGTGGCCAATAGAAAGATAGCTGAAGTGCTGAGAGTCTTTTCTGGCAGAAGTCTGTTGGAACAAAACTGGGAATTTCCAAGTGTCTTAAGCCATGTTCCACTGATTGGCGATGTTCCAGATGGGGGAGGCCTCATCAGCCTGCACCCCTCAGTGAAGATGATGAGGGTGTGTCCAAGTAAGCCTCTATGATTTTGGGGCCTGTGATTTTGAGGTTATTACAATAGCATAAACCAGACTATCATGACCGATAGAGTGGGCTGTTGTTTCCTTACCTAGATTGAAAAAAATTCAGAATGTCAGGGTACATCTGATTCTCTGGAATTGTCACCACCTTATAGGAGGCCATGGGGAAAGTGTATGAGGAAACAGATGATGAAATATCACAGAGCTATGTTTCTATATATGACACCTTATACAATTAAGATGAATGGAAAGAGAATTAAAATTAAATAGGTTTGCCATTTACTCTACTAGATAGCTCTATTTAATTTAATAATTGCTTAGCACAATTAATTATACATTTATTTATTTACAGACTGTAAATATCATATCTCCTCCTGTGTTTGACTCATACATCTTGAAACTCCCAGGCTATTTGATTAGAAATATCCAAACTCGGGGTGGCACATAGAATGATTATGATGGGAATTTTAAAAAACAAACTAAGAATCACCACCTTCTCTCTAATCTTAAAGTATATGTTGTTTAAGAATTTTTCACACTCTGATTTATATTATAGATAAAAAATATACCTGGATACTCAATTAGACTTCATTGTTTTGAGAGCAAAAACCTGTCTGGTGTATTTAAGAGAGTTTCTGGTCCATAGAGTGTGCTCTGAAATGTTTTGAATATTTGAATGTTTAGAATTAAATGAATTGGCAAGTGATAACAATCATACCACGTGAATGGAGATCAACAAAACCGCATTGAAATTTATGTCAAGGAACAATGATTTTGCTTTCTGGAATAGATTGAGAGATAGCATCAATCCACAGTTAGGAAGATAGCTAGTCACTGGGAGATCATTCGGAATAAGCTCTCATTTGGTCATAGAGAACATAATTCTGTTTAATATCATGATGTTTTTTAAGCTCAGAGAAGCATACGGTAGCCAAGAGGGTTGGAGAGATGTCAGAATGGAACCTACCAGGATAATTTTCTTTCATCTGTGGCAGTTGCTTAACCCAATGGAAAAAAGAGTATTTAGTCTCAAGCAAGGGACTTTGTATCATTAACATTAACATTAGGCAGATGGTGAACCTGAGAGACATGCTCAGTTGTTAGTATTTTGCCTTATGAGATAAGCCAAAGCAAATTCGTTGCTAACATTGTTTTTTCTTTGTTTTGAGACTGAGTCTTGCTCTGTTGTTCCAGCTGGAGTGTAGTGGCCTGGTTCAATCTTGGCTCACTGCAACCTCCGCCTCCTGGATTCAAGCGATTCTCCTGCCTCAGCCTCTCAAATAGCTGGGATTACAGGCATCCACCAGCATGCCCAGCTAATTTTTATATTTTTAGTAGAGTTAGGGTTTCACTATGTTGGCCAGGCTGGTCTCAAACCCCTGACCTCAAGTGATCAACCCATCTGGGCCTCCCAAAGTGCTGGGATTACAGGTGAGAGCCACAGTGCCTGGCCATATGCTAACATATTTATGCATGAATAGCATTAGTTTAGTTTAAACTGGAGTTCAACACATAGCTGCGTGCTTTATTTATTTATTTATTTATTTATTTATTTATTTATTTATTTTTTTAGCTTTATCGAGGTATGATTGACAAGAATTGTATATATTTAAGGTGTACAACTCGATGTTTTGATATGTGTACACATGGTGAAATGATTATCACAATCAAGTTAATTAAGATATCCATCACCTCACATAGTTACCATTTTGTGTGTGTGTGTGTGTGTGTGTGTGTGTGTATTGAGAACACTTAAAATCTACCCTCTTTGCAAATTTCAGCATACAATACGGTATTATTAACTGTAGTCACCATGCTGTACATTAGATCTCCAAAACTCATTCATCTTGCATAACTGAAATTGCATGCCGTTTGACCAACATCTCCCCATTCCACAGTCCCTGGCAACCACCATTCTACTCTCTGCTTCTGTGAGTTTGACTATTTTAGATTCCACATATAAGTGAGATCCTGAAGTGTCTTTCTGTGTCTGGATTATTTCACTTAGCATAACATCCTCCAGGTTCATGTTGTCACAAATGGTGGGATTTCATTCTTTTTAAAGGCAGAATAATATTATATTGTGTGTACACACACACACACACACGCACGCACACCACATTTTCTCTATCCACTCATCTGTCAACTGGCATTTAGGTTGTTTCCATATTTTGGTTATTGTGAATAATGCTTCAATGAACATGGGGTATAGATATCTCTTTGAGATCCTGATTTAATTTCCTTTGGATATATGAGGGGACTTCATAAAGTTCATGGAAAAATGAAACTAAGAGATAAAAATAAAAATGTAAACTTTTTTCTCAACATACACACTATCAAGTTCAAGACATTTTTGTAAGCGATGATGCCAGCTGTTTAGTCCATCCCTAAAGAACTGAGGGTCCTGGGAATTAAACCATGTCAATGTGGATTTTTAGATTATTAACTAAAGAAAATAGGTGCTTTTTATAGATTTGCTTTAAGATTAGGAAGCAAAAGAATTCAGAAGGACTTTGGCTAAATCAGGACTGTAAGGTAGCTGCCTAATATTTCTCACAGAAATGCTTGTAAAATTGTCCTTGTTTGATGAGAGGAATGAGCAGGAGCATTGCCATGGTGGAGAAGGACTCTGGTGAAGCTTTCTGGGTGTTTTACTGCTAAAACTTTGGCTAACTTTCTCAAAACACTCTCATAATAAGCAAGTGTTGCCATTCTTTGGCCCTCTGGAAAGTCAACCAGCAAAATGCTTTGAGCGTCCCAAAAAACTGTTGCCATGACCTTTGCTCTTGACTGGTCCTTTTGCTTTCGCTGGACCACATCTACCTCTTGGTAGCATTGCTTTGATTGTGCTTTGCCTTCAAGATTGTACTAGTAAAGCCGTGGTTCATTTACTGTTATAACTTTTCAAATAAATGTTTAAGAATGTTGACACCACTTGTTTAACATTTCCATTGGAAAGTCTGCTCTTGTCTGCAGCTGATCTGGGTACAACAGTTGGTTTTGACTCTCATTAAGTGGAAAGTTTAATTTAAATGTTTCAGTCAGAATTGTGTAAGCTGAACCAGTTGAGATGTCTCTGGTGTTGGCTATTGTTTCTACTGTTAATCATCAGTCATCTTCAGTTAAGGCATGAACAGGATGATTTTTTTCCTCAAAAATTGAAGTGGATGGTTTGCTGAGAGCAACCATTCACTTCAACAACAATTAATCCCTTTTTAAAACAAGGTACCCATTTGTAAACTGCTGATTTCTTTGGGGAATTGATCCCATAAACTTTTCATAAAGCCGCAGTGATTTTACCATTCTCCCACCAAAACTTCACCATAAACTTGATGTTTGTTCTGGTTAGATTTTAGCAGAAATCATGTTGCTGTCATAGGGGCTGTTTTCAAACTGATTATTATCCTTCTTAGTGTCTCAAATGAGATCCTGTTCAGATATGTTATAATGAGCTAGTACAAGTTTATTTTGGTGCAAAATAATTTTGAAATCCTTGCGTAATTTTTTCAAAATATTCATTTCCCATGAACTTTTTGAAGAATCCTTACACACCCAGAAGTGGAATTGCTGGATCATATGGTAGTTGTATTTTTAATTTTTTGAAGAATCTCCATACAGCTTTTTGTGTAACTACTGGCTATTTGTATGTCTTCTTCAGAAAAATGTCTAGTTAGACCTTTTGCTCATTTTAAAATTAGTTTTTTTTGTTTTTTTGCTATTGAGTTGTATGAATTCCTTATATATTTTGAGTATTAACTCTTGTCAGATATATGGTCTGCAAATACTTTCTCCCATTAAGTTGCCTTTAACTCTGTTATTTATTTATTTTTAGTTTATTTTTTTATTTTTTATTTTTTTGCTGTGCAGAAGCTTTTTAGTTTGATGGAATCCCACTTGTCTATTTTTGCTGTGTTGCCTGTGCTTTGGTGTCATGGCCAAAAAAATCTTTGCCAAGACCAATGTCAAGAAGCTTTTCTCCTATGTTTTCTTCTAGCAGTTTCATAGTTTCAGGTCTTACATTTAAGTCTTTTATACCTTTTGAGTTGACTTTTGTGTGCGGTATAAGATAAAGGTCCATTTTCATTCTTTGGCATGTGAATGTCCAGTTTCTCCAACACCATTTATTGAAGAAACGATCCTTTCTCCATTGTGTGTTCCTGACATCCTTGTTGAAGATCAGTTGACCATAAATGTGTGGATTTATTTCTTGGCTCTCTTTTCTGTTCCATTGGTCTATATGTGTTTCTATGTAGTTGGGTGCTTTTAAAAATAATATTTTGCTGGTTAATACTGCAAACTGTCTTCAGTGAGTTTTCATGTTTACATCATTTTTCTAAAATTCTAAAGCTTTATGGACTATGCACTTTGATTATTTCTTTAAAGCATCCAGAATGGTGCCATATATACAATAGGAACAGGCGATTTTTGAGTGAGTCTATGTTCTAAGCACTGTATTTAGATATTTTACTAATATTATCTCATTTAATACTCTCAACAAGCACACAATGTACGTATTTATTCTTTCATTTAATAAGTATTTATGAAATGCCCACTACTATTCACCCATGATATTCCCACTTCTGTGAGCACTGGTATAATTACTTCCATTTTACAGATGAGAAAACAGACTAGGAAACATTTATTTAACCCTGCTAAAGTTACTGTTGTAGGTCTTTGCTAAGATGTCTACATCTTAATTTCCAGAACCTATGAATATGTTAACTTACATGGAAAAAAGGATTTTGATGATGTGATTAAGGTTAAGGATCTTAAAATGGAGAGATTAGCCTGGCTTATCCATGTGGCCCCAATCTAATCACATGAGTCCTTAAAAGTGAAAAACTTTTCCAGCTGTGGTTATAGAGAGATGTGAAGAGAGGAGGAGGTCAGAAATATGCAACATTGCTGGCTTTGAAAATAGACGAAGAGGGCCATAAGCCAATCAATGTGGTTGTCCCTAGAGGCTGAAAAAGTCCTGGAAACAGCTTGTCCTCTAGGGTTTCCAGAGATGAATGCAGCCCCGTGGACACCTTGGATTTAGCTCAGACACATGAATTACATTTCTGACTTACAGAACTTTAATATAATAAATTTGTGTTGCTTTAAGCTACTAAGTGTGAAATTTGTTATGGTAGCAATAGAAAATGAATGTAGTTACATAGATAGTCTTATAGCCAGGATTTCATTACCAGGTCTCTCTGACTCAAAAAATGCACTTATTTTATTATGTACTAATAAATATCATTACAGCCAATGAAATGCCTTTCATCCTCCTCTTTTTTTTTTTTGACTGAACAGGCTCTATTTCCTCTTCTCCTCATAATAACTGCTGATATTGTTTTGAATATTTACCCCTTATTGGATATGGTAGAATTGTTAACTAAGGGACCTCACTTTCTTCTGAACAAGGAGTGGGCATGCCACACAAACCAGGTCAATTGTAGATTTTTTCCTGAGATTTTGAATCTTGGCTGGCATATCAGTTAAAATGCCATTTATATGGCAGCAAATTAGATGTCCATAGAACCCTTTTCTGATAAAAATTTATGATGGATATATGGAAAAAACATTTTTGCATGTCTATGCTGTCAGGAAAGTAAAAGATTTAATCTGAAGCAAGAAATCAGGAGAAAGATGAATTGAAATGGCTGAGCCAGCATTGGAGCTTGCACTTGCTGTAGGTTATTTGTTCATTCTGGGTGGTCTAGAATGTGTGTTTAGTAACCATATCTGTGGAAAACAAAAGGAAAAGGTCAGGATCAGGGTATGAAGTCTGATTGGAGACTCCTTCTTTGCCCATAGCACAGTGTTTCCAGAAGTGGCAGTGTTAGTTGACAAAACAGAAAAACAAAACTCACTTCATCTAGGGAGATAGTGGGTATGTATAAATATATCTTTTTTAGCTTTGGCTCTAGGCAAGCTAGAAAAAGAAAAATCCCCTGGGAGCATGAGGCTGGAATTCACACTATATGTATGATCCCAAAAGCTCTAAGTTGAAAATGTAGTTTAAAGTGGTCCCAGGTTATTGGCGTTTAATGCACCTGTAAGAAATAAACACAAATTCTGCTTGAAGAAATTTATCATCAGCCTAGACCTCAAAGAATTTCCACAAAAGGGGTGCCAAGGAACATAAATTTATGATAAAAACAATAAATAGGGAACAAATCCTTGTATCAGCAAAACAGAAGACCACAGAAACAGACATGCAATGATTGTGGATATTACAATCATAAAATAACTGTGTTTAATATGTTTATGAAATTAAAAGATTGTATGGAAGTATAATGTGAGAAACAATGCTATCAAACTTGACCAGGTAGATTAGAAAATAAATACAACTTAGGTACACATTCACAGCTGCTACATCCTATGTATTTCTTTCTGGCTTGTGTAGTTCCACTGCTTGGAGACAGCTAATGACTTACCCTTCTTGGATGCTGTTGTGCCACCAGAATAACCAGCTGTATGCCTGGTGTCTTTGGCTATTTCCACCACTTCCAGACTTGGATAAAATTCTGCATGACAGGGTGTAGAATCTGCATCCTAAGGTGTTACTCTTAGGGCCAGATGAGAAATTTGGAAGTGCAGGGGGAATTAATTTCCATTAGGGTAAAGTTAAGCTACTATAAACAAGAGACATAAAACAGCTGAGTATGGCCAGGTGCGGTGACTCACGCCTGTAATCCCAGCACTTTGGGAGGCGGAGCCAGGCGGATCACCTGATGTCAGAAGTTTAAGACCAGCCTGCCTAACATGGCGAAACACGGTCTCTATTAAAAATACAGAAAATTAGCCGGGCATGATGGCGGTCACCTGTAATCTCTGCTACTCGGGAGGCTGAGGCACAAGAATTGCTTGAAGCCGGGAGGTGGAGGTTGCAGTGAGCCGAGATTGTGCCACTGCACTCCAGCCTGGGTGACAAGAGTGAAACTTCATCTCAAATAAACAAAAAACAAAAAACAAAAACAAAAAACCAGAAACAGCTGAGTATATAAATTTTCTCTTTTTCCCCTTTTCCATGCACTATTCCACAGGATGGTTACTTCTTAAAGCCATTTGTGAAATGGGAGCCAATCTGATACTACATCATTTTTGTATTTTTTCACTTCTTTTCTTAATTTACTTTTTGTTCATCTTTGGTTTATGAAATGTTCACTTAAGAGCTCATGCTAATACATGAGTGCTTAAGATAGTTAATCTATGCAGAGCTTGTACAAAATAATAATTATTAGAATAAGTTCTTAGAAAAATCAGGCTTGATGGGGTTAAACAAATAAAATAGAACTAAAATCCTGGGCAACAGTTGAGAAGGTGATGAGTGGAGTAAAAAAGGTTCTAAGGTTCTGGTCTTGTTTCATATTAATTAACTTTGGACTTTGTAAATCTAATCAATAATACTAAAATCTCCAGAGCAACTAATAGAAATGTGGTGAAATAATTACAAAAGAAGTATAGAGAAAAAATAAAACAAGGATAAAGGGTATTAAAGCCCTCAGTCTATCCAAAAGAAAGCAAGAAGGAGTTGTGGAAAACAAGGCAAATAGAAAGTAAAAAATAAGATGGGCTATTTGTAATTACGAGTAATATAAATGAAACTCTTAAAAGACAAAAACTCTTAAGCTTGATAGAAACATCTAAAGCTGGTTTGTCTACTATCTATGAAAAACATAGCCAAAACATAAAGACACAGATTGTAGGTCAAATATGGAAAAAGGTAATAAATACCATTTAAATATTATCCCTCTGCCAAAGCTGGCATGACTGTATTAATGTCTGACCAAGTAAAATATTAAGGCATAAATCATTTCTAGAGACGAAGAGAATCACCATTGATAAAAGTTTGAAATAATCAGGAAGTTTTAACATTCTAATCTTGAATGTTCCTATTAACATAGTTTTGAAATATATAAAATAAAAATTTACACGAAATAAGGAGAAATAAAAAAAATCTTAGAGAGGTTTTCACATACTCTCTTTGTAAATGTTAAGATAAGCAGACAATCAGTAAGAGAATAGATCTGAACCACATAATTGTTACAAATTTTTAAATTTCAATGGCTTAAAACATTCTAGGTTTATTTCTTGTTTAAATAAATAGCTTAACACAAGTGTTCCTAATTGGTAAGAGAGTGTATAGGTGGTATGTAGGGCTTCTGTGCACTGTGGCCATTTAGGGGCCCAGGAAAACAGATGGTCACAATATACAATTTCCAAGATCATGCTGAGTATCAAACACTAGCTGGTAGACAGGGGAAGAAAGCATGAAAGATCACATGGGGAGTTTATATGACATAGGCTGAAGGCGGCTTTTTTCACTTCCATCCATATTCATTTTCCGGAACTCCAACATACGGCTACACCTAACTACAAGAAAGGCTGAGAAATAGCCCATCTAAATACATGATCAATATTTTAAAAATGGAATCCCATTTTATGTAGAGTATTAAGAGTTAGAAAATTCAGTGAAAATGTTGGTATCATTTACAACAGCAACAAGAATGTAAAATGCCAGGAACAATTCTAACGACAGATGTGCAATTTTGTTGGAAGAATTATGGAAGACCCGAATCAATCAATATATTATGTTCATGGATAGGTAGAGTCAGTATCATAAAGATGTCAGTTTTCCCCTAATTGACCTATAGATTCAAAGCAACTAAGTCAAAATCCTAATCGGAATTTTGTGGAATTTGACAAGCTGACTTTAAAGTTTGTATGAAAGAGCAAAGATTGATGAATAGTCAAGATGCTCCTTGAGAAGATGAAGCATGTGGCAATGGAGGTGGTGAACTGGTCTACCAGAGAGCAAGAATTAGTATACAGCTACACTGATGAAAATGGTGTGGTATTGGTATAGGATATAGAACAGATAGATGGGGCAGAATAAAAGTCCAGAGACAGAACCAAGTGTATTTGAAAACCTGATGTATGGCAGAGCTATTCAATAAATGCTGCTGGGAGACTTAACTGTAGGAAAAAAGCAATGAGGATTCCTATATACTGCCATATACAAAGATCAGTCCCAGACAGAGCAAAGACATAACTGTGAAAAACAAATACTTAAAATGTTTAGAAGAAAATATAGGAGAATATCTCCATGATCCCAGAGCAGGAAAGGGCTTTTTAAAGCAATATATAAAAAGAACAGCATTTATTTTTTTTTCTTTTTATATATTGCTTTAAAAAATCCTTTTCCTGCTCTGGGATCATGGAGAATTCTTCTATAACCGTGTTAATTAACCATGTTAAAACAAAGAATCTCTGTCCATCTAAAGATACGTAATGCAGATGAAAATATAAGTAATCAATTGGAAGAAGAGAATTGATACATAACTATTTTTTAATATTTATAAAATATAGATATTATCTATGATTCAGTAAGAAAAGATAAATGATCTGGTAGAAAATTGGGTAAAAGACCTATACAGACATTTTACAGAAGTATAAATATAGACATATGAAAAAATTGTAATCTTTTGAGATAGTTAAACCAATAGTTAGAACTCAGGAGAAAGTAAGACTTTAAGACTTTAACTTTCTTTTCTTAAATAAGTTGATTTTTTTCACTCTTGTATGGCATCATCCTTTCATTCTTTTTTATTAGCCATCTTCATCTTTCTCATCCGATGCTTAGTATGACAGGCTGATAAGTACAATGTAATTTTGAATGTCTCAAGTGGGTTTGCTGCCTTACTTAGAGTAGAGTGCTGCTTCAGAAACTATTTGGGTCAATTTCCTAATGTTTGCCTTTATCTCAATTGAATGAGTCATGCTTGTCAGTTCAACAAAGAAAAAAGAAGAAATTGATCAGTTTTCTTTGTTTAAAAAAGCATTAGGTTTGTAATTGCACATCTTGAGCTATCTGATCTTTAACAATAGAAAGGGTGACTTAGGTTAAGAGAATTATTTGGCTTAGTCAATTGATTCATGCCTCTGGCCTTTAATACACCCAGTTATGTTATTATTCCAGGAAACTAGTTTTCTGTGCTACCATTTGTCATTTTCTATATGTGAGTAATCAGTTCACTTCTTCCAAGTACTTTAAGTTTTGACACAAACCTAACACCATGAAAGCCAGTTAAGTTTTATTGTTAAGGGAAAAAAATCCTGACCTAGCAATGAGAAAATAATGTTTTCATATTTGCTTACTGGAAGAGTTCAAGTTTGCTGGAGTGCCACCTCTTATTTGTTGAAAACTCCTGGATTAGAGGAAACCCCTGCCCTCCAGAGATATTCATTAGCCCCAAAGAGTAAAGGTGTGTGTTTTTACCTCCATGCTCAAGGGGAGTACTGTGAATGTTTAGTTATTTTGAAGGAGAAAGTACAATGAGATCACAGAGAAGTTCTAGAAAGAAGAAAAACATTGTAAGGCAAGACCTATAGTCAAAAATCAGAATAGGCTGATTTTCTTTTGTTTTACGTAATGTGATTTCTGCTATTCACAAGTTCTCTTTCTAGCTCTTTTTTTTTTTTCTGATTCACCATTCATTTTTCAACACATTTATTGAGCATTAATTGCATGCCAAATCTCTCCTGGGTATTTGTGATGCATGCTTTAGCAAAACCAACAAAAATCCCTGTCTTCATGGAGCTTGCATTGAAATGGAGGAAGGCCAATGATAAGCAATAAGTGTAATCAATAAGTGAATTAAATGGTATGTTGGGAATTGATAAGTATTGTCAAGGAAAGTTGGGAATTGGTAAGTATTGTCAAGGAAAAGAACAGAGCAGGATGAGGGACACTGAATTGTTGACATGGGGTGGTTGTAATCTTGAATGTGGTTTTCAGAAAAGACCTCCATAGGATGGTGACATCTGAGCAGAAATTAAGGAAGGGAAAGGAGCATGTCAGGCTGACCTCTGTAAAGAGAGCTCTAGACAGAGGGCATAGCCAGTACGAAGGCCCCAGGGCAGGAGCATTCCTGGGGCACTTGGGGGACAGCAGAGAGACCTGAGTGGCTGGAGTGAAATGAGCATGGGAAAAAGCAACAGGACAGGAATTCTGAGAGTTAATGGCAAGGAGTGGAGGGAAGGCCAAGGGTAGGGGAAAGGCAGGCTCTTGGAACTTTGTACACCATCAGAATAACATTAGCTTTTTGCTCTCCCTTCAGTGGGCACCTATGGTGAGATAGACCGCTAGGGAGCAAGTAAGGAAGAAGAGAGACCAGTTAGGATGCTATTGTGTCAAAAAGGTGAGAACTATGATTAACTTTGGCCATGTGTGAATGGTGGAAGGGATTGCATTTCTTGACAGACTGAATGTAAAATTTAAGAGAAAGATGGGGATGGGCGCAGTGGCTTATGCCTGTAATCCCAGCACTTTGGGAGGCTAAGGCAGGTGGATCACGAGGTCAAGAGATTGAGACCATCCTGGCCAACATGGTGAAACCCTGTCTCTACTAAAAATAGAAAAATTAGCCAGGCGTGGTGGCATGCACCTGTAGTCCCAGCTACTTGGGAGGCTGAGGCAGGAGAATTGCTTGAACACGTGAGGTGGAGGTTGCAGTGAGCTGAAATGGTACCACTGCAGTCCGGCCTGGCAACAGAGTGAGACTCCATCTCAAGAAAGATGGAAGTCAAGCATGACTCCCAGGGTTTGGGTCCCAACAGTGGAAGAATGTAGCAGGCAGAAATGGTGATGACTGCATGCAGAGCAGGCTTTTAGAAGTAGGGGAGGACCAAAAGTTTGGTTTTGGATATTTTAAACTTGTGATATCTATGGGAAATTTATATGGAGTTGAAATGTGGGCTGGAGTTATAAGTTTGAGAGCTGACACCTACTGATTGCATTTACAGTTGTGAGTCTAGTTGAGATGGCCTAGGGAGTGATTAAAGATAGAAAAGAGGCTCTGAAGTGCCTGGGGTGTACCAGGGTTAGGGAGATCAGGGTGAAGAAGGGCAACTAGCTGAAGAGAAAGAGACTGAGAGGCCAAGGAATTAGGGCAAAACCCAAGAGAATGTGGGGATCTGGTAGCCTAGAGCAGAAAGTGTGCTAGGAGGAAGAACTCAATTGTATTAGACGCTGCTGAGAAGTCAAGTACAAAAGGGACTGATAAGTTAATAGGGTAGCTAAAAAGAAAAAAAAGGGGGACTGAGAATTGGCCATTGGATTTAGCAGGGTGGTGAGTTCTGGTGACCTTTATACAGAAAAGTGGTTTCATTTGCATGTTCATTGCAGTACTATTTACAATAACAAAGACATGGAATCAACCTAAATTCCTGTCAACAGTAGACTGGATAAAGAAAATGTGGTATGATATACACCATGGAATATTATGCAGCCATGAAAAAGAACAAGATCATGTTCTTTGCAGCAACATGGATGGAGCTGAAGGCCATTATCCTAAGCAAACTAACACAGGAACAGAAAACCAAATACCATGTGTTCTCACTTGTAAGTAGGAGCTAAACAAAGAGAACACATGGATATGTGTAGGGGAACGACAGACACTGGGGCCTACTTGAGGGTGGAGGGTGGGAGGAGGGAGAGGATCAGAAAATATACCTATCGGGTACTATGCTTATTACCCAGGTGACAAAATTATCTGTACACCAAATCCCATGACATGAGTTTACCTATATAACAAACCTGCACATGTACCCCTGAAACAAACAAACAAAAAAGATTTTAAAAAGTAGGTTGAAGAGAGTGGGGAGAAGAGGGCTTAGAGACAGTGAAACGGCATATGCAGAAAACTCTTTTGAAGAATTTTGCAAGGAAATATGGCTGTGCCTGGCAGGGGAAGGATTTTGATCTATTTTTGTTTGCTTGTTATTAAGAGGAGAGAAATAAGCAGGCAAAAAGAATAATCCAACAGACAGGGAAAATTTGATGATGCCGGAGAGAGTTTTTAATGCCTGCTTCAGTTTGCTTTTCTATCTCAAATTTCACTCTCTATTTCCTCAGGTCATTTGTCCTTAAAATGCATTTGTTTCTCAGCCCACTTGACGGGATCTTCATCAATAAGCATCTCTGTTCATAATAGAGCAAAAATGATTAAAAATGTAAAAAAAGGAATCTGTGGGAAACTGACGGCAGGTAGTGGATGAAACAATTCAGATTTTAATAATCAAACTTTAATTAAACATAAAAGCCCAATTTTTGGAGGTTTAGGGAGTTTGTATGTTACAATACAATTCTAGAATGAAAGCATGGGAATAACTAGGTTATTTTCCCATCCAATGATCTAGGGAGGTTTGGAAGGGCCTGGAAGAGTTTACTTTCTTTGGCCAAATGTAGAACAGTAATTTGCTGTAGTGTAGAATTCACCTGCCAGTGTTGGTGATTTCTGTGGTCATTAGTTACCAGACACTATAGATAGGATTGACTGTCTTTGGGAAATGCCAGAAAGTGGAGACAGAAATGCCTAAGAAATTGTGATGCAGTCCCTGCTTTGTAGCCTCTTCTGTGACCTTCAACAAATCATTTAACCTTCATGCTGAATAATCTATCAAGTTTACTCTTAGATTTGAGCTATCCAAGCTTTCATATCCCTGTTGTTTGATTTCCCATATTAATGGTGCATGACTCTCTGCTTTCCTTAGGACAGCATGGCCTTATCATGATGGCAGGATTTTAGGCATAGTATCTCTAGTGTTTGGGTCATCTGATAAAATGTAAAAATAAACTTCACAGATACTTTAAGAGCCTTTCGCATGGGTATAGGGATTTGCTGTCTTTTCTGTTCCTCTCCTCATAAGGAAAATGAAAAAAAAAATAAGTGGAGAACTCAACTATGAAAAAGTGGCAATTCAGTGACTATGCATGTAAGAGGTATTTTGGTGCCTAAAACTAAATCTCAATTTCCATACCAATTTACTTTTAAACACCTTAAAGTTTTGGAATCTCAAAGTCTCCGAGAATTAGCCATTTTCTGGTCCTATTTACTGCAGAAGTAAGGCTTGCATTCTTTAGCTTGAGGTTTGAAAGTGCGGATTACAGAATACAAAGAATATGAAGAAATAAGAGTAACTCATGCTAAGTGAACTATTGCTAACATTATTTTTGGGAAAATAAGTTTAATGGAGCAATATCTATTCCTCAGTGATTATTTTACTGTGCAGGTATGCTGGGAATGTGGGGACCTTTAATAACCTTCATTGCTTGCTAATTCAGATGCTTATCATTTGATACCAGCAAAATCACTAGAAAGCCCAGCAGCATAGCCATAAAACCTTTGATTTACATTACTGGAGCTATCTAAAGTGAAATCGCTTTTCCTTTGTGGGCTGGTATTGAGAAAGAGACCTCATCATTGGTAGGAAAGAGATTTGAGCTTTGTCATTCGCAAAGTGGATCAATTTTCATTTATTAATAATATCTCATTATGTGGTACTTAAGTGGAGGATAAATAATTCTTTTTTGTATCATGGGTATTCTATGACACTTTAAAGTGCTTTTGTTAAGTGCTTTCTCATTTAGTTAGAGAAGAGTAAAGTAGCTGCTGAAGAATCCTCATTTTAAGACTTGAGTATAAATTATTCTTCCCCTGTAGCTTTTCTGGGCATATGCTCAGAGAAAAGCGGGTGGTTAAGGAAAAATGCAATTATGTTTTCTTTCCTTGGCTAGGAAGCACCAGTATGAAAATTTTCTCACAGCCTAATTTTTAAAAAACAAAAAGGCTTTGTGGCAAGGTAATTGATTAAGAGGGAAAGTACTGAGGATGATGACCTTTCTACAGTGACAGAGAGTGATGAAATTGGTTCAAAGTAAAAAAAAAAAAGAAAAGAAAAAACAAATATAGAGATTCATTAGATAGTCTAAGGTTGCCATGGAAGGTAACTTTTTCTTTTCCTAATGATTACAAAATTTCTTCGCAACTTTTTGAAATTGTTTGGTTCACTTATTGGTAGTATGATTACTAAGTTCTACGAAAACTTGAAGATAGAAGGTGCCACGGACCAAATGTTTATGTTCCCCCCAGATTCATACATTGAAACCTAATCTCCAATGTGATAGTATTAGGAGGTAGGGCTTTTGAGAGGTTATTAGGTTGTGGAGGTGGAGCCCTCATGAATAAGGAGCCCTTATAAAAGGGTCCTGAGAGAGGCTCCTTGCCCTTCTCCCAAGTGAAGATATAGCCATCTATAAACTGGGAAGCCAACCCTCACCAATTGCTGAATCTGCTGGTGCCTTGATCTTGGACTTCCCAGCCTCCAGAACTGTGAGAAATAAGTTTCTGTTCTTTATACATTTCTCAGTCTGTGGTATTATGTTATAGCAGCCTGAATGGATTAAGATAGAAGGAAGAACAAAATGCTCCATTGTGGTTTCTCCCAGCCCAGTGATCTTGTTTAGAATACCAGCCCTGGTAGACAGTATACCTAACTTTGTAGAAAGATAGAATAATGGATAGTGAGAGAACAACCTGCGTTTAATCTTTAGATTACCTAGCTTGTGAGGAATGGGCTTTCCTTTCTGTTGCCCCATATGACTCTAGAGTTTTAAAATTCTAGGTCGAGGGTGGCAACTTGGAGTGAATATTGGTGTCTGTCTACACTGGGAAGGATTCTGAAGTCATAACAATTTCAGTGGGAAGACGGTCCTTTGTTGATTAGTAATTTCAAGGGGAAAAGTCCACCAGTCAGATTCTAGATGGAGGTTGTCAAACTTTTTCTGTAAAAGGCCAGATAGTAAGCATTTTAGGCTTTGCTGGTCATACAGTCATTGTTGCAACTACTCAGCATGACCATTGTAGTGTGAAAGCACACATATATATTATAATAATACTCTCATTTGAAAACAAAATTAGTGACTGTGCTCCAATAAAGCTTTATTTACAACAACAGGCAGCAGGCTGGATTTAGCCCATGGGCTGTAGTGTGCCAACCTCTGTTCTATAGACTGTTAACCAAATCCTACTGAAGTCAGAGTTCCTGGCTGTCTGCTAATGCCATCATATTTTCCTCAGGCACTTTGATCTTTGTGGAGACACACTATAGAGTCTATGATGCTTTCACCAAGGTTGCTTGACAACATGCTTTCCCAGGGGTTAACACTGCAAAAGGAAGAAGGCTGTGCTAGAGTCAGAGCTGATGCTTTGTCAAAGAAAATATTTAGGCATCAGGACTTGAAATTACGTGTACAACCCTGGCTATGTTGGAAGCAAATTTCTGGGGAAATTGTCAGAGCATAAAATTAGGTCTAGTTGAGAAGGAATGCAAGCCCCAAGGTATGGCTAAGCTGAGACAGCAGGATGGAGGAAATTAACACTGGGATAACTTATGAGTCTCAAAAGGTCGCTATTTTCATAGAAACCATGCCTCTGGAGAAAGATGATTTTGTATTTTATTCAATCTTAATTGCTTGAATAGATTAGAAATTTATCCTCTATACTTTTAGTAAAATGACTCCAATTACAACGTCTCCTATTATTATGCTTCCCAAATCCTGCCAAGTCACGCCTGCACAGACCTCACTCTGAACAGAGTGCCATTGTGAGCATACTTTCTAGAATGAAGACTTTAATCCATTCTTAGTCAAAAGCAAATTCTATTTTCCTGCCAAGGCAATAGTACATTTTGGCCTAAGTATAAGCTAAGTTGATAAGTTCCCATGTTACAAGATTTGAGCAATGGAATGGTCCAGCTATTGTAAATCTTTTTCCTTTAAAATTTACGTAAATGCTTTGATATTTCCAAAATTATGGTGTCTTTAAAGTACTATATTGTAAATACGTGAAACAAAGATGTAGGGCAAAAAGGAAAGCAAGAAAATATGCTGTAGGAAAAATCTTGTTTTAGCCAAGGAAGAATGGTAATGATAATATGGCTATGAGTTAGGCATGCCAGTTACAAGAGAGATGCCAAGATTCCTTTTGAAAGGGGGAAGACTTCCAATTTCATGATGACTCTGATATTTACGGTCTTTGTTGTTACTATTTTTATGGCATGATCTTTCCAATCTCAATAACTCACAGTTGCAAAATAGAAATCACTTCTTGATTTGAAGGCTATATTTGGAACAAATTCAGAGAACAATAAATAGTAAAGAAGGTAGAATTGAACACCATGAAAATGTGGCAGGGTTTAATTTTTTTTATATTGTAACTGAGATATGCACAAAAAGTACTGTCCTTTATTATAATTGGGAGTGGAAGGGAAAGGTCATCAGAATCCTTACTGTTTGCTGCTGGGAAAATTAGGCCCCAAAAAACGTATCCCTGAAGGGAACACGGTGTCCAATCAATTTCAAGTCAGTCTAATAGCCAGTATCCTTATCGGGGCTATTTCTCTTCTCCAAAGTCTCCCCTCATCTTCCAGTCTCCTTTGCAATTTGACATTGCGTGCGTAGAGAAGCCTGACAGCCTGTAAGGAGGGAGACAGCCCCTTGGTACAACTTCTGTTCTTCTCTGCTGGCTCCTGCTGATACCTGGTTTATCTCTGGTCTCTGGGTGACTGTGACTATTTTTATTTGAGCTCTATACTCTCTGCATGGCTACAGACAACCTTCTCTGCCCCACTGCTGATGTAAGCCCCTCTGGGTTTTTTTAGTATCCAGCTTCCAAGTTTTACACAGGTTCTCTCTCCAGTCCCTTACGTGGGCCCTCCACTCACTGCCTTGACATGGGGTACCATCTCCAGGCCTCACCTTGCCCACCACACTGCCATTTCTGTTCTGATGCAGCTGCCCCACCTTGGCCCAGAGTTAACTTGAAAGGTGCTCTCCTCCCAAGGAACCAAATAGGAGGTAGGGCACAAGTTCTTCTACTTTATTGCCCCCAACTCTCTGGGGGTTCTATGTTCTTAAATACTCCCTCAATCCAGTTCTTAGAGTAGAGACTCTAGGGTTTGGGATACTAGATCATGAGAGACCTTGGCATAGTCCTAATTCTTATTCTCACTTTTAAATCTCTTCCTATTCTTGCTGATGGAATTTCTACTTTTCCTATTTTCCTTGTAGGGGCTGCATTCATCTCCTTTTCTTCAAGCAGATGCCTGTTGTTCCTATTGTACCTCCCCTCCTAGGCCCTGTGGACTTAGGATGACCAACTACCCTGGTTTTCCTGGGACCATCCTGGTTTTAGATCACGAAGTCCTATCTCCTGGGAAACCCTTCTGTTCTGGGCAGACTGGGATGGTTGGTCACCCCATCTGTGATAAATTACCTCCATGGCTAAGCTTTAGTGTCCAAAATGCTTTAGGGGAAGGAAAAAGAGATTACTCAGAAAGAAACATGGCAAAGTACAGAACTACAAAATATTTTCCTTCACTGTAGAAATAATGGCACATTTGTTTCTATTATATCTAGCAACTAATTTATTGAAAAGGAGCTGGTGTCACTGCAGAATTAAAAACAGGCCAGAAAATCGCTTCTTGAAAGTAAAGTGGCTGTCACATTTATGAAAACTTTCCACTCATTGTAGAAGTTTTCAGTCCAGAAAACTAATCAAATTCAAAATTTTGTGAAACTTGAATCATTTAAGAAACTATTTGACTACACAATAGCTTTTAAGCCGAGTCTTGAAATAAATCTCAAACATGAACATATAAATTGATATTGTCATCGTGACAAACAAAACAATATCCATTCAGTTTCTACTATAATAATATTTAAAATTGAATTAAACAAACCAGGAGGGAAATGAAAGCTATTGGTAGATTCCCAAAACCACGCTTGATTTTGGGCAGTCCAGGGAAGCCCAGGGGGCTTATCCTGGGTGTGGGCATGATGGCTCTTTCCGTTAACACAGGGCAGCCAACCTAATGAGTGTCTGGCGGGGACAGAGAGGCAGACAAGCTGGGCCAGCATCTCAGGGCTTCCAGTGTCTTAAAGGCACATCCCAAGCTCAGGGATGATTTAGGCAACAGCCCACCTTAGAAGTTTCTAAGAGAAGTTAACAGTGTTCTGACAGGTGGGTGTGGAGGAAGCTCATGTGAGAGGACATGGATATGGGGGAGAGGGATAACTGCACAAGTGGACAGCTGTCACATCAAGAAGGCTGGTCTTAGGGTACTGGGCAGGGTTGAAAACAGGAAAAGACCAGCAGGAGCAAGAAGAAATCATGTACCTCAATAGAAGTTTGATCCTACAAATGGGCATAAGGAAGCAGAAAATTGATAACCCAAGAGACCACGTGGGATCTCAGTGGCCTTCACTGGGTTGTGGGCACTGGGTGTGACAAGAAGCTGTAAAGATTTAGGATGCAAAGTGGGTAGACTTGTGCTACAGCCTAACAGAATATTAGGCTACCATGTTTAAATTCAGTTTAGTCTTGACCCTGGGACTAGATAAGCCTTCAGGTGGGGAGAACTTTGAAGAGCAAGGGAAGGTACAGTCAGGTAAGTAGGATTAAGGGATGCAGTTACCCAGGGATCTTTTCTTAAATTGGCTTAGATGCTTTTGCCTGTAGCTACCAGAAGCCTGTTTTGCCAGTGTGATCGAAGTATGAATATAAGAGCTGAAAGGGATCCCTCCATTTACTTATACATTTTAAATAAATAATTTATTAAAATTTGTTTATTAAATTATTTAATACAATTAATTTATTATTTATTTACTAATTTGTTCATTAAATTTATTTTGAAATGTATTATTTTTAAATAAATTTTAAAATAATTAAATATTTTAAATATTTATTTATTAAAATTTATTTTTAATAACTCCATATTAATTGATTCGCTATAACTGGCTTGTGTTAGATGCTGGGGATGCCTTGGTGAAAAAATTAGAGCAACCCAAAGGAAGTCTTGTGTTCTTGAAAGAGGAATCAGACAAATACACAGGTATGCATGTTTCCATGATAGGAGTGTCAGAAAGGGTGACAGAGCACACTGGTGGGGCACCCAATTAATCTAGGCTGGGATGCCATGGTGGGCTTTCAGCTCATATAACCTTCTCATTTTATGGTGGAAGAACAGAAAGATTAAATTATTACATGTCACATAATACATCAAGGCTTAAGTCTTCCGTAGTGAGATCATTGCCCTGGGGATGATCCTAGATACCTGGTCAGGCAAAGTCAGCCAAAGCTATAGAAGGAACTGGTGGCTACACTTCCTCTCTCTGCCTGGGTGGCTGCACATAGTCTGTTGCTTCTCAAGGCCTCCAAGTGATATAAGCACAGGCATGCAACCCTCAGGAATGGCTGGCATGACAACTCAGATTATTATTTCTTTATTTGCTTGCTTGTTTGTCTTATATGAAATGGTAGAGTTTCAGGGGGGTAGGGGAACCCCTCTTGAAGCATAGCCCACAGTATGTCTCAGCCCCCACATACCTCTCCATGGGTTGCCCACAACATGGGAGAACTGTGTGCCTCTTCTTACACAGTTTCTGCTTGTAAATTTCCCTAATAAAATCAGCTTCCTGCCTGCCCTGCCCAATGTGGTGCCTGCTTTCATCTATCAGTCCGCACCTCCATTTGCATCTGCCATTCATTCAGCACACTGGCAAATTTTTGGGATAAGTCTCTGAATGGCTGTCTCACTGTCTCAGCAAAGCAGCACAAATCCAGGATTTGATAAGCACTGCTCAGTTTTATGCACAGATTGGAAAGTAGAGGATCATTACACTACTTCCGTATGGTAATATCCATTAGGAAATTAACCTACAGAACACTATGTGAAGCGTTCTGGTCACCTTAGGTGAGAGGACTAAGTAAAAGGTGTAATGCTCATTCTCTCAGAGTGCAAACTCTTTTTCATGGAACAACTATTCAGGCCTGGAAATAGGAGGCCTATGATGAAATTTCAATTCTGCCACTCTGGGTTTGAGCAAGTCACTTTACCTTTTAACATCTTTAAAAATTATCGAATCTTATGAGTATATTAAAGTTGTGATAGTTAAATACAAAACAAATGAACATAGTAGCATAACAGAGTCAGCAACAGAATGGTGCTTTGTAAACGTTTACTGAATTCAGTAATACTAACACACATGCATTGATAGTAAAAAGCCTCAAATAGCACACAAAGCAGCATATCATCAAGTGCTCAATTGTGTGGAACGCAATAGAGGAAGTCATGGAGGCTTATTCACAAGTGGGTTTGATGAAAAGTTAGCTGTCACATTGGGGTAATGAATCTCACATGGACTCAGTCACAGGGTGCAGTCATTTGGATGCTGAATTCATAATTTTAGTTTTACATCAGATAAAAAGTCTATTTTTTTCTGATTTTAAAAGCAATATAGACATGTAGAAAATAGTAACAGAAATGTTTAAAATGATATCAGTTATAAATCTCATTTCTAGAGAGAACCATTAATATGTACAAAATATATACATATTCTATATGTATCCTGGTTTTTTAAATGTATATCTCATTGTGTTTTAAATTTGTGGAAAACTGAATTTTAATAGATGTGAAATACAGTATTTCATTTATGCATGTGGTATGTTGTATTAATCACTTTCTTGTTTTGTTAGAAATGTTTGTTTTTTTCTCTCTCTTTTTAACCATTCGGTATTTTTATTTTATTTTTAAGTTCTGGGATACATGTGCAGGATCTGCAGGTTTGTTACATAGGTAAACATGTGCCATGGTGGTTTGCTGTACCTATCAACCCATTACCTGGGTACTAAGCCCCGCATGCATTTATTATTTTTCCTGATGCTCTCCCTCTCCCTGCCCCCAACCCCACGGCAGGCCCCAGTGTGTGTTTCCCCGCCGGCCCATGTCCATGTGTTCTTATTGTTCAGCTCCCACTTACAAGTAAGAGCATGTGGTGTTTGGTTTTCTGTTCTTGTGTTAGTTTGCTGAGGAAAATAGCTTTCAGCTCCATCCAAGTCCCTGCAAAGGACATAATCTCATTCCTTTTTATGGCTGCATAGTATTCCATGGTGTATACATACCACATTTTTTTTTTAATCCAATCTCTCATTGATGGGCATTTGGGTTGGTTCCAAGTCTTTGACATTGTGAATAGTGCTGCAATGAACACATGTGTGAATGTATCTTTATAAAAGAATGATTTATATTCCTTTGGGTATATACCCAGTACTGGGATTGCTGGGTCAAATGGTATTTCTGGTTCTAGGTCTTTGAGAAATCACCACATTGTCTTTCACAGTGGTTGAACTAATTTACATTCCCACCAACAGTGTAAAAGCATTCCTATTTCTCCACAGCCTCACTAGCATCTGTTGTTTCTTGACATTTTTTTTCTTTTTTTTTTTTGAGTTGGAGTCTTGGTTTGTCACCCAGGCTGGAGTGCAGTGGCATGATCTTGACAAGTGCTGGGATTACAGGCGTGAGCCACCGTGCCCACGCCCAGCGTTTTTAATGATCACCATTCTGACTGGCGTGAGATGGTATCTCGTTGTGGTTTTGATTTACATTTCTCTACTGATCAGTGATGTTGAGCTCTTTTTCATATGTTTGTGGCCTGCATAAATGTCTTCTTTTGAGAAGTGTCTGTTCATGTCCTTTGCTCACTTTTTAAGGGAGTTGTTTTTTTCTTCTAAATTTGTTTGAGTTCCTTGTAGACTCTGAATATTAGACCTTTGTCAGATGGATAGATTGTAAAAATTTTCTCCCATTCTGTAGGTTGTCTGTTCACTCTGATGATAGTTTCTTTTGCTGTGAAGGAAGCTCTTTAGTTTATTTAGATCCCGATTGTCAATTTTCGTTTTTGTTGCAATTGTTTTTGACATTTTAATGAATCTTTGTCCATGCCCATGTCCTGAATGACATTGGTTAGATTTTCTTCTAGAGTTTTTAGTTTTGGGTTTTACATTTAAGCCTTTAATCCATCTTGAGTCAATTTTTGTATAAGGTGTGAGGAAGTGGCCCAGTTTCACTTTTCTGCATATGGCTAGTCACTTCTCCCAGCACCATTTATTAAATAGGGAATTCTTTATCTGTTGCTTGTTTTTGTCAGGTTTGCCAAAGATCAGATGGTTGTAGGTGTGCGGTCTTATTTCTGAGATCTCTATGCTGTTCCATTGGTCTGTGTGTCTATTTTTGTACCAGCACCATGCTGTTTTGGTTACTGCAGCCTTGTAGTAAAGTTTGAAGTCAGGTAGAGTGATGCCTTCAGCTTTGTTCTTTTTGCTTAGGATTATCTTGGTTATTCAGGCTCTTTTATAGTTCCATATGAATTTTGTTTTTGTGTATATGTGTGATAGGATCTTACTCTGTCACTCAGGCTGAAGTGCAGGGGTATGATCACAGCACACTGTAGCCTTGACCTCCCTGGGCTCAGGTGATCCTCCCACCTCAGCCTCCCAGGTAGCCAGGACTACAGGTGCACACCAACATGCCTAGTTGATTTTTGTATTTTTTGTAGAGATGAGGTTTTGCCATGTTTCCCAGGCCGGTCTTGAACTTCTGGAGTCAAGTGATCCTCCCACCCTGGCCTCCCAAGGTGCTGGGATTACAGGTGTAAGCTGGCCTCCATATGAATTTTAAAATAATAGTTTTCTAATTCTGTGAAGAATGTGATTGGTAGTTTGATAGAAATAACATTGAATCTGTAAATTGCTTTAGGCAATATGGCTATTTTAACAATATTAATTCTTTCCATGAGCATGAAGTGTTTTTCCATTTGTTTGTGTCATCTCTGATTTCTCTGAGTAGTGTTTTGTAATTCTTGTTGTAGAGATCTTTTACCTCCCAGGTTAGCTGTGTTTCTAGCTATTTTATTCTTTTTGTGGCTGTTGTGAATGGGATTGTGTTCTTGATTTGGCTCTCAGCTTGGATGTTGTTGGTGTACAGGAATGCTCCTGATTTTTTGTATATTGGTTTTATATCCTAAAACTTTGCTGAGGTTGTTTTTCAGATCAAGGAGCTTTTGGGCAGAGACTATGGGGTTTCTAGGTAAAGAATCACATAGCTTGCAAACAGGGATAGCTCGACTTCCTTTTTTCCTATTTGGATGGCTATCTTTCTTTCTCTTGCCTGATTGCTCTGGCTAGGACTTCCAGTACTATGTTGAATAAAATATTTGTCTTCATTTAATTTCAAAATCTTAAAAAACTTTTTTTGCTGTTGTTGAGAAATGACTTTTCAAAAAAATACCAAAGATATAATAATATAAATTTGTAGTGTCAACAGAAGAGTATGCACATAAACCTTACTATATAGAAGTTTAGTCTGTGATAAAGTTGACATTTCAAATCAGTATTTTTCCTAGTGCAATTATCTTTGTTTCTGTCTTCTGTTTCATTTATTTTCTTTTTGTGTCTTATCCTATTTACTTGCTTATGTTTTCTCTACTTTTTGTTTTCTTCTTAGTTCTTTCTTTTTTCCCATTATTTTTTATTTTTCTGTATTATATTTTTATGACTATTCCAATTTTGATTAGTGATAAATTTAATGATTAATACAGTTGATGCTATGCACACAGTTTATATTTTCATTAGTGACAAATTCAATGATTAATTTTAACTTGCAAAAGGATACCTTGCTCTATATTTTTTGTCAGTAAACTATAAAATATTATCTTTTGAGACCTCTCTACTCAAGGCAAGAAAATTATACTACTTTTGTTTTCTTAAGCCAAATGTAGAATTTATGTTTATAACATAAGAATTTGTCAGGTTTATTTTTATCTTTTTTTACATTTTAGATATATAAAATATAAGTTAATATGTATATTTATATAACATGTATATACTTATACATTTATTTACTTATATATGTACATTATTGAAAATGTTCATTTCCAAACACATTTTAGGACCATTAGTTATTTTTTCCATGTTTTCTACTGTGTTGAAATGCACATAACATAAAATTTACCATTTTAACCTTTTTTAGCGTACAGTTCAGTGGTGTTAAATACATTTGTAATGTTCTGCAACCATCATTACCATCCATCTCCACACTCTTTTCATCTTGTAAAACTGAAATTCTCACGATATTGATTCTTCCTAATCAATATTGTGAAAATGGCCATACTGCCCACGGTAATTTACAGTTCAATGCCATCCCCATCAAACTACCAATGACTTTCTTCACAGAATTGGAAAAAACTACTTTAAAGTTCATATGGAACCAAAAAAGAGCCCGCATTGCCAAGTCAATCCTAAGCCAAAAGAACAAAGCTGGAGGCATCACGCTACCTGACTTCAAACTATACTACAAGGCTACAGTAACCAAAACAGCATGGTACTGGTACCAAAACAGACATATAGACCAATGGAACAGAACAGAGCCCTCAGAAATAATGCCGCGTATCTACAACTATCTGATCTTTGACAAACCTGAGAAAAACAGCAATGGGGAAAGGATTCCCTATTTAATAAATGGTGCTGGGAAAACTGGCTAGCCATATGGAGAAAGCTGAAACTGGATCCCTTCCTTACACCTTATGCAAAAATTAATTCAAGATGGATTAAAGACTTAAATGTTAGACCTAAAACCATAAAAACCCTAGAAGAAAACCTAGAAAATACCATTCAGGACATAGGCATGGGCAAGGACTTCATGTCTAAAACACCAGAAGCAATGGCAACAAAAGCCAAAATTGACAAATGCGATCTGATTAAACTAAAGAGCTTCTGCACAGCAAAAGAAACTACCATCAGAGTGAACAGGCAACCTACAAAATGGGAGAAAATTTTTGCAACCTACTCATCTGACAAAGGGCTAATATCCAGAATCTACAATGAACTCAAACAAATTTACAAGAAAAAAACAAACAACCCCATCAAAAAGTGGGCAAAGGATATGAACAGACACTTCTCAAAAGAAGACATTTATGCCGCCAAAACACACATGAAAAAATGCTCATCATCACTGGCCATCAGACAAATGCAAATCCAAACCACAATGAGATACCATCTCACACCAGTTAGAATGGCAATCATTAAAAAGTCAGGAAACAACAGGTGCTAGAGGGGCTGTAGAGAAATAGGAACACTTTTACACTGTTGATGGGACTATAAACTAGTTCAACCATTGTGGAAGTCAGTGTGGCGATTCCTCAGGGATCTAGAACTAGAAATACCATTTGACCCAGCCATCCCATTACTGGGTATATACCCAAAGGACTATAAATCATGCTGCTATAAAGACACATGCACATGTATGTTTATAGCGGCACTATTCACAATAGCAAAGACTTGGAACCAACCCAAATGTCCAACAACGATAGACTGGATTAAGAAAATGTGGCACATATACACCATGGAATACTATGCAGCCATAAAAAATGATGAGTTCATGTCCTTTGTAGGGACATGGATGAAACTGGAAACCATCATTCTCAGCAAACTATCACAAGGACAAAAAACCAAACACTGCATATTCTCACTCATAGGTGGGAATTGAACAATGAGAACACATGGACACAGGAAGGGGAACATCACACACTGGGGACTGTTGTGGGGTGGGGGGAGGGGGGAGGGATAGCATTAGGAGGTATACCTAATGTTAAATGATGAGTTAATGGGTGCCGCACACCAACATGGCACATGTATACATATGTAACAAACCTGCACATTGTGCACATGTACCCTAAAACTTAAAGTATAATAATAATAAAATTAAAAAATAAAGATAGGAAGCTAAAAAAAAAAAACTGAAATTCTAACCATTTAATCACTTCTTTCCCTTTTACCCTAGGCCCTGACAATCACCATTCTTCTGTTTGTCTTTATGATTTTGTCTACTGTAAGCACATATATAAGTGGAATCACAAAGTATTTTTTTTTTGTTACTGGCTTATTTCACTTAGCATAATGTCCTCAAGGTTCATCCATATTGTAATTCACTTATTAGTTTTAACAGTTATTCTGTGAAATATTTAAGATTTCTATATATAATATCATAGCATCTGTGAATAGAGGTCATTTTACTTCATCTTTTCCAATTTTGATGCATTTTCTTTTTCTTACCTATTTGCTCTGGCTAGAACTTCCAATACCATGTTGAACAGAAATGGAGAAGTGGAGAAAGCAGGCATTCCTGCCTTATTCCCAGCTTAGAGAAAAAGCTTTCAGTTTTTCATCGAGTATGATGTTTCCTGTAGGTTTTTCAAACATGAATTTTATTATGTTGAGGTAGTTTCCTCTATTCTTAGTTTATCCAGTGTTTTCTTAAATCAGGAAACGGTATTTTGTCAAATGCCTTTTCTGCACTTATTGAGATGGTCATGTGTTTTTCCCCCCTTAATTCTGTTAATGTGATGTATACTTTGATCTCTTTTTGTATGTTGCACATACAAACTCCTTCCAGGAATAAGCCACTGCATTCCAGGAATACATCACACTTGGTTATGGTGTATAATCCTTTTAATATGCAGCTGAATTTGGTTTGTTAGTATTTTGTTGAGAATTTTTGCAGTAAAGTTTAGAAGGGATATTGGTTTGTAGTTTTAGCATAGTGTCTTTGTGTGGTATTGGTATCAGGGTAGTGCTGGTCTCATAGAATGAGTTAGAAAGTGTTCCCTACTCTTCAGTTTTTTGTGAAAGTTTGAGAAGGATTGGTGTTTGTTATTTTCAAAATGTTTGGTAGAATTCGACAGTGAAGCCATCAATACAGGGCTCTTATTTTTTGATAGATTTTTGATTACTGATTCCATCTCTCTGTTAGTTACAGGTCTATTCTAATGTTCTATTCCTTTGATTTAGTCTTGGAAGGTTTTGTGTTTTTAGGAATTTGTCTATTTCATCTAAGTTATTCCGTTTGTTGGTGTAAAACTGTTCATAATAATCCCAATGCCCAACTTGCATCTTTCATCTTTTTTTGCATCTTTCCTCTTTTTTTCTTAGTCCATGTAGCTAAAAGTTTGTCAATTTTTTTGATCCTCTCAAAGAAACAACTTTTGGTTTCATTGACTTTATGTACTGTTTTTCACATCACTATTTTATTTATCTCCGCTCGACTCTTAATTATTTACTTCCTTCTCTTAGCTTTGGGTTTAGTTTGTTCTTTTTCTAGTTCCTTAAGTTTACAAAGTTAGGTTTATGATTTGAGATCTTTCTTGTTTTTTAATATAAACATTTATAGCTATAAATTTCTGCCTTAGTACTGCTTTCACTGAATTTCATATATTTTTATAGGTTGTGTTTTCATTTTCATTCATCTCTAATTTCCTAATTTCTCTTGTGTTTTCTTCTTTGATCCATTGGTTGTTTAAGAGTTTATTGTTTAATTTTCAAATATTTGTGGATTTCCTGGTTTTCTTCTGTTTTTCACTTTTAACTTCATCCTGTTGTGGTTAGAGAAGACATTTCATATAATATTTATCTTTTAAAATCTATTGAGACTTAATCTGTGGCTTAACATAGGAGCTAGCCTGGAAAATATCCATGTGTGCTATCCATGGCTATCCAATAGCCATGTATACTTGATAAGAATATGATACTGTTGTCATTGGGTATGGTGTTCTGATGTTTCTGTTAGATCTTGTTGGTTTATTGTGTTGTTTAAGTACTTTATTTTCTTATCTTCTCTCTGATAGTTCTATCTATTATTGGGAATGGGCTACTGAATTCTTCAACTATTATTGTAGACCTATCTATTTCTTCCTTAATTCTGTCAGTTTTTGCTTAACGTATTTGGATTTTGATTTACACATTAGGTATGTAAGTGTTTATAATTGTTATATCTTCTTGTTGTATTGAACTTTAAAAATGTATATAATGTCCTTCTTTGTCTCTTGTAAACCTTTTTGACTTAAAGTCTATTTTGTCTCATATTAGTATAGCCACCCTGGATCTCATTTGGTTACTATTTGTATGGGATGCCTTTTTCCATACTTTCACTTTTAACCTATTTGTGTCTTTAGATCTAAAATGAGTCTCTTGTAGACAACATGTAGTTGGATATGTGTTTTTAGGGATTCTGCTAATTTCTGTCTTTTGATTGGATAGTTTAATCCATTTACATTTAAAGTAATGCATAATAGGAAGAACTTCTGTCATTTTGCTATTTGCTTACTGTGTGCCTTATAGCTTTTACGTCCCTCATTTTCTATTTAACTGTCTTCTTTTATATGTAAATTTTTGATTTTAGTGGAATGCTTAAATTTCTTCCTCATTTCTTTTTGTGTATTTTCTATAGCCATTTTCTTTGTGGCTACCATGGGGATTACGTTTAATAGTCTAATGTTATAACATTCTATTTTGAATTTATAATATCTTAACTTCAATAACATATAAAAACTCTGCTCCTTTACAGCTCGGTGCCTACTCCTTTCAGGTGTTGAAGTCACAGAATTACATCCTTATAGATTGTATGCCACAAAACATAAAATAGTTCTTTCAAATGTATTATCTCTTAAGTTATGTAACAATCAAAATGTGGAGTCATTAATACAAACCAAAGTTACAATAATACTTGCTTTTAGACTATTAACTGTTTTTCTTAAAATGTATTAGTCTCTTAAATCATGTAGAATACAGAAAGAAGTTACCCTTGCTACAATAATACTAGCTTTTACAGTTGCCCATATATTAACTTTTATTGAGATCTATATTTCTTCATATGGCTTTGAGCAAGTGTCCTTTCATTTTACCTTGTAGGACTCCATTTATAATTTCTTGCAGGGCAAGTCTAGTGGTAATGAATTCCTGTAGCTTTTGTTTATCTGGGAATATCTTATTTTTTCCCTTACTTTTAAAGGACAGTCTTGCCAGATATGTTAATAGAATTCTTGGTTGACAGTGTTTTTCTTTCAGCACTTTGAATATATGAGCCCACAGACTTCTGGCTTCCAAAATTTCTAGTGAGAAATCTGCTGTTAATTTTATTGAGTATCTCTTTTATGTGACAAGTAGCTTTTCTCTTGCTACTCTCAAGATTCTCTCTTAATGTGGCTTGGTGTAATTCTCTTTGAATTCGTCTTTCTCGGAGTTTGTTGAGCTTCTTGGACATCTATGTTCATTTCTTTCATCAAGTTTGGGAAGTTTTCTATTATTTTTTCTTCAAATATTTTCTTTACCTATCCTTCTTTTCTCCTTGTGAAATTCTCATAATGCATAAGTTGGTCTTTTTGATGGTGTCACACATATCCCTTAGGTTGTGTTTACTTTCTTCAACCTTTTTTCTTTCTGTTCTTAATACTCAATAATTTCCATTGTCCTATGTTGAAGTTCACTGATTCTTTTTTATGCCTCCTAAAATCTGCCTTTTAATTGCTTTAGTGAGTTTTTATTTCAATTGTACTTTTCAGCTCCAGAATTTTTTGTTTTCTTTTTAGGTTTTCTACATCTTTATTGCTATTTCTATTTTGTTAATAACATGATTTTCTGGACTTTCTCCACATATTCCTTAAGTTCTTTGAGCATCTTTGTGTAGTGAATCTGTCATCAGATCTTTTCAAGGCCAGTTTCTGTTGATTAATTTTTTTCTCCTTTGAATGTGCCATACATTCTTGTTTCTTTGTATGTCTTGTGATTTTTTTTGTTGAAAACAGTATTTGAATTTGATAACGTATCTTTGGAAATCAGATTCTCCTCTTTGCCCAGGTTTGCTGTTTTTTTGTTATTGTTTATTGTTTTTGTTTTTTTGATGGTTTTAGGCTAACTCTGTGCCAGTTTGAGATGTAAACTTAAGATCTTCTCAAGTCTTTTCTGAGCCTTTGCCTTTCTACGGGAATATGAGATAATTTTTTAATTTTTCCTGTATATTCAACTCTTTTTTTTTTTTGGATATCCTAGTTTCTAATCTCTCATTCTCAAAAGGGGAAAAATGAAGGGAGGAAACAAAAAGGGTGCTGGCTCTTTGAATCCTCTGGAAGTCACTTCAGCCAGATGGGAAGGAGCCTGTAACAATTCAGGGAGGTACAACAACAAAGTCTGCCCACCTTCTTGTGTGCACCTCTGTGATCAGAAGTAGCAATCAGTGATCGGATGCAGATCTCTAATATTTGGAAGACAACATCCTTTTTGCCCACCCTGGAGCCCATAGGCTGCATGCAAGTTTCTCCAAGAACTGGGGGATGGGTAGCTGCTACCGTTTTAAGAGCTAAAATTAAAATTAATTGTGCTTTTACCTTATACCTTCCCCTGGAATTTGCAAGCTTACAGTAGACTCCAGAGTTGCAAAAATAGTTACATTAGGCAGATTTTGCCAGTATAATTGTTGTCTAGGAGCACGGCCAGACTCCTGGTGCTTTCTACCCTTCCATCTTCCCCAACCGCTAGTTATTGAAACTTACTTTAATACAGGAATGTAAGCAGTTTACTTTGTGTTTTTTCATTTTCATCACTTATGAATAACTCAGCTAGTGAAAAACTTCTTAGAGTAAATCATTTTTCTTTCAAAATAATGTTGACATTGCTCTGTTGAAATCTAGTGTTTATTTCAGAGAAGTCTGCGGCCAGTTTGATTTTTATTTCTTTTCAGATTACCTGTCTCTAAAGATCTGGATGCTTTAAATACTTTTTCCTTTTAATCAATAACCATGAAATATCTGGGTGTGATGTATGTTTATTGCAACACTATTCACAATAGCAAAGACTTGGAATCAACCCAAATGTCCATCAGTGATAGACTGGATTAAGAAAATGTGGCACATATACACCATGGAATACTATGCAGCCATAAAGAAGGATAAGTTCATATCCTTTGTAGGGACATGGATGAAGCTGGAAACCATCATTCTGAGCAAACTGTTGCAAGGACAGAAAAGCAAACACCGCATGTTCTCACTCATAGGTGGGAATTGAACAATGAGAACACTTGTACACAGGGCGGGGAACATCACACACTGGGGCCTGTCATGGAGTTGGGGGAGCAGGGAGGGATAGCCTTAAGAGAAATACCTAATGTAAATGATGAATTAATGGGTGCAGCACACCAACATGGCACATGTATACATATATAACAAACCTGCATGTTGTGCACATGTACCCTAGAACTTAAAGTATAATAATAAAAAAAAAGAAATATCTGGGTGTGGGTCTTTTCTCATTAATCTTTTTTATTATGTGATGAGCTGTTGTCATCTATATGCTTTGTATTGCAGATGTTTTTCCTCCATGGTTTTTTATACCTGTTGGCAGGATGGCTAGAGTTCCTTTTGATAGCTCTCTCTCTTTTTTTTTTTTTTTTTTGAGATGGAGTCTCACTCTGTCACCAGGCTGGAGTTCAGTGATGTGATCTCGGCTCACTGCAACCTTCGCCTCCCGGGTTCAGGCAATTCTCCTGCCTCAGCCTCCCTAGTAGCTAAGACTACAGGCGTGTGCCACCACACCCGGCTCATTTTTTGTGTTTTTTAGTAGAGACGGGGTTTCACCATATTGGCCAGGATGGTCTCGAACTCCAGACCTTGTGATCCACCCGCCTCGAGCTCCCAAAGTGCTGGGATTACAGGTGTGAGCCACCACACCCGGCCTCTTCTGATACCTCTAATTCTCACCTTTAGCAACTAGTTTCTGGAAGCTCGTGTGCTAGGATTATAGATACCTAGTTACATCTCCTTGTTTGGACAGAAAATTTCACCTCAGAGAGTCAGGCCTGTGTCCCTCATCAGGATAGGGTCAGATGCCTGGGCAGGGAAGGAAACTGGGGAAAATCGGTGGAAATCTTTAGCCTTGAGTCCTCTATAAATTACTATCTAACCTTCCTCTACTCAGCAGATAATAGACAGTGATCGCAGGGACAACTTGGTCTCTGTGTAGAAATGGCAGGGCATAAACAGGCAAAATGGCACTAGTTTCCTGGGTACAGGCTGATCAAGAAGCAGGGAAGGATTTGAAATGTCTAGTTCAAAGGAATCACTATAGAGCCAAAATAAAATCCAAAGAAAAAGGGCTGGGCACGGTGGCTCACACCTATAATCCCAGCACTTGGGGAGGCTAAGGAGGCCAGATTACCTGAGCTCAGGAGTTTGAGATCAGCCTGGCCAACCACGGCCAACATGGTGAAACCCCGTCTCTACTAAAAATATAAAAATTAGCTGGGTCTGGTGGCAGGTGCCTGTAATCTTGGGAGGCTGAGGTAGGAGAATTGCTTGAACCTGGGAGGTGGAGGTTACAGTAAGCCAAGGTCGTGCTACTACACTCTAGCGTAGATGACAGAAGGAGACTTCATCTGAAATGAACAAACAAACAAAAAACAAAGAAAATGTTTTGCATATACAAGGGGAGTGATCAGGATTGAAAGGCAGAGCCCACCCAGATCCTGTTCTAAAAGTATGCCTGGCTAATAGAACCTCAGGTGACGATGGACATGTTCTGTATCTGTGCTGTTCAATGTGGCCTCCACTAGCCACTGTGGCTATCTAGTACTGAGGAACTAGACTTTTAATTTTACTCAATTTTAATCACTTTAAATTAAAATTTTAAATGCCACAAGTGACTAGTGGGTACTGACAGTGAAGCTCTAGAGTGGCTTTCTCTGAAGAGGAGGGGGGCCATGGAAGCTGCAGGGTTGACTCTGAGACCATTAGCTTCCTAGACAGTGAAAGCTACTCTCATAGTTGGCAACAGGTTGACAATCAGCCTCATTATTTGATATTGTAAGTTTTATCTTTTTCTGTGTCTTTTTAGGCATTTTGATGGAAATTTGGAAGTAACTAAGTGAAGGAATGTTAAACACCATTTGAGAAGATGTGATGATTAATTTTAGGGGACAACTTGACTGGGTTGAGGGATGCCTTGATGGCTGGTGAAGCATCGTTTCTGGGTTATGTCTGCTTTCAGACAGTGCTTTCAGGGGAGATTGCTGTGAGTCAGTGGACTGAGAAAGGATTTCCAGCTCTCAATGTGGGGGTACTACCCAATTAGCTGGGAGCCCTGGTTGGGACAAACATGGGGAAGAATGGGGATATGCACTCTCTGCTCTTGCCCTCTCCCTTCCCTGCTTTTTTTCCTCCTGCCCTTGGACATCAGACTCTAGGTTCTTCAGCTTTTGGACTCTGGGACTTGCACTTGCAGTCTCCCAGGGGCTCTTGAGCCTTCAGGCATAGACTGAGGGCTTCGTCTTTGGCTTCTCTGTTCCTGAGGCTTCCAGAGTTGGACCAAGCCTTGCTACTGGCTTCTTCTGTTTTCTAGCTTGCTGGCAGCCTATGGTGATACTTCTCTACCTCTGTGTTTGTGTGAGCCAATTCCCTGATAACCCACCCTCATACATATCTTGTTGGTTTTGTCTCTCTGAAGAACCCTGACTAACTCACAGCAGATGTCTAGCATACTCTTTCCCCATCCTTTTCTTCCTTCTTTCTATAAGTTTGTAAACAATGGAACATATCTTTCAGAAAACTTTTATAATCATGCATCTTTCCATTTTGGCCCCCTTTGGGAGTTCAATTATATTATGTCTAGGAAAATGGGTGTTGAGTTTGTTATAGCAGGTGAATAGGGGAGTGCATAGAGAAGAAATACTTTCAAATTTTCAGTCCAGAGACTGTCTTCTTAGCCATTTTACAGTATTATCTTCTTCCTTAAGGGTATTTTAAAATGAAAGAATATTTGAGGGATCTAATTAAACTGAAGAGCTTCTGCACAGCAAAAGAAACTATCATCAGAGTTAACAGGCAACGTACAGAATGGGAGAAAATTTTTGCAGTCTATCTATCTGACAAAGGGCTAATGTCCAGAATCTACAAGGAACTTAAATTTGCAAGAAAAAAACAACCCCATTAAAAAGTGGGTGAAGGATATGAACAGACACTTTTTTTTATTATACTTTAAGTTCTAGGGTACATGTGCACAACATGCAGAAAAGAAGACATTTATATGGCCAACAAACATATGAGAAAAAGCTGATCATCACCGATCGTTAGAGAAATGCAAATCAAAACCACAATGAGATACCATCTCACGCCAGTTAGAATGGTGATCATTAAAAAGTCAGGAAACAGCAGATGCTGGAGAGGATGTGGAGAAATAGGAATGCTTTCACAGTGTTGGTGGGAGTGTAAATTAGTTCAACCATTGTGGAAGACAGTGTGGCAATTCCTCAAGGATCTAGAACCAGAAATACCATTTGACCCAGCAATCCCATTATGGGATATATACCCAAAAGATTATAAATCATTCTACTATAAAGACACATGCACATGTATGTTTATTGCAGCACTGTGTACAATAGCAAAGACTTGGAACCAATCCAAATGTCCAAATACTCAATGATAGTCTGGATAAAGAAAATGTGGCACATATACACCATGGAATACTATGCAGCCATAAAAAGAATGAGTTCATGTCCATTGCAGGAACATGGATGAAGCTGGATACCATCATTCTCAGCAAACTAACACAGGAACAGAAAACCAAACACCGCATGTTCTCACTCATAGGTGGGAGTTGAACAGTGAGAACACATGGACACAGGGAGGGGAACATCACACATCGGGGCCTGTTGGGGGGTTAGGAGCCAGGGGAGGGAGAGCATTAGGACAAATACCTATTTCATGCAGGGCTTAAAACCAAATGACGGGTTGATGGGTGCAGCGGAACACCATGGCACATGTATACCTATGTAACAAACCTGCATGTTTTGCACATGTATCCTAGAACTTAAGTAAAATAAATAAATAAATAATACTTGATTTATGTTTTCCATGATGGGAATGAGTTTTTAGGGAAGTCACCTTGTAACACATTTATCAACTAGTTGGTTAATTGATTAATTAGGTAATCAATAAACATGATTAACTTCTGTTCTATGGAGGTCTCTGTGCTACTTACTCTGCAAGAGAAAAAGGGGATAAAGTGATAGAGACTGAGGATAAGTTTTTTTTGATTTTTTGATTAAAGTGAAGGTCCAAGAGAGATAAAAATTAAATAACACTGTGTTAAGCATAATGATGTTATGGAAAAGAATGCAAGTGGATGAAATTTGGACAGCCCTAGGAAATCTGGGGCATATGGTTGTTATGTGCATTGAAACAATTCTTAAAGAACTTGATGCACCAGCTGATGAAATAAAAATGATGCACAAAAAAGTAGGTGGCCTATCCAAGGAGAAATGCTGAGCACTAGCAGATTAAACTGATTTACTTTTTATTTTAAAAACTGTTAGTTTTGGCCGGGTGCAGTGGCTCACACCTGTAATCCCAGTACTTTGGGAGGCTGAGGTGGGTGAATCACTAGAGGTCAGGAATTTGAGACCAGCCTGGCCAACATGGTGAAACCCCGTCTCTAGTAAAAATACAAAAATTAGCCGGGTGTGGTGGCGGGCACCTCTAATCGCAGCTGCCTGGGAGGCTGAGGCACGAGAATCACTTGACTCCTGGTGGCAGATGTTGCAGTGAGCCGAGATTGTACCACTAGGACTGGCCACTGTACTCCAGCCTGGGCGATACAGTGAGACTCAGTCTCAAAATAAAAAAAGGAAAAATTGTTAGTTTCATGTTATTTTTTAGACCAACTTTATCTAAACAAATAACTTTAAAAAACTTATTTGGTATCCCTTCACCTTCTCTTCCTTATAATTATCTCACATTTGTACCGTTAATGTTTTCTTAATGAAAAGATCTAGAGTAAATCAAAATGAATGCTATGTTGAATTCTTTCATTTCACACAAACATATTGTATCCACTACATGCCAGCCCCTGGGCCAGGTCCTGGTTGGGGGAAGAGATGCCCTTCAATTGGCCAATACTGCAAAAACTGAGAATGGATTTATACTTAATAAAAGTGGTTTCTGCTGCAGAGAAAAAAGAAAGTGTGAGTGAGAAATGAGAAGGACTAGTTGTCACAATAAGACTAATGTATTATTCTGAAGTGCAATTGGAAAGTTTCCGTGTCATTTAAGTTCTTAAAGACCTTTATTTTGTCTGCTTTTGCCTTGGTAAGCCTTAGTGTCAAAGTGAAGCAATTTTATGTTTTGAGAAAGGAGTGAATGGAGGGGAAGGAGATGCTTCAAGGTCAATCACACCAATTCTGCTTCCCCAACCTCCGTGGTAAGCGCTGTCAATTATTAAATGTTTGAAAAGGTTTGCTCTGACTGTAGCTTTCTCAGTGTTGCTAGTCAGTGGTGCTTCTAAAGCTCTTGAGAAACAATATGATGCAATATGATGTTTTGTTTTGTTTTGTTTTGTTTTTTTTCCTGAAAAGGGGGAACTAATAATCTTGTTAACTAATACATTTTTTTTGGCCATTATTGATTTGTCAAAGGATCCGTGTGTCTGCTCTTCAGCATCCCCTAGGGAGAGTCCACGTTATTTCTAAGAAGACAGGAGAGAAGGAGGGAGAAAAAAACGTGCAGATCAAAAGGCCTCAGAAAAAAACAAAGTGGGATGAAATGCTGGGCTTTATTCTGTACAACCTAAGCATTTTCTATCTTTGATGAGTCAAGGTATCCTTATTTTTTTATTCTTGTGGTTAGTGATGGTGGAGAGAGGAATACAAATGGCTGGCTTGTTTCTACAGAAAGAGGAGTATAGTTCAAAGTGGATTAAGGTGGGCAGTTTAGGGTCAACATGTGACAGGACTGGTCGATGCTAGGGTGGGCAGTGGTTGGAGGATGACCCCTAATGCATCAAAGACTGAGAAAGATTTCAAAACATGAATTAATTGCAAAGGTTCTGGAAGGCAAGTTGAGATTTGGATTTTATTCTCAGTCCTAGCTTTAATTTTGCAAGCCTGGTCTAAGTCACAGTAACCTGTCATGTGTGTGCTGTATTAGACTATGAAACAGAGTTTGTGAACGTGTCACTACATTTTCCTGTTACACTTGATTTTTCCTTCTGGCTTTTACTGATCTCACTCCAAGTCTTCTTCTCTCCAAAACGATGGTGGGCTGTTCTTTCCTCTCGAGTGGCCACTGATGTAACCACTCAGGGGTGGCCCAACCATAGGCTAAACAGTGAACTATGGCAGGCTTTCAGATGGAGGAATCTTCCCAGAGATGATAATTGTTGGCTGAGACAAATGGGCTTAATCTCTCACAAATTTGAACTAATACATCCACAGGGACATTGTTAATTGATGATGGTTGCTGAAGCTAAAACGTGTAGTAGTCCTGGTTGATGTGGTCTTTCCATGAGCTGGTTGTTTGCAACCAAATGAACCTGAGCAATAGAAAGACCTAGTAAAAATTTATTTAATTTCTTATCCTTTGGTTCCTACATTAGTCAATGAAATTTGTATACTCACTTGTTTCCCTTTATGAACATTTTACTAGAACAGCATTTCTCAATGTTTTTAATCTCGAGAACTCTTTATACTCTTAAAAATGGAAGGTCTGAAAGACCTTTTGTTTATATGCATTATATCCATCAATATTTACTATATTAAAGTTAAAACTGATAATTAAAAATATTTTCTTATTTATTTAAAAATAAAAAACTCATTATATGGTAATATAAAAATATGTTCTTTAAGCAAAGAAAATCCTATCTAGCAAAACAATACTGAATAGGGTAGGCATTGCTTTATTTTTGCAAATATTTTAAGTGTCTGAACTGATAAAAGACAGCAGGATTCTCAAATGCATATTTAGTCTGTTGCAATATGTCCTATTGATTGAAGTTTATGAAGAAAATTCAGGCTAACACAGGCTAAAGGGAGAAAAAAAGGAGAATTTTAATAGACTTTTCAGATAGTTGTGGATATTTTCCTTTATTATACCTAAATTTGACAAGTTATAGTTTCTTTTTTTTTTCTTTTGAGACGGAGTCTTGCTGTCGCCCAGGCTGGAGTGCAGTGGCGTGATCTTGACTCACTGCAAGCTCTGCCTGCTGAGTTCACGCCATTCTCCTGCCTCAGGCAACCGCCACCACACCTGGCTAGTTTTTTTGTATTTTTAGTACAGACGGGATTTCACGGTGTTAGCCAGGATGGTCTCGATCTCCTGACCTCGTGATCCGCCTGCCTCGGCCTCCCAAAGTGCTGGGATTACAGGTGTGAGCCATTGCGCCTGGCCGACAAGTTATAGTATCTTAAAGATTAGTTACAAATAAATTCTAAAACCATATCAATGAACTTTTTGTACTCTGTCATGTAAAGACCCATTAGTCTACACTACACTTTGAATGGTCTTTTTATCCATACTTGACTTTGTAATATTATGTCTTGATCATTTGGAAAATGTTGGTTCAGCAAATTATACAGATCTTCAAAATGCTGACATAATTCTAAAATATAAAAAAGTCACTTTCAGCACTGATATCAGAAAAATCTCTAAATCTTGGGAAGTTGTCAAACTCATTATGGCAGGCAAATGTTTTCCATAATACCAATTTTTGATAGAAAGTTTAAGTATTATCATTAGCAACAAATACAATTGGTTTTCCTAGAAGCGACAGGCTTCTCTCATTCTTTTTTTGAGAAAATATTTTGCAAATATCCACGTCCAAATAATCTTTATTTGCCTGCCGTCATTCTTTCTGATAAAATTGGTGTTCCAGGAAGAAATAGGTAGTTCAGGTGAAAAATCAATTGCACAACAGTTTCCCTCAAGATAACAATTGTACTTAGATATGCGTACTTCCCGTTTTGGCACACAAAATATTAAAGAGTGTACCTCAAGGGTTGAGATTTAATAATATCAAAAGTCTTGCTTCATCAAGGACATTCTTAAGTGAAACTGGCTTTTTTTTTTTTTTTTTTTCAAATACATGTTTTGCCTTGATTTTGTAAGGTACTGGCAGTTCTGTCCACCATTACTTTTGCATCATCAATGCAAATATCAACACAACAAAAAGGAAAATAATGTCTTAGTATTATTATGAAAATAATTTTGACCCTGTGGACCCTCTGAAAGTGTTTCTGCAGACAGAGTTACTGCAAGTTTCCTGGGGACCCTTGGTTGGGCTCTGTGTGCCACATTTTGAGGACTGCTGCCCTAGAGGGTAAGTATGGGTTTTATAGCACACTGGTCCTTAAGCTTTTGTGTCTGTATCACACTTTCCATTACTGGAGATTGGAGGACACAAATGAAGGGATTAAATAAAGCAAACACTAGATTTTACAAAAGCACCTTACTGAAAAGTTAAAAGAGATACTAAGAGGTTAAATGGACTTCCTTGAGGATTCTGCTTTGATCTTTCCTAAACCACTCTGTAATTTTAAGTCAATAATTTGCCAAGTGCTCCATGAACAGAGAATATGGCCTCATAAACTTAGGAGTAAGATTGTCTGCCAGTGGGAGAAAGAGAATTAGTGTCAAACAAACAAACACACATATTTCAGATTCATGTAGTTTATGCTTTGGGGGCTTGGGGGAAAAAGCTGCAGAATTACAAAAAAATGTGAATTTTGTGCTATGGAAGTATTAGTAGAGAAAGAAAATGATTAAACAAGTAGGGAAATAATCACAGTGCAGTCAAAAGAAAAAAGTTTTCTAAATTCTAAGTGGTCTTAAAGCCTAGGAATGAATTCTAAAAGACTGGGTGGGTAGTTAAGGTTTGGAGGGGAAGGAAGGTTAACTTGAGCTCATTAATTAGCTCATGCCGGTTAAATTTACAATGTTAGAAAAAGGAGCCCTTAAAATAACACATTATAAGAAAATGCCAGTACAACAGTGTATTCATTAGAGAAAAATGTCAAATATGTGGGGGAATGTTAACATTTTATTTAAAAGAATGGCTTATTTTAATGTATATAATTATATCTAGACTATGGAAATGGTTATTTTTTGTTGTTTTGAAAAATAAAAGATCCTTGAAATGACATTCATCCTATTAAAACTGTTAATAGGATGAATGTCACTTCAGGGATAAGTGAAAACCACAGAATGTGGCATTCATACAAAGCTAGTTCTGTGCTCACTCTGGAAATAGAAGATATTTTGGAAAAATCTTACTTCATAATAATATTTTATGGGAGAAAACTATAGCCTATTTGTATACTTTGTTCCATTGTAAAGTATAATTCTCTAATAGTTTTGCTACTATAGCCATGTAAAATTTTCCTGTCTTTCCCATCCAAAAGAACTGCCACAATCCACAGTGGCTTCAATATCCAAAGAATTTCTCACACCATTAGTGATAATGGCACACATTATAGTCATTAAAAAGAATGATGTACAATATACTCATAGACTGAAAAATTAAATTGTATGCATCTCACAGAAACAAATTTTATATGCATATATGTCAGTAATGCATTTATGTATGTATATATATATATATATATTTATACCAAATATTAATCGTGGTTATCTCTGATAGTTAGCAAAGGTGGTAGGATACAATTATAGATAACCTTCACTTTTCACTCTTTATTTCTGTGATATTTGATTTCTTCCAAGTATGCATTCCTTAAAAATTCAGGAAAAATCACAGAAAAAAAAAATAAAAGGAACATTGCATTTTGCTTATAGTAGAAAATTTGAAAAGCCAAAAAAGTTTTTGAGAGGAACATAAAAACCTTCATCAAGTTAGAAAGATAAGTTATATAAAAATAACTAGAATTCAAGATAGAGTCATACATTTATTAGTATTCCAGTGATATGCTTTGGCATCAGAAACTATTTCTAACTATAAGAATAGAAATAACCTTATACCACCTTGGAATCAGGGTGCCAGGGACAAAATTCCACTCCAACATTATTTGTTGTCCTTATGAATGAATAAGGGTATAAAGTAAGGATAGAAAAGTCAAATGCTCAGGTAGGTTTCCATTTATGCTACTGGTAAACTTCTTGTTTGTCTTTAAGGAGAACCCCACTATGAAGCCGGTCAGGTGGGGAGACAGCACTTCCATTCTCTTTAAATGATAGAAATGTCTAATTTCTGAGACTCTCTGTCTTGTGGAGCACTGTCGTCTTCATGGACACAGGCAGGATGGCAAGTAAGTGAAAGGCAAGGACAGTATGTACTCGAAAGTCTTCATCTACATAAAAGCAAGAGGAGAAAGGGCCTCTGAGCATTATTTGCTAAATGGTCTGTTATCATTTGTCCCCTCCAAATCTCATGTTGAAATTTGATCTCTCATGTTGGAGGTGAGGCCTAGTGGGAGGTATTTGGGGCCTCCCATTCATTGGGGAGGATCCCTCATGAATGGCTTCCTGCCATTCTCATGGAATCCAGTGAATTCTCCCTCTTAGTTCATGTGAGATCTGGTTGGTTAAGAGTCAGACACCTGCCTTCCCTCACTCTCTTTCAGCCATGTGATGCTGCTTTCCTTCACCTTCCACCTTGAGTGGAAGCTCCATGAAGTCCTCACCAGATGCTGATGCTGGCGCCGTTCTTGTTTTATAGCCTGCAGAGCCATGAGCCAAAGAAATCTATTTTATTTATAAATTACCCAGCCTCAGGTATTTCCTTTACAGCAACACAAATGGACTAAGACATGGTCATGACAAAGTCTCCCATAGAAAACTGATCTGGCCTTCTCCAAAACTGAGGGCAGCTGGGAGGCATAAACAGAAAAGGACATTGGACAACACTGGGTTTAGCCTGAGAGACTCTCCTCACTAGAGAAGCAGATTTTCAGTTGTCCAATCAAGCTGCTAAAGAAAGAGGGGCTGATTTGTCAGACTATTTTGTCTATAACTAGGGTAGCCATATATGCCAATTTCCCCAAGGCAGTCTTGATTAGCTTCTATTTTTTGGCACAATTCTGAACAGTGTCACCTCTTTTATTCTAAAATGTTTTCTGAAATAAAAATGATTCTTATGGCCGAACTCTTCTTCTGTTCTTATGGTTGAACTGTTGAGGAAAACAACATCCTGGTCATGGCAGACTCTTGACTGTGTTGGCAAAAGAGTCATTCCCAATCAGCTTGCCTTTTGTCACGTTTTGTTACAGAGGTGAGGAAAATGAAATACTTTTGCAGCCACCCTTGAAGCCAGGATTGGCCATGCTAAGTACTTTTGGCCAGAGAGTATTTTCTGGGGAATTTTACAAATATTTTGGTACTGACTTCTCTTCTTCCTGTTTTGAGTGAGGACATGATACTTGGAGCAACAACAGTCACCTTGAAACTCTGAGTGAAGGGCCAAAACAGTTTCAAAGACCAAAGTCCTAACAGTATTGAGCTGCTAATCCTATGCCAACAGTCAGCTAATCCAAGAACAGATTACAACTTTATTGATTTAAGTTTCTTTTAGGTTGGTTTTCTGTTACTTGCAGTTAACATAATTCCCAATGTACACAATGAGTTATTTTCTTCCCTTACTTTAGATTATTCAATTGGTTGACTTAGGCCTGGAAATCAACCTCTCATTTTGGCATGTAGCTCACTGCCTTTGGGGACATTAAATATATTCTTTGACTATCTCCCATTACAGGTACTGTATATAAATACTGAAACAAAACAATGGAAAAAGCAAATAGGAAATAGAGTGAGAATCAGGGGAACTGAGGGGAAGCACCAAGTTTATCTTCTTTAGATAGTTCTTATTTTGGAGACAGGATATTTATTTCCTGCGAGCTCTAAGGACTGTGCATTTAGCAAGGACCGTTCATTTTTCATCTTCCTCACTAATGTCTTAAGGGAGGGAAAGATAAATCTGAGTGTCATCAGGATACATATGGAGCTGAGGGCCACAGTTGCTAATTAAGTCCTCTTCAAAGACCCATTTGGATGCCTCAGCATACGTGATAAAAAAGATTACCCCCAATGATGTCATGTTTTTCCAGGCATCAAAAGAACCCCAAATTACCTTGTGTTAACAAGAGTGGTTGGAGAAAGCTAAGATACCACTACAATCTCCCCTTACCCTCTGCATAGTGCTGGCTAAGTGGTATGGTCCTGATTTTCTGATAATTACTACTTTTAAGGAGATGGTATTTTGTTGCAGTGTCACTGAGGAAACAGAATTCCAATCATAACAGGCCCCGAAGCAATTTAAGTGCTGCAAACCGACCCCAAATAGAATTCACTTGAACCTTGCCAGAAATAGGAATATCACTTTCTTGAAGCTCAAGGGGAGAGAAAAGTAATTTGGGAAACAGACAGTACATTGCAAGGTTCTCCTTTGCCTTCGCGATGTTCATATGTCCACTGAGTCTGACTGGCAATTTAAAGAAATCTGTTTATTTTATTCTGTGTTTTTCCAAAGGATTTCCTCCCATTTTCCCTAGCTCCATTTCTTAACCCACATGGAGAACCTGGCAGGAACTTATCAGGGCTGGTTCTTAGTCTGGTCCTATTCCCACAACGTTCCCTGCTAAAATCAAGCCAAAATGATACCAGAATCCATCTATGAGATGAAGTAAGAGTGTCTTTCAGTTCACTTTCAGACAGCTGGATTCCAGCTTTAATGGCTGGTGAGCCAGCAGAACAGATAGACTGTTTTTTGTTTGTTTGTTTGTTTCAGACATGGTCTCGCTCTATCACCCAGGCTGGAGTACAGGAGTGTAATCACAGCTCACTGCAGCATTGACCTTCTGAACTCAAGCTATCCTCCCACCTCAGCCTCCCAACATGCTGGGATTATAGGCGTAAACCACCATGCATAGCCTTTAGGACTGTCTTTTTAACCTGAAAGCTAGATGGACGCTAACAAAGATTGTCCTGTGTTTCTTTTGTGTGTGTGTGTGTGTGGAGGGGGAGCACTTTCATTTAGATACACAGATGATTTCCCTAAAGAAAGGATATCAGATCAGCAAATGGCCTGTTTTTATGAAATTTACTCTTAAGAAATGGATGTAAATATCTAAAAGTTTTCCAAATCTGGTCATGGAAGATATAGCCCATTTAGCCCAAAGTTTCTCTCACCTCGTCTTCCACTAGTTAACTTTGTTTTTCAGGAAACATTCAGTTAACAATCAGTGAATTTTCTAAGCTGATTTACAGGTCTAAGCAACATACTCCTATGAGAATCTGACTTTCTGCTTGGTTAAAATGGAATAAAGCATTTACAATTTTGGATAGCCCCTGCTTAGACTAAAGGGTGGTAGAATTGTTCTATGTTATTGTAGGCTGCTAGCCCATGAAGATTAAGAATGAGATTCACTTGGCAATATCTGACCAAATACCAGAATGGAACAGGCCAATCGCAAGGGTAAAATCAAGTCCTGTTTTAGCAGCAGGTCCAACAGGGACAAGGAAGTAAATTATTTCAATTTTGCTCCAGGATAAAAGCAAACATATATTTCATTGATTTTTTGCAGGGCTCAAGGGTGGTAGTCAACAATTTTTTCAGTTTCTACAGCAAATTTCTAATATTAGCTGCATATCTATAAAATCATCAGATCATTGGAAGGTAATTACTTTCTATATGGCAGATGGAGTTCTATTAGGTTTTCACTGAGGCATCAATAAATAATGACACAATTTCTCAATAAAAAGAACTCATTTGGTAAATTTTCCAAGACAGCTATTTTCTTGCTCGCTGAAGACATGACAAGCAATATAAGTTGAAATAGAAACTAAATTTGTCTTAATTATATCTATGTATTCTAGGAGCTTATCTCCCAAACTGCTTACCATTATTTCTCTGTCCATCTGAATTACTAATGGAAACTAGGAATAGATAAAATACTGAGGTTGAGTTGCCTAAGATAATAAAAGTTAAGATTTACTGGCAGGTGGTGAAGGAAGGGGATTTGGTTTGGATCTGTGTCCTCACCCAAATCTCATGTTCAAATGCAATCCCTAATCTGGAGGTAGGGCCTGGTGGGAGGTGATTGGATCATGTGGGGCAGGGTGGGGAGGTGGGTGGTTTCTCATGAATGGTTTATCGCCATCCCGCAATGCTGTTCTTGTGTTATAGCTCTGTGAGATATGGTTGTTTAAAAGTGTGTAGGCCCTCCCCCACCTCTCTCTATCTTCTGCTCCAGCCATGTAAGTTGTGCCTGCTACCCCTTCACCTTCTGCCATGATTGTAAGTTTCCTGAGGCCTCCCCAGAAGCAGAAGCCACTATGCTTCTTATGTAGCCTGCAGAACCCATGAGCCAATTAAACCTCTTTTCTTTATAAGTTACCCAGTCTCAGGTATTTCTTTATTGCATTGTAAGAACAGATTAATACAGAAGGGGTCAAATGATTCAGAAAAGTGGGAATAGGATAGTGGGTACACCACTTAGAGCCAGAAAACCCAACAGTTTTCTGTGGGAGAACCCAGAAGACACTCAGTTTAATCAAGTAATAAGAAGGTGTTGCTGGGAGGGGCACTGGAACCACTGAGAGGCTCAGATGCTATTAAAAAGTTGGGCTCCTAAAAGCAATGGGGTGATAAAAATCTGAAATATTAGAGACCAGATGACATTTTAACCCTTGGAAGAAAGATACAAACAAATATCACAAGTGACAAAACCAGAGTGGCAGCCAGGGGTCTCAATCTGCAGAAAGCTTGGAGATGCTGAATGGGACACTGTATTCCTAGAGGCAGAAGAGTGAGGCAGCCGAAAGGATACTACTTAATTTATACAATCAAAAGAAACCAAGGATGCATGATCCGGAAACTAAAGGCAATCACCTCAATAAAAGTCATGATCTGTTGCTCAGTTTTTGAACTTGGGCCAACTCTCAGACTCTAAACCCATTGACTGAAGGAGAGGCCAGCATCCTATAAGGAAACACACTGCAATACCATGTAACCCTCTGTATCTTTCCCCAAATAGACCTATGGACATTTACTAGGAAAGCATGCACTGGGGAAAGGAGGACACCCAGACTTGTGAGGATTGTTGGGCACACAGTCTGACTTTATTAGTACCTGGAGACTCAAAGTGGCACCCTGACCCCCAGTGGGTGGTAGATGGCGTCTTGACTCAGGACTGGCTAACTGTGAGTCCATCTAGCCCATGGACCTATGAAGATGCTATTTCTTTTGTCCCCTAAAGTATAATTGGAAGGGCCAGACTTAGTAGCTGGCAGAACACTCACATTGGTTCCTTGACCTGGGGGGTAAGAGAGCTCATAGAAGTGAAGGCAAAGTGAAAGGCTCTGAATCTGACCCCTCTTCCCAATTTATCCCTGGCCCAGATAGTGAATCAAAGTAAATACGATGTCCTGCAATCTTGGACATTTTTAATGCTGAGGAAAGATTAATGCCACTCCTTAAAATACCTAAAGAATGCAAGGATGGTGGTCTCTGTCAAATTTAGTGAAATTGCATTTCCCCTGTAACAATCAAGGCCCTGAGACCTGCAGAGATTGCAGAGGCAGGAAATAGAAATTTCCCAAGTGAATCACTGGAGAAGTCCACTAGTCTGATCCCTGCAGAAACCAGGTGGTTCAACTGCTGCAAACAAGCAAGTAGTAATCTCAATTGCAGCTGCTGTGCTGGATGCAGCACTTTTGCTGGAGCAGATTAACACAGCCTCTGGCATAGGATATGCACACATTTACCTAGCACATATATTACTTTTTGTCTCTCAGGAAGGAGACACATAAGCAGTTTTCATTCATATGAGACATAGGAGAGTGTATTTTCATAGCCTTTCCCCAGGTCTGTGTTAACCTTTCCACCTTCAGTCATGATGTAGTCCAAAGGGATCTGTAATCATCTGTAAATTCTGTAGAACATCAGATTCATTCGCCATGTTGATGACATAGTCATTGAGCTAGATGACAAGAAGTGACAAATACTTGGTAAGACACATGTGCTTCCAAGGATGGGTGATAAACCTTTGGAAATTCAGGGGCCTACCACCCCAGTGAAGCTTGTAGGGGTCTGGGTCTGCTGCCTTGACGGAGTGACAGAAAGGTTTCTCAGAGACACAGCTGAGGTGCCAGCTTGGAGATGACCCCCTTAGAAGATGGGACACCATTTTCCAGGATATGTCTGGTCACCAGACCATCCATCTAGTGGTGAAGGCCAGGAATTCAAGACTAGCCTAGGCAACATAGTGAGACCCTGTCTCTACAAAAAATTTAAAAAGAATTTAGCCAGGCATGGTGGTGTGCTCCAATAGTGCCAGCTACTCAGGACGCTGAGGTGGGAGGATCACTTTAGCTCAGGAGTCCAAGGTTGCAGTGAGATATAATTGCTCCACTGTACTCCAACCTGGGTGACAGAGCAAGACCCCGTTTCTAGAAAACATAATAAAAAAGAAGTGAATAATAGTGGTATAAGATGTGCACTGTAATAGATACTGGGGTGCTCTGCCCAGATCCCCTCTTCAGGACTGAGATATCCATCCTTCAACTGCTGGAAATATCAGCTGCTGATAGCTCACAGCTCATCTCTTGATGGGAATTGTACTCAGCCACAAGTAACTGCCTTACCCAGGTTTATGCCGCATATACCATCAGATGTTTACCAGTAACAAATTACTGGTGGTTCCAGGATTACAAATCACATGTCTGTTTGGGATGTACTGTAGGGACATGCTAGTTCCAGATCTCAATGTAAGATCAACCACAGTACTAGCTGCATTCACACTACAGTTCAGCCTCTCCCTCTGCCCATTCCTGCCTTCCTTATAGGTTTAACTCTCCTGAAATCACTTCCCAGTAAAACTGCACATATGTCTCAATTCCAGGTTTTGTTTTCCGGAGAGCCCAGTCTAACAAATGTTAATGCTTTGCATACATTATCTCATACTGTAGAAAAAGGATTCAAAATTGTCCCTGCCTCTCCCTGATACCTAGATTCTCAAAATTCATTAGTTATTTGGCAAATAATGAGAGATTACAATTGCCATGGGCCTGGAAGAAATACTGCTTCTGCAGTGATTTGCTCAAAACTGCTGCAGGATTGTGGCTCTGGGGAAGATAAAAATTGCCCTTGGTTGATCATTTGAGGAAAGGCTGATTCAGCAAAGGTCTAATTATAAAATGAGAGGGAGGGATCTCACAGTGGTTAAAATAATGTTCAGCATGACTTACAGCCAATAACAAGGTGTGCTGATGTCATCAAGCAAGGGACAGTTTTTTCCTGTTTCTGAGGTCTGATAGAAGCCTGTTGGAGTTTTAAATGTGGTCTCATCCAACTCACCCACTTATTTGCAGATTGGGGTTATGCAAAAAAGGTTGATAGAAAACCTTTTTTGAACCACAAATTAGGGACAGAATTTCAGCTATTACTGCTGTAACAACTATTTCAGCTATTACTGCTGTAACAACTACCCCCAAACTTAGTGGGGTAAAACCTTAGGCTCATACATTCTGTGGGTCAGTAATTTGGACAGAGCACAGTTAGGGCAGCTTGCTTCTGCTCTACATTTTCTGGTGCCTAAACTAAGTCACTAAAAATGTTACAGAACAAGGCTGGGCGTGGTGCCTCACGCCTGTAATCCCAGCACTGTGGGAGGCCGAGGCAGGTGGATCACTTGAGGACAGGAGTTGGAGACCAGCCTGACCAATATGGTGAAACCCTGTCTCTACTAAAAATACAAAACTTAGCTGGGCATGGTGGTGTATCCCTGTAATCCCAGCTACTCTGGAGGCTGAGACAGGAGAATTGCTTGAACCAAGGAGGCGGAGGTTGCAGTGAGCCGAGATTGCACCAATTGCACCACTGCACTCCAGCCTGGGTGAGAGTGAGACTTCCTCCCAAAAAAAAAAAAAAAAAGTTGCAGACCAAACCGGGGTCTGCTTGGCTGGTGCAGTAAGATCATATATCTACACTGAGGTTTGCATTGGTAGAAAGAAAGGTGTTTATTTGCAGGGCTCCAAGAAGAAAGGATCAGACAGTTAATGCTTAAATTCTGAACTCCCCAATGACTGGGAGGTAAGGGTTTTTAAAGACAGGTAAATTTCAGGAAAGCAGAAATTGGAGGCAAAATTATAAATCAATACATGGAGGGTACACATTGGTTTTGGCCTAAAAGGGTGGAATATCTTGAAGTGGGGGCTTACAGGTCATAGGTAGCTTCAAAAATTTTCTGATTTGCAATTGGTTTAGGATGATAAGCTTTGTTTAAACATTTGGGGTCAGCATAAAAGAATACTGGCTCCAGCTCACAGGTGTGAGCTCCAGGCCCCTCAGGAAGAAAAAAGAATCACAGTCAGAGTTCAGTCCCCAAATTCTCTCTTTCCTGAGGTCTCCCTGCTGATGGATCCATTTGGTGGGAGTCCACGTTTCTGAAATACAAAACAGGGACATATGTTAAGATGTGATCTTTAGTTTCTGTACTGGAACCAAATATCTTGTGACTCTAACTTCCTTGGCTATTGACTTAAGCTACTATTACCTTTTTCCTTATCAGGTTGCTTGTTTACTTTTCAAGGCTGGCTAGGTGCTTGGAATTTTCCTTGAAAGAAATCAAGACTTTCCTTTATTTCCATGCCTGGAGTGGGGAGCTGTAGGCCCCTAAGAAGGGGTCTCGGCTCCATCTTGAAGTTGGAGTGACTCAATAGCTGGATGCTAGAAATATCTGGAGCACGTCACTCACGTGTCTGGTGGTTGATGCTCACGTTTGCCTGAGACCTCAGCTGGGTTGTCTGACTAGAGTATTTACAGGTGGTGTCTTCATTGAGTCTCTTTGTGTGGTAGTTTGTGCTTCCTCATGGCATGGAGACTGGGTTTTGTGAGCGAGTGCCCCAAGAGAACAAGGTAGAAGTGAATGGTGTTTTAATGATCTAGCAGATAGGCTTATTTTTGTTGTACCCTATTGGTAAAAGCTACTGTAAAGTTTCACCCATATTCACCTGAACGAGAACCAGCAGACCCACCACTTAACGTGATGATTACGTGGTAAGAAGGGAGGTGAGATGGGAGTTGCTGTTGTGGTCAACTCTGGAAAATACTTTTCGCCACAGGTGGCTTACAAACAATATTAGTCCTTGAGATCTTCTCTGTTCCTTATGTTCTTATTCGGTTTGACTGACAGATTGGCTGTTAGGATGAAAGACTAAATTCTCCTTATGTATTTGTTGAAATGAACCAAATTGAATCTGTGGGATTCCCAAAGGCCATGCAAAAAGCAAATGCTCGTGGTGAGGAAAAATGACATGACATTTTGCTCCTCAGTCCTGTTATGATTTGTGTTGCTCAGGGCTCCAATCCAAACTCCGGGGAATAACAGAGACCCGGAAAATGGGGACCCTAGTGCTGACATATGTCTGGGAGTGCAGAGTCTCTTCTGTGGAGGGCCTCAGGGGAGGTTACATATACAACACGCCCTCCAGCAGAATTCAAGCCCGATTGAATGCTACTGCACTTCCTGTGAGAATGGAAGATGCTTTCTCTTTATAAAGGAGAGACAACTGCTTGAAATTACTGGGCCAGTAGTTAGGAGAGCTGAATTCTAGCTCTGGATCTTTCGTTTTAACAATTGCAAAGATATGAAACCAACCTTGACAGTTTAAGAGACCTGGGTTCTACCACCTGAAAATGGGGTTAGTGATCTCTAATATGAGATTTTATAGGATTATTGTGAAGCATAAACAAAATATACAAAGTCCTAACAGTTGTAGGGCACTGTAAAAGTGAAGGTATCAAGAAAGGTTTACTTATTAGTTTTTATCCATGGTTAAAGTCTTCATTGGGTAGGGGTTCCTCAATATGCTGCCTTGTAATAGAAGTGCTTTTTGGGGGTATGACCAAGCTTAGTGAAGCTCTTCCTAACTACCAAGTGGTTGATCTTGAGCCTGATGTTAGCCTGCCTAATACTCACAGTACCAAAATAAGATTAATCCTTGCCAACCCTTTGCTGTACCTAGCTAAGCTCTTCCCACTGTGTGCCCAGATTTTCCTACTTAATGTGATCAGAATGAATTCATATTCATTTCCTGTTTGGGCTTATTTCCCACTGTGGCTAGGACATTGCCTTGATATAAGTCTTTCAACTTTTCATGTAGGCATTTAGTATTTTAAGATAATTCCAAAGACAGCTGTTGTCAGTAGATGATCCCAAATAGCTTTAAACTCTGATCCTTAGAGCAATGATAAGGAGGACAGCAGTTGGGAAAAAACCGATTTTCATGAGTCAACATAGCAACTTCATAAATTGAGTCATACCGTGTGAATATCACTACTGTACCAAAATAGAGAAAGAAAATACTGCCATGTCATCTGCCTCTCTTGTGCCTAAGCACCCTCCTCTGTCTCTCCTTCTGCCAAATGGAACAAAACCAGCATCTGAGAATGAGTAAACATCCTTAAGACAATCAAGAACTAAATGTTCAGTCCATAGATGGAAAAGAGAAACAGTGGGTGCTGGAGAATGATCTTCCCGAAATCTCAATATAAATAAAATCTACACATAGCAACAATACTGTTTTATTGCTTTGGTGCAAAGAGGCAGTGCACATTCCTGGGCAGGATATGATCACAGGTATGAGAGCCATGAGCTTTTCTTGAGATTCATGAAGACTTCTGAAGCTTTGGTCACCTGGAGTGTGTGGCATTTGGGGCCTGTTCTTGCTCATAGGCAATAATTTTCTATTTGTAAGTGAAAGAAAATGCTTTAGTTTTTGTTCCCCCAGATAATTTTATCTTGAGATAAAAGCAAGATAACAAACCTTGTCAACTTTCCTTAAGCAGAAATATCTCTGCCACCTTGAGGTACACCACTGCAAAGTTATAAATTCTGACTCTTAAGCAAGTATTTTTAAATGATTTATTGTTTTGTTCTACTTAGAACATCTGTAAACCAACATTTATCTTTATATAAACTGTTTCAAATTCTCTTCCACTAGACAGTACGGAGATTTCTCAAAGAGCTTAAAGCAGATTACCATTTGATCCAGCAGTCCGGATCTACCCAAAGAAAAGAAGTCATTGTATCAAAAAGACACCTGCATGTGTATGTTTATCACAGCACAATTCACAATTGCAAAGATATGGAATCAACCTGGGTGTCTATCAGCTAACAAGTAGATAAAGAAAATGTGGTATATATACACATGAAACACTACTAATCCATAAAAAAGAATGAAATAATATCTTTCACAGCAACTCGGATGGAGTTGGAAGCCATTATTCTAAGTGAAGTAGCTTCTCACTTATAGGTAGGCGCTAAGCTGTGGGTATGCAAAGGCCTACAGAATGTTATAATGGTCATTGGAGACTCAGAAGTGCGGAGACTGGGAGGGAAGTGAAGAATGAAAAATTACCTATCGGGTACAGTGTACACTACTTGAGTGTGGGGTGCACTAAAATCTCAGACTTCACCACTATACAATTCATCTATATAACCAAAATCTGCTTGTACCCTAAAGCTAGTGAAATAAAAAGTAAAAAAGTAAAATAAAAATTTGGGAGCCTAATTATTTCTTCATAGTAGGAAGAAATGATTTGATAACTGCAAATTTCACAATTAGCAGTGCTAAGTTAAAAAATTTTGTTTAAGGAAGGTAAATCTGATATGAGGTTGTACTTCTGATTCCTCACAAAATTCTTTTAATCTGATGTATGTAGTAGCTTATATTTTTGGGACATTTACATTGTGTCAGGTAATTTTTTTAAAGTTTGATTTTATTTTTAATTGACAAGTAATAATTGTATATATTTATGGGGTACAATGTGATGTTTCAATACATGTATGCATTGTGGAATGATCATCAGGCTAATTAGCATATCTGTCATCTGAAATATTTATCATTTCATTGTAGTGAGAACATTTAAAATCCTCTCTTGCCAGGTGCGGTGGCTCACGTCTGTAATCCCAGCACTTTGGGAGGGCAAGGTGGGCAGATCACCTGAGGTCAGGAGTTTGACACCAACCTGGCCAACATGGCAAAACCCTATCTCCAGTAAAAATACAAAAATTAGCCGGGCGTGGTGACGGGTGCCTGTAATCCGAGCTACTTGGGAGTCTGAGGCAGGAGAATCGCTTGAACCCGGGAAGGCAGAGGTTGTAGTGAGCTGAGATTGTGGCACTGCCCTCCAGCCTGGGTGACAAGAGTGAGACTCTATCTCAAAAAAATAAAAATAAAAATAAAATCCTCCCTTTTACCTCTTTTGAAATATACCATACATTATTATTAACTATAACACTGTGCTGTGCAGTAGAACACCAGAACTTCTTTCTTTTAACTGTAACTTCATACTTGTTGATCAGTGTCTCTTCTTTTCCTGTCCCACCCCAATCCCCAGCCTCTGGTAACCTCTATTCTATTGTCTACTTCCATGAGTCTGACTTTTTTTTTTTTTTTTTATGGGACAGAGTCTTGCTCTGTCACCCAGGTTAGAGTGCAGTGGCACGATCTCGGCTCACTGCAAGCTCCGCCTCCTGGGTTCACGCCATTCTTCTGCCTCAGCCTCCCAAGTAGCTGGGACTACAGGCGCCTGCCACCACGCCTGGCTAATTTTTTGTAATTTTTAGTAGAGACGGGGTTTCACTGTCTTAGCCAGGATGGGCTTGATCTCCTGAAGTCGTGATCTGCCCGCCTTGGACTCCCAAAGTGCTGGGATTACAGAGTCTGACTTTTTTTGATTCCGCATATAAATGAGATCATATGGTATTTGTCTCTCTGTGCCTGGTTTATTTCCATGAGTCTGACTTTTTTTGATTCTGCATATAAATGAGATCATATGGTATTTGTCTCTCTGTGCCTGGTTTATTTCACTTAAAATACTGTCCTCTAGGTTCATCCACATTGTTGCAAATGACAGAATTTCCTGACTTTTCAAGGCCGAATTGTATTCCACTGTGTATATATATCACATTTTAAAACTCCACTCATCCATTGATAGACACCTAAGTTGATTCCATATCTTGGCTATTGTGAATAAAGCTGTAATGAACATGGAAATGCAGGCATGTCTTTGGCATACTGATTTCAATTCCTTTGAGTATATACCCAATAGTGGGATTGCTGAATCATACAGTAATTCTAATTTCAGCTTTTTGAGGAAACTTCATACTGTTTTCCATAATGGCTGCACTAATTTACAGTATCACCAACAGTGTTCCCTTTTCTCCATGTGCTGGCCAACATTTGTTATCTTTCATCTTTTTGATAAAGCTATTTTTACATGTGTGCAATAGTATATGACTGTGGTTTTAATTTGCATCTCTCTGATGATTAGTAATGTTGTGCATTTAAAAATATATCTATTAGGCCAGGCACAGTGGCTCACGCCTGTAATCCCAGCACTTTGGGAGGCCAAGGTGGGTGGATCACGAGGTCAGGAGTTCAAGACCAGCATGGCCAAGATGGTGAAACCCTGTCTCTACAAAAAGCTACAAAAATTAGCCAGGTGCGGTGGCAGGCGCCTGTAATCCCAGCTACTCAGGAGGCTGAGGTAGGAGAATCACTTGTATTGGGGCAGCAGAGGTTGCAGTGAGCTGAGATCGTGTCACTGTACTCCAGCCTGGGTGACAGAGTGAGACTTCATCTCAAAAAAAAAAAAAATTATGTATATATATATATACTTTTGAGAAATGTCTATTCAAGTCGTTTGCCCATCTTTCCACTAGGGTATTTGTTTTCTTGTTATTGACTGAATGGAGTTCCTTATAGATTTTGGATATTAGCCCCTTTTCCAATGTATAATTTGCAAATATTTTCTCCCAATCTGTGGGTCGTCTCCTCATCCTATTGTTTCCTTTGCTGTGTCTTTTAGTTTAATGCAAGTTCATTTGTCATTGCCTATGCTTTAGGGGTCCTAGCCAAGAAATATCTGCCCAGACCAATGTTATGGAGCTTTCTCCTATGTTTTCTTCTAGTTTCAGATTTTATATTTAAGTCTTCAATCCATTTTGAGTTGATTTTTGTATATGGTGAGAGGTAGAGATGTAGTTTCATTCTTCTGCATATGAATATCCAGTTTTCCCATCATTATTTATGGAAGAGACTGTCCTTTCTCCATTGTGTGTTCTTGTCACCATTGTTGAAAAAATTTAAAAATTTTGTGTAAATAAGGAAAGTAAAACTGATATCAGGTTGTACTCCTGATTCCTGAAAAAATTCTTCCTGTAATTCTGATATAAACAGTAGCTTATAGTTTTGGAGCATTTATATTGTGGCAAGTACTTAGTTAAGTTCTTAAATATAGTATTTCACTTACATTTCATTATAGCTCTATGAAGTAAGTGCTATAGTGCCATTTTACAGATGAGAAAATCAAGTTTCAGAGAGGTGAATAAACTCAGTCAAGGACACATACATAGTGAGTGGCTGAGCCTAGATTTAAGCCTAGATCTGTCTGATGTCAAAGGCCAAGCTCTTTCCACTATAAAGTATTGCTTTTCAAGTCACGAAGTTATAAAGTTCATTCCAAGTCCATGAGTCTCCATATCAATGATAAAGATGAGAGATTCTTTAAATATGGCTCTTTTTCCTTCTGGGCCATGGCCAGACTACACTTCTAAGCCTACCAAGAAGTTAATTATGGCCAGGTAATGGAGTTCTTGCTTATGGACTCTATAGGGATAAACTATGCATATAATTTTTCAGATCTGGTCCATAAAATCTTCTTCATGACTCTCCATGTTTTCTTCCCAATATTCCAGGGGATGACAATACCCAGGGCAATCTTGGAAACCATGCAAGCTATATATATGTAGAAGATGGCACGACCTTTGTCTATCTGGGCCTTGAATGACTGTATGGAATGGAGTTTCCTCCTGGCAACAAATACATTTTATGTGACTGAGAAATAAGCTTTGGTAGTGACATTTTGGAATTTATAGGTTAGAGTAGCTGGTGTTGATTTTGAGGTAAATTCCTATGTTATTTAAGTGGCATGCTATTGTAACAAAAACCTATAATATATGGCATTGGCTTAGCAGTTGGGTAGTGAGAAAACTGATATCACAGGCAGAAGAACTAGAGTTCCATCTTATTCAGTGACATTATTTTTGCTAGAACCATCAACCTGAGAAAACCTGAAGTCAGTCTGGTGTTTATTGAGCCTGTAGTAAAGCAGTGTGTTAGGAGTGTGTATTGGTTGTTATGGGCTGTCATTAGGAAGATATTGCAAGAAAGAGATGAGTTCAGGAAAGAGTTGGAGAAAGTATGGTGATGAAAAAGCATTTAGAGGAGTGGAAACATTTTTTACTCTGCTAGACCACATAACAGTAAAAGACGGAAATGTGTGAGTGACAAAGATTCATTAAAATTTAGCCTTAGGTAAAAAAAAATCTTTCAATAACAGCCATCATTTGCATATCCAAAAACTCACTAATGTGCTGTGCTAAATTTAACTAAATTGACTATTAGCCCTGAGTTACCATTAATAGTATAAAGAACAGCCAGAAGCTATGAAATATGAGTTTTAAAAAAACATGTCCTGGATCAAATTCTTAGGAAGAGTCCTCAGTTTAACTAGAGCAAACCACAGTGGTGACTGGGGATAGCAGTAATGATGACTTTGTCCCCTGCTTAACCAAAAAACAATACATGGGTTAATATACCCAGTTACTGAGTACCTACTACAAGCACAGCATTGGGTGTGTCAACAGTAATAAGACTCAAATCAGCTGTAGAAAAGGAAAAGTCATACACCAAGAGTTAAAATACTGTAGTCACCCCCTTATCTAAAGGGGATAAGTAACAAGACCCCCACTGGATGTCTGAAACTCAAACTGTGCGGGTTGTATAAACACAATTACGTGACGTTAAAGATAAGATTAAGTTCTTCATAATGAAGATGCAAATCTGGGTTTAGTCACCAACTTGTGTGGCCTTAAACAAGTAATTTCACTTCTGTGGGCTTCATTGGTAACTTGAGGGATTTTTGTTATGTGATCTGAGAGGCTAAAATAAACACCTCTGTATCAACTAACATGGACCCTAAGATTAAGGAAACAAAAGTTAGCTATGGATGGAGAGTGGAGGATTCAGAGATTGGCCTGTATGGCAACTCCCTAAATTCCTTTGGCCATAAGAAAGACTAAACTCTTACGAAACCCCCCTAGCAATGGAAGCTATCAGGCCAATCAATTATCAGACCCCTCCTAACTCTGATTTTCAACTCAGACCCACTAAAGAGGAATGACCTTACAAACATTCTTTCCTAATAAGCAACTGCAGACCTTAAGCCAGTTTTGGCCTGCTTATAGAGGCTGTGCCATGAACTGTCTTTCTGTCCTTTAGTAAGCCTTTTGACATAAAAAGCCAAATTCCACCTCATTTTATTGGTAAAACCTTGCCCCAGGTGAACATGGGATGTATGCTACATATATGTTTGCCCATTGCACATGTGCTCAATTGCTTTCATAAAAATGTGTAGCTTTTCCCCAAACCTGCTAAATATGTATGACTCTGTTGTGTATTACAGCCCCTGTGAGGCATAAAACCCAACCTGCCCTTTCTGTTTTTTGAGGAAAGAGTATCTTCTGTACACACTGGAGACTCTGTCTCTCTCTCTCTTTTTTTTTTTTTGAGACGGAGTCTTGCTCTGTTGCCTAGGCTGGAGTGCAGTGGCATGATCGCAGCTCACTGTAACCTCTGCCTCAGCCTCCCTAGTAGCTGGTATTACAGGTGTCCGCCACTATGCCCAGCTAATTTTTTTGTATTTTTAGTAGAGATGGGGTTTCACCAAGTTGGCCAGGCTGGTATCAAACTCCTGACCTCGTGATTCACCTTCCACGTCGGCCTCCCAAAGTGCTGGGATTACAGTCGTGAGCCACTGTGCCCGGCCAGACTCTCTCTTCTTGGTTTGCAAACTGCTATCACCAGTAAAGCTCTCCTTTCTACTACTTAGCCATCCTGGTGGTCTTTTGGGTGGCAAATGATTTCCAAAGTCCTTTCCAGCTTTATTTTATGTGACTATATTCACAGGACTACCTGCTCTATCAGGGCAAGAATCATGACTATTTTATTTACCATTATTTCTAAAACCTAGCACTGTACTCTGCATTTTGCAGGCCATCGAGAAATATTTTTGCATGAATGAATAGTGTAGTTGCACTAATGCCATCTAATGAAGGGACTCATCAATTAGGTTATTTTTGTCACAAAGTGGACTTTTATGACGTGGGCTTATGCCTTATGAGTTCTTTGTTTCCTTTTACAAAAGAGAAGAAGGTAATGGTACCCACTTAACACCACAGAGTAGGCATGGGGTGAAAATTAATCAGTTTATTGTAATTGACTATTTAGGCAAAAATGGTAGATGGAGGTGAATAACAATCAGGGCTATTTTTCAGATAATGGTTATGGGATTAGCAGTTATTGGTGTCTGCATATGTTAACCAAGATGAGGCAAGAGACCAGACTGCAACACTGTAAGACAAGGCATTGATTGGCATCTTAGGAATTGCAATTTGGGAGACACAGATTCAGCTAGAGGACAAATTGTGATTCGAAGAGAGGAAAAGGAGTAGGGATTTTTAAAAGGAAGATAAGGGTGATTAGACAAGTTGTTCTGAAAGAATTATCACTGGTGGAGGTGGCTGGCTTAGTGCACGAGTTCATAGTTCACCGGTCATTCAGGAGCTGCAGCAATGGTAAAGTTTAGTCATTTCTCAGGATGTGATCATGGAAGTACGGCCCAGTTCAGAAGTTCATGGCAAGTTTTGATTCTTTTTGCTTATTTTTTTTGCAAGGTTTTTAAATTTAAATTTAAATTTTTTTTAATTTGTAAGGCTATAGGTCGTGCATGTAGTCCTTCTTAGAATGGAGTCCTTTCCAACTCCATTTCAGAGCTCTGAACCAGAGTGATGGCATTTTGTATATCACATTTTACACATATAAGAATATGTTCATAAATATTTCTCAATTTAAACCTTGAGTGGAAGTTGAGTATACACAACAGCCTTGTGTTAGCAGTGTTTCGTGGCAATGAAAGAGAAGAGGGTGTTTTCATGCTCGGATGAAGGGTGAAGGCTGTAGGAAAGAACATTAACTATGGAAAGTGAAGAAGAAGGAATTGGTCAAGAGGAAGTTTGGAGCTAGTTAAGCGGCGTCATTTGTCTGGGGTGAATACCCAAGGTTCGTCGTCTCACGCCAAGGGAATTGAGGATGTGGACACACAAGAAATGAGTTTGAGTGGAGGTTTAATAGGCAAAAGAAAGAGAACAGAGAATAGCTGTCTCTCCTGCTGAGAGAGAGAGGCTCCCGAGTGGGTCTTCAGATTTCAAGGTGAAATGCATGGAGTTTTATAGACGAGCTGAGGAGGTTGTGTCTGATTTACATAGGGCCTGAGAGATTGGTCGGACCAGTACGACAGGCCAGCATGAAGAAGTTGGCCATCCCACCCTAATCTTTTATTATGCAGATGGATTCCCTACCTGGCTGACACCATATTTTCTGTTCCTTACGGTGCCCATGGTTGACAAAGAAAAGGGAAGATGGAGCCGCCATGTTGAACATGCCTGGCCCCCAGGTAGCCTTTTCTACGTGCACAGCTGCCGACATTTACCTTTGCAAGCTTTTAGTTTGCTTATCTATGCCTGCAGCTTGATTTTTTCAGGCTTCTTTTTGTTAGAAAAGAAATAATTTGGGGGCTGCTTTTTATTAAAAGGGAAACCTTGCTGAGGACTTTCTTACCCTCACTAACTGCCTAAATAATTTCTCTTTAGCTCCTGTATCACTAGCATTCAAGAAAATGGATACAGTTAGCAGCAAAGGAAACGGAAGCCCTTACCACTAGGGAATCATCAGAAATACTTGATACGGTTCTGGGCCTACAGTAGTTACATGGAATGGAAACTTGAGTCATTTTATTTGAATAACAAAGTAACAAGTGATCACAAAACACTGGAGGATATAAGACATACAAAACTATGGAATTATTCCATGAATTCAATACAGTAAATCTTCATTTATGGACAGCAACCATATATAGTATAGTTTGAATACTTACACTGCAAATCAGGCATTACTTTGTACATGTTATGATGAGAAAATTGTAGTTCAAAGAGTTGAACAACTAAATGTATTTTAAAAAGCAAAGGACTTGATTTTGAACTTATTTCTGTTGGGTCTAGTTAAAAGAAAAACTTCAGTTGAATTAAATTTAAAGGAGTTTAATTGAGCAATGAATGATTCATGAATCGGGCAGCCCCCAGAATCACAGCAGATTGAGGGAGACTCCAGGGAAGCCCTTGTGGTCAGAACAAATTTACAGACAGAAAAAGGGATGTGATATACAGAGATCGGAAGTGAGGTACAGAAACAGCTGGATTGGTTACAATTCAGTGTTTGCGTCATTTGAACACAGTTTAAACATTTGGCAGTGTATGTCTGGTTGAAGTATGACTGCTGGGATTGGCCAAGACTCAGCTATTGTTACAGATGCATACTCCTAAATTAGGTTTTCAATCTTGTCTACCTATTAAGTTAGGTTGAAGTTCATCCACAAGGACTCGGATATGGAAGTACAGAGTCCTTCTCAGGCCATATTTAGTTTGCTTTAACAGTCTGATGCCAAATTCTAAAATGTTCCCTTTACAGAATACCATGGGTCATCTTAGATTCTCTTTGTTGTGACAATGCAGCTCAGTGGGAGACATACCTAGGCCCACTATGGAAAAGTCACAAACTACCTCTAAATTCAATATTTCAAAATTAACTTGTATTGTCAGGAGGTAATGACCAGTAAGATTTGGGACACCATAACACTCAAAAATAGCAGATAATATATTGTTGTTAAGGGATTTTCTAACAGAATCTAGAATGATTTTGCCTTATCTACACCATTTTTTTAAACCTAGGAAGTATATTTTGGTTATCATTTTTACTTATATGTTTGTGTCCATTTGGATACTAGAAAAGTTGGGGAGACAGTTTAAAATGTGGAAAGGTTTTGATGGTTTGTGAATGAAGTAGAGCAGAATATTTGATATAAGGACAACTGCTAAATCTATGACTTTTGTTCCCAATTCAAACAAAAATTTTCTAAAACAGTGTGATTGGTGACTATAAACATACCCCCTCTCTTCTCCCATCCCCTATCAATATTTTTTCCTTTACTTAAACATGAAAACAAAAGTTAACTTCTAGGAGTTCTGGATTTGGATTTTTGAGGCTACCGTTTTCTTTCCTAATGACTGCCTGCCTATCCAATCAAGTGCAAAGATATTGTCCTCAATAATTAGCTAATTGTGACACATCCAGATGCTTGCAGGGCAACTGAGACACTTCTCTCTCATTTTGACAAAGAAGCATGTTACTGCACTTCTAATTAACCAGTTAAAGGTGAATTCTCCTCATTGATGATTTTTAGCTCACTAGGAATTTTATTTCCAAATGCTAAATGAGAAATGAGTATGACTCAATAGTCTCTCTGTTCTTCCACTGTACCTTTAAGGTCAGTTTGTTTTCTAAGTTCTCACTTAAATTCTATTATGAGTAAACAGCTATTTTTTTAAAAATCAAGTCATAATGAACATCACACTTAAATATGACAAAGAACTATTTTAGCATTGAAACAGAATAATATATATAAGATGTATATATGAAGAACATGTATAAGGTAATATTGACAGATCTGACAAAACAGGCTTTATTTTTTTTGCTTTTTTTCTCCCAACATAATTGATGTGTAATTGAAGTGCACATATTTAAAGTGTATAATTTTATCAGTTTTGACATATGTATATACTTGAGAAACTGTTCACATAATACAAATAAACATTTCTATCACCCTCAAAAGTTTCCTTTGGACCCCTTTTAGTCAATCATCCCATTATTGAGCAAACATATATATGTATATATATATATTTTTATTATACTTTAAGTTCTGGGATACATGTGCAGAACGTGCAGGTTTGTTACATAGGTATACATATGCCATGGTGGTTTGCTGCACCCATCAACCCATCTTCTACATTAGGTATTTCTCCTAATGTTTTCCCTCCCCTTGCCCCCCATCCCCGACAGGCCCTGGTGTGTGATGTTCCCCTTTCTGTGTCCATGTGTTCTCATTGTTCAACTCCCACTTATCAGTGAGAACATGAGGTGTTTGGTTTTCTGTTCTTGTGTTAGTTTGCTGAGATTGATGGTTTCCAGCTTCATCCATGTCCCTGCAAAGGACATGAACTCATTCTTTTTTATGGCTGCATAGCATTCCATGGTGTATATGTGCCACATTTTCTTTATCCAGTCTATCATTGATGGTCATTTGGGTTGGTTCCAAGTCTTTGCTATTGTAAATAGTGCTGCAATAAACATACGTGTGTATGTGTCTTTATAGTAGAATGATTTATAATCCTTTGGGTATATACCCAGTAATGGGATTGCTGGGTGAAATGGTATTTCTGGTTCTAGATCCTTGAGGAATTGCCACACTGTCTTCCACAATGGTTGAACTAAATTCCACTCCCACCAACAGTGTGAAAATGTTCCTATTTCTCCACATCCTCTGCAGCATCTGTTTTTTGACTTTTTAATGATTGCCATTCTAACTGGTGTGAGATGGTATCTTGCTGTGGTTTTGATTTGCATTTCTCTAATGAGAAATGGTGATGAGCTTTTTTTCATATGTTTGTTGGCCGCATAAATGTCTTCTTTTGAGAAGCGTCCGGTCATATCCTTCACCCATTTTTGGTGGGATTTTTTTTTCTTGTAAATTTGTTAAGTTCCTTGTAGATTCTGGATATTAGCCCTTTGCCAGATGGATAGATTGCAAAAATTTTCTCCCGTTCTGTAGGTTACCTGTTCACCTGATGATAGTTTCTTTTGCTGTGCAGAGGCTCTTTAGTTTAATTAGATCCCATTTGTCTATTTTGGCTTTTGTTGCCATTGCTTTGGTGTTTTAGTCATGAAGTCTTTGCCCATGGGGTTTTTATGGTTTTAGGTCTTACGTTTAAGTCTTTCATCCATCTTGAGTTAATTTTTGTATAAAGTGTAAGGAAGGGATCCAGTTTCAGTTTTCTGCATATGGCTAGCCATTTTTCCCAACACCATTTATCAAATAGGGAATCCTTTCGCCATTGCTTGTTTTTGTCAGGTTGGTCAAAGATCAGATGGTCGTAGGTGTGTGGTGTTATATCTGAGGCTTCTCTTCCCGTTGGTCTATATATCTGTTTTGGTACCAGTACCATGCTTTTTTGATTACTGTAGCCTTGTAGTATAGTTCATAGTCAGGTAGTATGATACCTCCAGCTTTGTTCTTTTTGTTTAGGATTGTCTTGGCTACATGGGCTCTTTTTTGGTTCCATATGAAATTTAAAGTAGTTTTATCTAATTCAGTGAAGAAAGTCATTGGTAGCTTGATGGGAATAGCATTGAATCTGTAAATTAGTTTGGGCAGTATGGCCATTTTCATGATATTGATTTTTCCTACCCATGAGCATGGAATGTTTTTCCATTTGTTTGTGTCCTATCTTATTTCATTGAGCAGTGGTTTGTAGTTCTCCTTGAAGACGTCCTTCACATCCCTTGTAAGTTGGATTCTAGGTATTTTATTCTCTTTGTAGCAATTGTGAATGGGAGTTCACTTATGATTTGGCTCTCTGTTTGTCTGTTATTGGTGTATAGGAATGCTTGTGATTTTTGCACATTGATTTTGTGTCCTGAGACTTGGCTGCAGTTGCTTCTCAGCTTAAGGAATTTTTGGGCTGAGACAATGGGGTTTTCTAAATATACAATCATGTCATCTGCAAATAGAGAAAATTTGACTTCCTCTCTTCCTATTTGAATACCCTTTATTTCTTTCTCTTGCCCGATTGCCCTGGCCAGAATTTCCAGTACTATGTTGAATAGGAGTGGTGAGAGAGGGCATCCTTGTCTTGTGTTGGTTTTCAAAGGGAATGCTTCCAGCTTTTTCCCATTCTGTATGATAGTGGCTGTGGGTTTGTCATAAATAGCTCTTGTTATTTTGAGATATGTTCCATCAATACCTAGTTTATTGAATGTTTTTAGCATGAAGGGCTGTTGAATTTTATCAAAGGCTTTTTCTGCATCTATAGAGATAATCAAGTGACATATTTTAAATTTCTGTCAATATAGATGTTTGCATTATTAGATTTTTATATAAATTAGATCATATGGGATGTGTGATTCCATTTACCACTTTTTGCCCAATTTATTTAACTGAGAACAATGATTTTGAGTTTCATTCACATCGTTGTGTGTATCAGTAGTTACTATATTTTTAATTGCTAAATAGTATTCCATTGCATGGATATACCATAGTTTGTTTATACATTTGCCTGTTGATGGACAGTTGTATTGTTTCTAGTTTTGGGCTGCTGAAAATAGAGCTGCCATGAACATTTGTGTACATGTCTTTGTGTGGACCTGTGTTTTTGTTTCTCTAGGGTAAATACCTTAGTAGGCACATATTTAACATTTTACAAAATTGACAAATCATTTTCCAAAGCAGTTGTACAATTTTACTTTCTTATCAGCGATGTATAAGCGTTCCAGTTTTTTCACAACCTCACTAAGTGTGGTTTCACAACCACACTTGCTGTGGTCCAGCTTCTTAATTTTAGCCAATATAATGGGTGTTCAGTGCTATTTTAATGTGATTTTAATTCGCTTTTCCCTGCTTACTAGTGATGTTAAGTATCTTTTCAGGTGCTTATTGGCCATTTGCAAACTTTCTTCTATTAAATACTTGTTCAAATTATTTGCCCAGTTGTTTGGTAGATTCATGGTATTTTCCTCACAAAGAATCACATAATCTCCAAATAGGTAAAATTTCATGTCCTCCTTTCACATCTTTATTTCTTTTTCTTGCCTAATTGCAATGACTAGTGCCTCCAGCAAAATGTGGAATAGAAGTAATGAAAGCAGGTATCCTTGTCTTGTTTTCAATCTCATGAGGGAAATAATTTGTGTTTCACTATGAAGTATGACATTGGATGCAGGTTTTTTGTTGAGGTCCTTTAGAAACTTGAAAATTCCCTATAATCCAAGTTTACTGAGAGATTTTTTTTTCATATAATGAATGGGTGTTGAATTTTGTCAAATGCTTTTTATGCATCTATTTAGTATGAAATTTTCCCTCATCTAAAGAGAGGTCTGGCTATTGTTCTGGCCTCTGCAAGGTTACCTCTAAAAGCATGGAGTTTTCTAAGTGATAGAAGTGTCTTACTTTGTTATTGATAGTGGGCTCCTTGGGCCATATGTGATAGTTTTTGCTAACAAGGTGACTTAGAGTGAGGGATGACCTCTTCAGAAAGACCAGCCATGTGATTAAGAAGAGCAGGGCTTCAAGCTATGTTTTATCAGCCTAATCTCTGAGAACTAAGGGAACATGGAGATTGTGTTCAACCACATGGGCAATGATTCATTCAATCATGTCTATGTAATAAAACCCCAGTGAAAACTCTGGACACCAAAGTTCATGTGAGTTTCCTATGTTGGTAATACTCCAAGTGTATTGCTACACATGGATGCTGAGAGTAATGTGTCCCTGAGGACGATGAAAGTTTTACATCTGGACCTCTTTGAGACTTTGTCCCATGCGTTTATTCCTTTGGCTGGTTCTAATTTGTATCCTTTCACTGTAATAAAGGTTTGTAATGGCACAGTGCTCTACTGAGTTCTGTGAGTCATTATAGTGAATTATAGAACCAGAGGGAGTCTGTGGGGACCCCACATTTGTAGCCAGATAGTCAAAAGTGAGAGCAGCCCTGAGGACCCCTGAACTTGTTGCTGGGGCCTGAAGTGAGGGCAGTTTTTCACGGAGTGTTCTCTCAGGCTTTGCAGTTTGCAAGATTCGTTGCAGTTCATGTTAGAAGTCTTAAGCAGACGTGGCGTTTCAGAGTATTGCACCTTTAACCTTGAGTCTGCCTAATTGTAGATAGCGTCTATTAAAATGGTCATGTGTTTTTTCTTCTTTGTGCTGTAAATTTAATTCATTATATCCACTGAATTTTGATCCTTAAACCAACTTTGTACTCTGAGAATAAAACTTACTTCATAATGATTTATTATTGTTTTCATACAGGGTTGAATTTAACTAATATTTTGTCAAGGGCATTTGCATCTATATTCATGAGAGGTATTTGTAATGTCTTGGTCTGGCGTTGGTGTTAGGATTACACTAGCCTCATATAATTTTGCTGGGGAGGTGTCCCTCTTCTGCTGGGCAGTGGATTCCAATATCTGAAAGATTTTATGTAAGACTGGTATTATGTCTTTTTTGAGTATTCAGTAGAATTCACCAGTAAAATCATCTGGTCTTCCAGTTGTTGTTTTTTTTTTTTGTTTGTTTGTTTTGTTTTTTTTTTGTGTGAGAAATGTTTTTGATACCAAATTTAATTTCTCTAATAATTATATTCAGATTTTCTGCTTCTTCATGTATCAATTTTGTGAGTAGTATGTTTTAGAAAAAATTGTCTTAGGTAAATTGTCAAATTTATTGGTTTGTTGATGGAGTTACTTTTTTAACATGTGTAGGATCTGCCATGATAAAGTACTTTTCATTCTTGGTATTTGTGACTTGTGTTCTCCCTCTAATTTTTTTTATTAGTCTAGCTAGGGGGTTGTCAATTTTGTTTTTCCTCTCAGAATACCAGCTTTGGGCTTTGTTAATTTTTCTATTGTCTGCGTTTTTTATTTTATTGATTTCTATTATTTTCTTTATTCTTTCCTTCCTTTTACTTACCTTCAATTTACCTACTCTACATTTTCCATCTATTTAAGGTGGATACTTAGCTGATTGGCTTTTTATATTTTTTTTAATATAAGAATTTAAAGTCATAGTTTATCTCTAAGCACTGCTTTAGCTAACCTCATTAATTTTGATGTTTTAATTGCCATTAAAGTTCTAGATGTTTTCTAATTTCTCTAGTGATTTCATTACTCATTAGTTATGAAGAAGTATGCTATTTAATTTCCAGATATATAGGATTTTCTTATACCACAGTAATATTGATTTCTAATTTAATACCATTTTAATCATAGAATATTCCATGTGATTTTGATCCTTTTAACTTGTTTTATGCCTTAATATGATCTGACCTGATAAATGAACCAGCTACACCTGAAAAGAATACACATTTTGCAATAATTGGAGTTAGTGTTTTATAATTGTCAATTATATCATGGTGATTAATTATGCTGGTCACACTTTCTATGTCTTTAATGCTTTTTTTCTAACTAATTCTTGAATCAATTATGGAGAAATGGATGGCAGAATCAACTACTGTAATTTTGAAATTTTCTATTTATTCTTTTATTTATTTATTTATTTTTTTGAGGCAGAGTCTGGCTCTGTCACCCAGGCTGTAGTGCAGTGATGTGATCTTGGCTCACTGCAATCTCCGCCTCCCGGGTTAAAGTGATTCTCCTGCCTCAGCCTCCTGAGTAGCTGGGATTATAGGTGCCCACCGTGCCCATTTAATTTTTCTACTTTTAGTAGAGATGGGGTTTCACCATGTTGATCAGGCTGGTCTCAAACTCCTGACCTCAGGTGATTTGCCCTCCCAAAGTGCTGGGGCCTCAGCCTCCCAAACTGCTGGGGTTACAGGCATGAGCCATCATGCCTGGCCTATTCTTTTATTTTTTAACTTTTATTTGAGTTTCAAGAATATACGTGCAGGTTTGTTATGTAGGTAAATTGCAAGTCACAGAGGTTTGGTGTACAGAATATTTCAAAACCCAGGTAATAGGCATGAGTACTCTATAGCTAGTTTTTCAATCCTTATCCTCCTCCCACACTGCATCCTCAAGTAGGCCCCAGTATCTATTCTTCCCTTCTTTGTTCCCATGGGTACTCAATGTTTAGCTCTCACTTATAAGTGAGAACATACAGTATTTGGTTTTCTTTTCCTGTTTAGTTCATTTAGGATAAGCGCCTCTGACTCCAACCATGCTGCTGCGAAGGACATGATCTCATTCTTTTTTATGGCTGCGTATATTCCATAGTGCATATGTACCACATTTTCTTTATCCAGTCTACCATTGATAGGAATTTAGATTGATTTCCATGTCTTTGCTATTGTGACTAGTGCTGTGGTGATGATACATGTGCATGTGTCTTTATGATAGAATGATTTATATTACTTTGGATATATACCCAATAATGGGATTACTGTGTCAAATGGTAGTTCTCTTCTCAGTTTTTGGAGAAATAGCCAAACTGCTTTCCACAATGGTTGAACTAATTTACACTTTCACCAGACTTGTATGAACATTCAGTTTTCTTTACAACCTCGCCAGCATTTGTTGTTTTTTGACTTTTTAATAATAGCCATTCTGACTAGTGTGAGATGGTGTCTCATTGTGGTTTTGATTTGTATTTCTCTAATGATTGGTGATGTTGAGCATATTTTCATATGATTGTTGGCTGCATGCATGTCTTCTTTTGAAAAGTGCCTGTTCATGTACTTTGCCCACTTTTTAATGGGGTTATTCATTTTTTGCTTGTTAATTTGTTTATATTGCTTATAAATTCTGGATATTAAACTCTTGTCAGATGCATACTTTGCAGATATTTTCTCCCGTTCTGTAGGTAATCTGTTTACTGTTTGATAGTTTCTTTTGCTGTGTATAAGCTCTTTAGTTTAATTAGGTCCCATTTGCCAATTTCTGTTTCTGTTGCAGTTGCGTTTGGCATCTTTGTCATGAAATCTTTGCCAGGATCTATGTCCAGAATGGTATTTCATAGGTTATCTTCCAGGGTTTTTATAGTTTTAGGTTTCACATTTAAGTCTAATTCATCTTGAGTTGATTTTTGTATATGGTGTAGGGAAAGGGGTCCAGTTTCAATCTTCTGTGTATGGCTAGCCAGTTATCCCAGCATCATTTACTGAGTAGGTAGTCCTTCCCCCTTGCTTGTTTTTTTCAACTCTGTATAAGTTCAGATGGTTGTAGGTGTGTGGCTTTAATTCTGGACTCTGTATTCTGTTCCATTGGTCTATGTATCTGTTTTTGTACCAGTGCCGTGCTGTTTTGGGTACTGTAGCCTTGTAGTATAGTTTGAAGTAAGATAAAGTGATGCCTTTGTTCTTTTTGCTTAGGATTACATTGGCTACTTAGGCTCTTTTTTGGTTCCATATGAATTTTGAAAGTGTTTTTCTAATTCTGTGAAGAATGTCATTGGTAGTTTGATAGGAATAGCAATGAATCTGTAAATTGCTTTGGGCAGTATGGTCATTTTAGCAATGTTGTCTTCCAATCCATGAGCATGGAGTGTTTTTCCATTTGTTTGTATCATCTCTTTTCTCTATCAGCAATGTTTTATAATTCTTGTTGTAAAAATATTTTACCTCCTTTATTAGCTGTATTCCTAGGTGTTTCATTTTTTTTAGAGCTATCGTGAGTGGTATAGCATTCTTGATTTGGCTCTCAGCTTGGATGTTGTTGAGGTACAGGAATGCTACGGATTTTTGTAAATTTATTTCATATCCTGAAACTTTGCTGAAGTTGTTTATCAGATATAGGAGTTTTGGGTCAGAGACTATGGTGTTTTCTAAGTATGAAATCATACCATCTGTGAACAGAGATAGTTTGAGTTTCTCTTGTCCTATTTGAATGCCTTTTATTTCCTTCTCTTGCCTGATTGCTCTGATGAGGATTTCCAGTACTATGCTGAATATGGGTGGTGAGAGTGGGCACCCTTGTCTTGTCCTGGTTCTCAAGTGGAATGCTTCCAGCTTTTGCCTGTTGAGTGTGATGTTGGCTGTTGGTTTGTTATAGATGGCTCTTGTTATTTTGAGGTATGCTCCTTCCATGCCAGGGTTATTGAATGTTTTAATGAAGGGATGTTGAATTTTATCAAAAGCCTTTTCTGCATCTATTTAGATGATCATATGGCTTTTATTTTAAGTTCGGTTTATGTGATAAATCACATTTATTGATTTGCATAACCAACCTTACATCCCAGGAATAAAGCCTACTTGATCATCATGGATTAGTTTTATGATTTGCTGCTGGATTCAGTTTGCTAGTACTTTGTTGATGATTTTCGCATATGTTAGTCAAGGATATTGGCCTAAAGTTTTATTTTTTTGTTGTGTCTCTGCCAGGTTTTGGTATCAGGATGATGCTGGCCTCATAGAACGAGTTAGGGAGGAGTTTGTCCTCTTCAATTTTTTGGAATAGCTTCATTACTAATGGTACCAGCTCTTTACAGATCTGGCAGAATTTGGTAGTTAATTCATCTGGTCCTGGGCTTTTTCTGGTTGGTAGGCATTGTATTACTGATTTAATTTTGGATCTTATTATTGGCCTTTTCATGGTTTCAATTTCTTGGTTCAATCTTGGGAGGTTGTATGTTTCCAGAATGTGTCAGTTTCTTGTAGGTTTTCTTGCTTGTGTGCATAGAGGTGTTTGTAATAGTCTCTAAGGGCTTTTTATATTTCTTTGGGGTCAGGGGTAATGTCCCCTTTGTCATTTCTGATTGAGTTTATTTGGATCTTTTCTCTTTTTTTAAATTTATTGGTTTAGATAGTGGCCTGTCAATCTCATTCTTTCAAAGAACCGCTTCCTGGATTCATTAATCTTTTGGATGGTTTTTTACGTGTCAATTTCATTCAGGTCAGCTGATTTCAGTTATTTTGTGTCTTTTGCAAGCCTTGAGGTTGATTCGTTTTTGTTTTTATAGTTCCTCTAGGTGTGATGTTAGGTAGTCAATTTGAGATCGTTCAAACTTTTTGATGCGGGCGTTTAGCACAATAAATTTTCCTCTTAACACTGTTTTAGCTTCATCTCAGAGATGCTGGTATGTTGCATCTTTATTCTCATTAGTTTCAAAGAATTTCTTGATTTCTGCCTTAATTTTATTGTTTACCCAAAAGTCATTCAGCAGCAGGTTGTGTAATTTCCATGTAATTATATGGTTTTGAGTGATCTTAGTATTGATTTCTATTTTTATTGTGCTGTGGTCCAAGAGTGTGGTTGGCATGATTTGTTTGACTTTGCTAAGGATTGTTTTATGGCCAACTGCATGGTCAATTTTAGAGTATGTGACATGTGCAGGTGAGAAGAATGAAGCTTCTATTATTTTTCAGTGGAGGGTTCTGTAGATGTCTGTAAGGTCCATTTGGTCAAGTGTTCAGATTTTTCTGTATCCCTCAACTTTGAGCCAATGGGTGTCATTATGTGTGAGATAGGTCTTTTGAACATAGTATACAGTTGGGTCTTTCTTCTTTATCCAACTTGCCACTCTGTACCTTTTAATTGAAGCAATTAGTCAATTTACAGTCAAAGTTAATATTGATATATGCAAATTTGATCCTGTCATCATGCTGTTAGCTGATTATTATGCAGACTTCATTGTGTAGTTGCTTTATAGTGTCAATGGTCTTTGTACTTAAGTGTGTTTTTGTGGTGGCCATGATGGTCTTTTGTTACGGTATTTGGCACTGCCTTAAGGCTGTCTTGTAAGGCTGGTCTGGTGGTAATTAATTCCCTTAGCATTTGCTTGTCTGAAAGTAATCTTATTTCTCCTTCACTTATGAGGCTTAATTTGGCTGGATATGAAATTTCAGTTAGAATTTCCTTCCTTTAAGAACATTGAATATACGTCCTCTATCTCTTCTGGCTTGCAGGGTTTCTGCTGAAAGGTCTGCCATTAGCTTGATGGGGTTCCCTGTGTTGGTGACCTGCCCCTTCTCTCTAGCTGCCTTCAATATTTTTTCTTTCATTTTGATCTTGGAGAATCTGATGACTATGTGTCTTGGGGATGGTCATCTTGTGTAGTATCTCACAGGGTTCTCGGCATTTCTTGAATTTGTATGTTGGCCTCTCCAGTGAGGTTGGGGAAATCCTCACAGATTTCCTTCACAGATATCCTTGAATATGTTTTCCAAGTTGGTTGCTTTCTTCCTCTCTTTCAGGGACACCAATGGGTCATAGAATTGGTCTCCGTACATAATCCCATATTTTTCAGAGGTTTTGTTTATTCTTTTTAATTATTTTTTCTTTATTTTTATCTGGCTGAGTTAATTTGAAGAACCAGTCTTTGGGCTCTGAGATTCTTTCCTCAGCTTGGTCTATTCTGCTGTTAATACTTGCAGTTGTATTATATATGCCTGTAGTGAGTTTTTCAGTTCTATCTTATCAGTTTAGTTCTTTCTTAAAATGGCAATTTTGTCTTTCAGCTCCTGTATCATTTTATTGTATTCCTTAGATTCTTTGGATTGGGTTTAGACTTTCCTCTGAGTATCAGTGATCTTTGTTCCTGTCCGTATTCTGAATTCTATGTCTGTTATTTCAGTCTGGCTAAGAACCATTGTTGGGGAACTAGTGGGGAGGTAACCATTATCTCATTTGGAGGTTAGAAGAAACTGATGTTTTGAGTTGCCAGAATTCTTGGTTCTTTCTCATCTGTGTTAATGTTCCTTTAATCTTAAAAGTTACTTGTCGTTCGGATGGGGTATTTTGCCTTTTATCTTCTTTGATGCCCTTGGGAGTTTGATTGTGGTATAAGGTGGGTTCAGTCAACTGGCTTCATTTCTGGAAGATTTCAGGAAGCCAAATCTCAGCACTGCCTTGCTGCATATTCTTACTCTGGGGCACTGGTACCAGGCCCCCTGCTTTTTTCTCTGGCCCCTCAAGGTTAGGAACCTGCTGTACTAGGGACCCAGGTGTTCCTGGTCCACTAACAACAACAATTTGATGAGGGGTGCTAGCCAAAGTGCTTCATTTGGTT